>NC_000008.11:22587375-22890405 GCF_000001405.40 Homo sapiens
AATCGCTTATACTTGAGAGTCTTAAAGGCTCTAAGAGGTCCCATGAGAAAGAAACCCACTTAATTTTTCTTTATATCCTAAACTTGTTGAACAGCAGAATTTCTCCTGAATTTCTACCCCTGACCCCCTGCCCTGCCCTGCCCCACCCCCAGGAACATCCTTGCGTTCCCCAGCACACATTTCGAGAGGTGTTGGCTACAGACAAGCTCATGATGGGCAGGTGAAGGGGGAGCAGCTTTCCTGGATTTGGAGATAAAAGGTCTCTTCTGTGAAGGCAAGGGTCGCTAACCCCTAACCGCCTGGGAGGAAAGGAAGGAGAGAAAGACATTGTCTCTCCCAGTCGGGGAGCTGGTCTCCTTTTCTGGGCTGGGCAGTCTGGTGGGAGTGTGTGAGAGGAATGCTGTGGGCTGCAGAGGCAGGGGTGCTGTGTCCTTGTGGCCTCCTGACATGGCCAAGGCTGCAGAGAGCTGGAGGCTCAGGATGCCCTTATAGTGCCTCTGGAAATTACAGGTTCCCCCTGCTGGTAGGCACATGCCTTGGTGAGCAGAGGCCAAGTGAAAAAAGCCCCTCTCCCTCTGGTTGGGAATGAGGACTTGCCTCATGAAGGGATCCCGGGCCGGTGCCCTAGGCAGGGCCCATGGTGGTCTGTCTGGAGATGTGATGTGGCTCGTGAATTCCTGCGGAAACTATCTCTAGGTCCTTCAGGTGACCGCACAGCCCCGGGCAGTTGCCCTGGAGCCCAGGTGTGGAGTCCCAGCCCTGCCTCTGATGCTGCAGGTGGCTTGGACCAGCTACTTTGCCCTTCTGACCTGCAGTCTCCTTACCTATAGAACGTTTTACTGGAGAACCCTGAGAGCAGAGGGATGCGAGGCCAACTGCTGGTAGCAGCCTGGTGGGGTGAGGGTCTAGGGTTGTTTTCTTAAGATCCAGAAGTTTTTGCTTTAGCTTAAGGATGTGTGCAATTTTCCATGTGGCTTCATAATTCATCCATGACTTTGAATTTTAAAATGGAGAGAAGTTGGCTTCCCAGGAAATGGTGCCCCTGGCCCTGGGCATCGGCCCACCTGGCTGTCTCCAAGGCTCTCCTTCCCAGTGGCTGGTGCGGGCTCCGGGAGCTCAGCTGAGTCCCATTGGGGTGGCAACGGAAAGGGAGCAGGGGAGTGGGGAGTACGGAGATGCAGGCTGGAAACTGGCCTCCAGGAACAACTGTGAGGTTGAAGGCGAGATTTCCATGTTGGGAGCAAATTTAAGAGCCCCAGATGGACACGGCACACCTGGAGACAGGCACTGCTGCCTGAGTGTGGCCCAGGGAGGGCTCGGCTCCCCAAAGCTCCACGGGGCAGGCCCAGACCTCCCAGCAGAGTAGGGACAGGCTGGTTAGCCCAGACTCCCGCCTCTGAGGAGAGGAACCAGCTCTCCTTGGGAAGAGGGCCTCTGCCCTGGCCGGCCCTGACTCCCAGGGGACTTCGACCCCTTGCTTCATCCCTTTATGTTTCTATCTCCTCAGTGCAAAAGGGCAGCGTGCTTCCTCTCTGCTGGTTCCGTGGGATCGGAGCCAGGCCCCAGTGTGCAATGTCTTTGCACACAGATAATAGCGTGCGTGACAGAGGACTCTGTGCTTAGCTGTCACCTGCTGCCTTCCTGCTGCCCGGTCCCCGGCAGAACCCGCATGCCTCCCTCCCTCTCTGGACCCTGGCAGTCTCTGCGCCCTGGCTCCGAGGGAAGGGGCAGGGGGCCCGCTGGTCGGCGAGGGCTGGGAGCCCCCGACACCTTGGCTCCAAGGGAAGGGGCAGGGGTCCGCTGGTCGGCGAGGGCCGGGGGCCCCCTGGTGTCGGGCCTGGGAACAGCCGGGCTAGGCCCTCCTGGGTGTGTTGGCCCAAGGCTCTGGCCCTGACTCCTCCCCGGCTGCCTCCTCCCAACAGGCCGGCCTCGGCCGCGCTGGCGACTCGGCGGTGCTGGTGCTGCCGCCTTCCCCGGGCCCTCGTTCCTCCAGGCCCAGGTACCAGCAGGCCCCGGAGGGTCGGGTTGGGGTCTTGGAAGGCTGGGAGGGGCAGGAGGGAGACGGGCTTCCCCGAGAGGGATGGGGTCCCCCAAGCCCAGTTGGCTCCTCCACCTCCCAGATTCCTCCCCCTCCCCCACGCTCTTCTCCTGCCCCCCACCCCCTTGCTTGCCTAAGCTCCGGCACGGGACCCTCATTCCTGGCTGCCTCCCACCCTGCAGCATGGACTCGGAAGGGGGAAGCCTCCTCCTGGACGAGGACTCGGAAGTCTTCAAGATGCTGCAGGAAAATCGCGAGGGACGGGCGGCCCCCCGACAGTCCAGCTCCTTTCGGCTCTTGCAGGAAGCCCTGGAGGCTGAGGAGAGAGGTGAGGGTCTGGGGGGCTGGGGAGGGGAAGGAGGTTCCCTTCCGTACCCCGGGCCCTGACTGGATGGGTCAGTGAACCAGTGTTCTTAAGTGCCTGTGAGGTGCTCACCCCAGGACTAGGCACGGAGCCGAGCAGAGCGCGAAGCCCCAGCCCCTGCCCATAAGGAGCTGACGGTCCGGGAGGGTCCGGGAGGGTCACCAGCGTGCTCCCACAGAGTAGTGGGCAGTAGCCAGCTGGGATGGGAAAGTGTCATTCGAGTGATAAAAGCGGTGGCAGGGCCTGGGGCTGGGCCTCCAGGGAGGGCTTCTTGGAGGAAGAGGGATTTGACTTGGCCTCTTGGCCTTAGAAAAAACATCAAGACTTAAACAGCATTAAGAGGGTGGCAGGAAGCACTGTGGAAGGTGGAGGCTGGCGGCCAGAGGGCTTTGGGGTGTGGGAGTGAGAGAATGGGGGCCTGATAGCATGAAAGGGCGCCAGTGGAGGCCAAGCCCCTGCAGTGAGGGCCCTCGGGAAGGGAATCAGGCTGAGGAGTGCCCTAACCCAGGAAAGCCATTAAATACTGATGCCAGGCGAGCAAGACATACGGAGGCTTGCCAGAGTTCCGTTATTCATGTGACAGACACTGACTGTGCCCATCTGAGGGACCAGATGTGTGCAGAGTTTGGGGATAGGTGGCCATGACCCCACTCCTGCCCTTGGGGAGCTCCGTTCATTGGGGCAGATGGGCCTGGCCAGCTCCCATGGAAGTGAGCGCTGCTGTGGGAGTTACTACTCCCACAGCCCCTGTCCTTAAGGTGCTCAGCACCAATGCCCTCTAGAACAGTGGGGAGAAGGGGAGGGAGATGACAGGACAGGTAGGAGAGTGGCCAGAGAGGCTTCATAATTCATCTATGACTTTGAATTTTAAAATGGAGAGAAGCTGGTTTCCCAGGAAATGGTGCCCCTGGCCCTGGGCACTGGCCCGCCTGGCTGTCTCCAAGGCTCTCCTTCCCAGTGGCTGGTGTGGGCTCCTGGACCTCAGTTGAGTCCCATTGGGGTGGCAATGGAAAGGGAGCAGGGGAGTGGGGAGTACAGAGATGCAGGCTGGAAACTGGCCTCCAGGAACAACTGTGAGGTTGAAGGTGAGATTTCCATTTTGGGAGCAAATGTAAGAGGCCATATGGACAGGGCACACCTGGAGATTGGCAGGTGGCTGGTTCTAACGCTGATGTTTAGCTCCAAGGGGCATTTGCAGAGGCACAGGGGGTGGGGTGAGAAGGTTTGGAGCAAATCTGGTCTGTTTTGACCCTGAGGCCTCAGAAGGTCCCAGGAGGCAGCACAGGGAGAGAGCAGTGACTTTGCCAAGGAGGCCTCAGCGTCCTTAGCTGCAGACGGGCGACAGCTGCCCCGTAGCCCTGGGCTTCATCTTCGTGTGGCTTGAGAGCTCAGATGTGACAAGGCATGGAAAAGCACTTTGAAAGCCACACCGAGGCATTGCGCTCCTGTTGCCATCTCCAGTTATTATCTAATCACACTGTTATTACCAGGTCATTAGAGAGGGAGCACCTGCTTCACCTGACACTGAGCACAGATGGCCCCAGGTGGCCTTGGATGGGCAAACTCGGCCTTGTACCTGCCTCCTTCATGCCCTTGCCCAGCCTCAGCCATGGATCTGGCAAGATCACCTTCCTCCTTACCTGGTGCCACTGTCAGCGTGACTTTAGGGTTTCTCTTATAAGGGTGCTTTCCAAGACCACCTCCTCAGAGCATCTTTGGGAGGATGCTGTGGTTGGTGGGCTCTCACCACATGTCTGTCTGCCCTGCCCCCAGGTGGCACGCCAGCCTTCTTGCCCAGCTCACTGAGCCCCCAGTCCTCCCTGCCCGCCTCCAGGGCCCTGGCCACCCCTCCCAAGCTCCACACTTGTGAGAAGTGCAGTACCAGCATCGCGTGAGTGTGGAGGGGGGTGGGGGACCTGAGCCTTCACAGGGGAGTGGGGAGGGGGACAGGGCACTGGATGCTTTCAGGAAGGGCCGGGCCCATCAGGGGCTAGCACTGGGTACCCAGTCGGGGACTCTAGGGGAAGCAGTGTTGCACAGCTTTGGGGGCATTAGTTACAGGCTTCTTAGGAGCCTAGGCTAGCTGCTTCCGGCTGCATCTCCTCTCCCTCTCCTCCTTTTCCCATCCCTTTTGATTTCTCTTTGATCATTTCAAAGCCTCTGGAGATCTGCCCGGAGGTACAGCACATCCTCTTGGAAAATCTTGCTCTTTCCCCTTCTTCCCCCTTTGGAGCAGGCTGCATTTTTCCCGATGTGGGCTCATTTTTCTTATTTTTCTTTTCTTTTCTTTCTTTCTTTTCTTTTTTTTTTTTTTTTTTTTTTGAGACGGAGTCTCATTCTGTTGCCCAGGCAGGAGTGCAGTGGTGCAATTTCAGCTCACTGCAAGCTCTGCCTCCCAGGTTCACGCTATTCTCGTGTCTCAGCCTCCCGAGTTGTTGGGGCTACAGGCTCCCGCCACCACTCCCAGCTAATTTTTGTATTTTTAGTAGAGACGCGTTTTCCCCATGTTGGCCAGGCTGGTCTCAAACTCTTGACCTTAGGTGATCCGCCTGCCTCGGCCTCCCAAAGTGCTGGGATTACAGCGTGAGCCACCATGCCCAGCCGAGGTGGGCTCATTTTTCTCATTAAGTGGCATTTATAATGCAACCACATTCTCTGGAAGGTTGCTGAAACCCCCCCTCAGGTAAATTTCTGAAGTGTGTAGTGTGGGAGGGGCAGGTGATTGACTTTAGGCAAATCCCTTAACCTCTCTGGGCTTTAGTGTTTTCATCTGCAGAGTGGGAGAATATCCAGTCCCCCTGCTGTGCAGAGATAGGGAATGTGTGTTGAAAAAGCATGTTTTCCATCCTGGTTCTCAAAGGTGTGTGTGTCGGGTCCCTTGGAGGGTTTGTTAAATGCCGATGGCTGGGCCCCACCCCAGAGCCTCCTCTCCAGGAGGCCAACAGGCCTGAGAATGTGCATTTCTCACGAATTCCCCAGTGATGCGGATGCTGCTGGCTGTGGGACCCAGGACCACACTGAGAATCACTGCTCTGTTAAAAATCCAGGCAATGTGGGACGGACTTACAGTCTTTATGTGAGAGGAACAACTTTTAAAAAAAATTTTTAATATTTTTAATAGAGTTTCACTCTGTTGCTCAGGCAGGAGCGCAGTAGTGCCGTCATGGCTCACTGCAGCCCCAAACTCCTGGGCTCAAGTGATCCTCCCATCTCAGCCTCCTGAGTAGCTGGGACTACAGGCGTGTGCCACCATACCTGGCTAATTTTTAAATTTTTTGTAGAGATGGGGTCTTGCTATGTTGCCCAGTTTGGTTTCAAACTCCTGGCCTTAAGTGATCTGTCCACCTGGGATCCTAGGCATGGATTACAGGCGTGAGCTACTGTGCCTGGCTGACTTATTTATTTTTATTATTTTTAATTAGGGGTCCCAGCAGTGGCAGCGGTGGTGGGGGTTTGTGTGTGTTAGGGGGTTTGTCAAAGTGAGATTCCTGTGTGCAGCTTCAAGAATCAAGTCTCGGGCCGGGTGCAGTGGCTCACGCCTGTAATCCCAGCACTCTGGGAAGCCAAGGAGGGTGGATTACCTGAGGTTGGGAGGGCAAGACCGTCCTGGCTAACACGGTAAAACCCGTCTCTACTAAAAATACAAAAACTTAGCCAGGTGTGGTCGCACATGCTTGTAATCCCAGCTACTCAGGAGGCTGGTGCAGGAGTATCGCTTGAACCCGGAAGGTAGAGATTGCTGTGAGCTGAGATCACACCATTGTATTCCAGCCTGGGCAACAAGAGCAAAACTCCATCTCAAAAAAAAAAAAAAAAAAAAAAAAAAGTCTAGTCTCTGAGAAGGCTTTGGGCTCCACCCAGGTCCTGATGCTACAGTGGGGACCAGGCCCCCTGGGCATGGTGGCCTCCTGCTTGGTGCTGTGGCTCTGAGCTAAAGCCTCTCCCTCCCCTTCAGGAACCAGGCTGTGCGCATCCAGGAGGGCCGGTACCGCCACCCCGGCTGCTACACCTGTGCCGACTGTGGGCTGAACCTGAAGATGCGCGGGCACTTCTGGGTGGGTGACGAGCTGTACTGTGAGAAGCATGCCCGCCAGCGCTACTCCGCACCTGCCACCCTCAGCTCTCGGGCCTGAGCCCGCCATGCCCTCAGCCTGCCTCACTGCTGGGCCAGGGTCATGCCTATATAAGTTGGCATGGCAGGGACAATGGTGGGCAGTTGCTCTTACATGAGCTAAGTTTGGAGACCTGAGGCCCCTTTGTCCTCGCTGGGTGGGCCAAGGTCTGGGACCTGTCTTGGACTGTGGGAGACTCACCCTCACCTTGCCAGGCCTCTCCCCTGCAGGACTGGCATTGCACTAGTCTGAGGTGGCCACTGCCTTTGATCAACCTTTGTGTGCGAGGGTCTAAGTAGGGTCGAACACAGAAGTGGGAAGGAGAGGGGTGGGCCAGGGGCTAATGGTGTCACTGTGTAAAGTTTTTGACATACTAGCTCTATAAATATATGAATATGGACAAAATAAAGTAGATGTCCCTTCCTTCTTTTTCCTACCGCCAGCCCTGGGTATGACCTGCTCCCACCACTGGGTGGAGGGTCTTTATTTATGCAACATACGTTTCTTCTTCTTTTCCCTCCCTCAAATCCCACCCCTGCCAGTTGCCTGCACCTGACATTTCCCATGGAAGGGCCTTGCCTCTTTTAGGTTGGGAGTCATGTCATTCCTTAACCTTTTTGTAAAGATGCCCGTTTTACAGGAGGACGCTTGTGCTATGGAGGGAATGAGATTGTCACTGGAAGCTTTGGAGGGGATGGTGGAGGGCGCCAAGCGGAGGGACAGGAGGAAGACCAGGAGACCCATCCAGCCAAGCTGGTGAGACAACCTCTGATCCTGAGGACCGGCCGCCCACCAAGGGTTGGGCCCCCGGGGCCAGGTTGATCTACCGACACCTTCCACTTCTTTCCTGGGAGAGACTGCTGGCTTCATTGGTGATTGATTTGGAGGGGGGAAAAAGGGCAGGGTGGCTCAGGCTTTAGGCCCAGGTACTGGGGAGGCCTGAGGAGCCCTCCTGGAGCTCAGGAGGCCGAGGCTGCCTTAAGCTGTGATCATGCCACTGCATTCCAGCCTGGGAGAGAGAGAGGACCTGTCTGTTGAAAAAAACACAAAAACAAATGAATGCATGTGGCCAGTGCCAGGTGAGCTGCCCTGGGGGTTCACTGGAGTTGAGGCAGGGGACAGTAGTCTCCCCTGCCAGCCTAGGATTTTGGGCGTCATTCACCCACTACCCCTAGTGCTAGTCCCAGAGGATGCTGCGGAGGGGGCAGCCTCAGCTCTCTTTTCAGAGAAGATCAAAGCTGGGCTTCCCAGGGTGCCTGGCTGGTCCCTGCCGGCAGCTTTGTGCTCTCCGGCTCTTTGTGAAAGGAATCTTGGCGCAGATGTTTGTGTTGCCTCCTCAGGCACCTGTAGATATAATTTACACCATGATATCATTGTCTCACCTTTTGCCTGGGTGGCTGCCTGAGAAAGGTCTTTCTTTTTATAGAAAAGATCAAGGCTGTCTGGCGCGGGACTCCATGAGCCCCAGGCGCTGGTCAGAAACGGGGTAGTCTCTTTGGCGCCACCTAGTGTCCAGTTTGGCCCATGGCGGGGCCCATTCACGGGGCAACACTGGGCTTCTGGGCACAGCGGGAATACAGAAAGATACAGCACTCCTCATGCCTTCCTGGAGGTAGAAGGCCAGTGGCAGCGACTGAGCTGGCATGAATGAATAAGAGGATGTGGCACTGAGCGCCAAGGGCTACCTTGGAACGCACCGAGGAGCGTCCCGTGAGTTCAAAGCAGTGGCCGTGATGCAAAAGGAGGGCTGGGTCTTGGAGACGTGGAGAAGAGGAATGCTGAGTGATGGGGTGGCTGCTGGGGGGATGCTTAGCTCAGAGCAGTGGCTGATGGGGACACTGAGATAAGATCGGAGGGGAGCTGTCAATGCCAGAAGTGGTTTGAACTTCCCCTTGAGGCTCTAGGGACATTTTGTTTTGAGACATGGTCTTGCTCTATTGCCCAGGCTGGAGTGCAGTGGTACAATCTTAGCTCACTGCAGCCTCCACCTCCCAGGCTCAAGAGATCCTCCCACAGCCTCCCAGGTAGCTGGGACTACAGGCGTGCACCACCACACCCAGCTAATTTTTAAGTTTTTTTTTTTTTTTAAGAGATGGGGTCTCACTATGTTGCCCAGGCTGGTCTCGAACTTCGGGCCCCAAGCCATCCTCCCACCTTGGCTTTCCAAAGTGTTGGGATTACAAGCGTGAGCTAACCTTGCCCAGCCTCTGGGAACACTTGGAAGGTTTTAAGCAGAGAAGTGACAGGTTGGAAAAGATGGTTTGGATTATTGATATGGACAGATTCCCACCTGTATGTAGCACGCCATGCTGGGCCAGCAGTGTCATAGGAGTGGAGGGGGATAAGTGGGGACTGGGGACATGTGAAATGATGGGCATTCCAGTGAGGCATCGAATGCCTTCTGAGGGCTTTGTAGGTTCCAGCTCAAATCCCCCTCTGGCTCTTGTTCTTTGGTGTGGCAGCCATCTCTCCTCCCAGGGGTCCTGAGGGTTTCAGCACCAGGGTTCTCTGCAGCCACACAATCAGCCCGGCTCGGGAGCAAACTCCCCTGGAAGAACGGAGTTATGAGTTGGTCAGCAGAGGAGGCTGGGGACAGGCAGTTTTTGGTCTTTTACCTCTGATCTTGTCCCCAACCTAAGCCAGCTAGCTGCGTGCTCCCACTCCCTCTGCCGCACGCCGCCCGTCTATGTTCCCGGACTTTGTCCAGTGCAGTGCCCTCTTCCCTTCCTGCACTGAGGAGATTAACTGAAGTGACAGATTAGAGTTAGAAGTGGCCCAAAGGAGCATCTGGTACAACCCCCTTTGGTTAGAGAAGGGAAAGTGACTTTTCCAAAGCTGCACAGCTAGACAGTCATAATGGCTAAGCTCTGGGGGTGCTTTTGATGTGCTAGGGATACTTCCAATGCTTTAACTCACTTAATCCTCACAACCCGAGATAGGTACTGTTACCATCCTCTCTGCAGACGAGGAAACCGAGGACCAGGAGGTTCAGTAAATGGTCCAAGTACTCCTAGCTAGTAAGGAATGGATCTACAGCCTGCCTCCCAGGTTTCTGGCTTGTGGGGGGCAGAGTTTGTCCCTCTGTCATCAGAGGCAGCCTTCCAGGCACAGCTCTGGTCACCTCTGGTCACAACTGGAGGTCACCACAGCCCTCCCCAGCGCTCTGTAGGCTCTCAGCTTTGTGCTTCCTCCCACGGGTACTAGCTCCAGCTGAGCTTGCAGGAAACCCACTTCCTGAAGCCAGGACTTCCCCATGGGAAGTGCAGGGGCCACTGGGCAGCCTGAGGGCTGACCCTGCTCAGGACACTGTCTGTCTCAGGAACTCATGGCAGTGGTTTACCTTGTCAGGAGTGCATGGACGGGCTGCCCCTCCCATTCCTTCAAGCATCACTCAGAGAGCCCTGGCCTGGCTCTAGGCTTGGGACTGCGGCTGCCACAGGAAGGGGGCATCCCCCTACTTTGGGTGTTGGGTCAGATCCTGCCCCCGTGCCCGCCAGGGCTCAGGTTCCTCTGAGCTGGTCCTGGGCCAGGACGCATCTGCATGGCGGTGGTGGGGAGGAGGGGTGCGCCATGGCCTGGAGGGGAGTGTGTGTTGGGGTGTGTGTGTGGAGGTTCTTTTGAGTCACACACAAAGCATTGTGCTGAGACACTGCATTCCTGCTGGCTGGGCTTCCTGTTTCCAGATGCATTCCTGTCCCAGAGTCACCACAGAGACTGTTTGGAATCCCGCCCCACATTCTCCAAATTCAGGGCGCGATCTGGCAAAGGCTCCCTCCCCCACCCTCTTACTTTGGAGGGAGTCTGGGCTCCCTCCTACCCAGGGAGGGCTGGCAGGGCTCTGGCACGGCCGGGGTGTGATTCCACACATCTTCTTGGTCTTGCATAAGGCAGTTCCTGGAGACCCAGCACTCTGGTTCTCTCTCTGCCTGTGAGAAGCGGAATGGGTACTGTCTAGGAGGACTGGGCAGGGTGGGGGCAACCCAGAGGACCCATGGCTAGCAGGGAAGGGCCTGGGCTTGAATGTGACTCTGTTGAGACATGGCCAGCAATTCTGGCACTTGGCTGTCATTCGGCTGGCCTGCGCAGAGATTGGCTGTGGGCCTCAGTTTCCCCATTTTATAAAGTTTTAAAATCTGATAGTTTGTGGCTCTCTGATAAAGGCTCCTGCAGTGGGTGTTTGGGGACTGGTTCCAGAAAGGAGCAAAGGGAAGGGGATGCACAGACTGTCTTACCCCTCCCGGTAAACAGCCACTTCCTTCCAGTGGCTCTGGCTCCAGCCTCTCCCCTCCCCTAGAGGTCCAGGTGCTAGTCTGCACGTCCTCCAGCTCCCTTATCTGCCTCCGGGGGATTTGGGTCCTGCTGGGATTTTTCCAGCCCTGCCCCCTCCCTCTGGAGGAGGTGCCTTCTTTAGAGGACACCAGCCCCAGTCTGGTCACCAGGCTCTCTCTCATCTTCAGTAGCTTCTTGGGCTCCTTTTAGGTTGGGGACTGAGGGGTGGAATCCCACGGGCCAAAGGCAGGGTGAGGTGGGAACAGGGGGACATTTACACTTTGGCCCAGTCTCCAGGCGGCTCCCCGCTGGCTCGCATCTTTCCAGACCTTGAGACCTACCCAGTCCCCAGCTTTAGGGAGCCCGGGATGAGAAAGAGGCAGGGGACCGGGAGGGGGTTCAGATCTAGCTGAGGACACACGCGCGTTCTGCAGTTGTAAAAGATTTCCCGGTGGGCAGGATCGTTTCCCCTCCCATCGCCCAGGTTTCCGAGCGGCCAAGAGACTGGCCCCCAAGCCACACTGCTAGGGAGCGCCGGGTGCCCGCGTCCTGGTCAGCGCTCTTCCCACCGCCAGCACGTGGGGCTCCCATTTCCTTCCTGGCTCTTGTCCGGTCCTCCAGCCAGCCCCGGCTCTAAGTCCGCGGCAGGAAGACGGACGCTGCGTGTGAACCCGCGGGGCCGGGCGGACCGGCGCCCCGAGCCAGACGGCGTCCCCAGGCGGGGGCCGGGTCCTCGCAGAACAGCTGATCGGGACCCTTATTTTGGCCACAGCCACAGTTGGGGGCGCCACCCAGTCCGTGCCTTCGACCTCGTTCTTGGCGACCCGGCCACCTGCGCCCCCCACCTGGCACCCTTGCCTTCCCTCCTCTCGCCCCTCCCCTCCCTCCTCTCGCCCCTCCCCTCTCCTCTCCCCTCCCCTCCCTCTCCTCTCCCCTCCCCTCCCTCTCCTCTCCCCTTTCCCTCTCCCCTCTCCTCTCCTCCCCTCTCCCCTCTCCTTTCCTCCCCTCTCCCCTCTCCCCTCCCTCTCCTCTGCCCACCCTCTCCTCGCCCCTCCCCTCTCCCCTCCCTCTCCCCTCCCCACCCTCTCCTCTCCCCTCCCCTCGCCCTCCTCTTCCTCGCCCCTCCCCTCCCTCTCCTCGCCCCTCCCCTCCCTCTCCTTTCCCCTCCCTCGCCTCGTTCCTCTCATCCCTCGTCTTGCCCCGCCCCTTTCTCCTCGCCCCCTTCTCCTCGCCCCTCCCCCTTCCCCTCGCCCCTCCCCTCCTCTCGCCGCTCCCCTACCTTGCCTCGCCCCTCCCCTCCCTCGTCTCGCCCCTCCCCTCTCTCCTCGCCCCTCCCTTCCTCGTCTCGCTCTTCCTCTCTCCTCCCCCTAGGCCACGCCCCCCACCGCCCCGCCCCCCGCCCCCCCAGCCCCGCTCCCCGCCCCCCCAGCCCCGCTGGGAGTGTCTGGGGGCCGCGCCCAGCTGGGTCGGGACGCGCTCCCTGAGCTGCCCGAGCTCCGCGGGGACTCGGGCCGGGATCCTCGGGCGGCTGCATTGGCCGGGGCCGGGGCCGGGAGCGGGCCATGATGGGCCGGCGGCGCGCCTTCGCCGTGGACGGCCGGGGTGAGTCACCCACCCCCAGGCTGGCCGGGCTCCCCCCTGCCCCGGAGCCGCTTCCCGCCCCCAAGCCGGGCACCCTCTCTCAGTTTCTTGCCCAGCCCCGCGCACCCCGCGGGCGGAGCCCGCGCCGCTGCGCCTCCCTCGCCGCCTCCCTGGAGGGGCGGTCATCAGGGGACGCCATGCAGGCTGGAACCCCTTTGGGCCCAGGCGTTAAACCAGCCACCGCCTCCGCCCCACTTCCTCCGGCTCCGCTTCCCTCGCCTTCCCGCTCCTTCTGAGGATGTGGGAATCCGCCCGCGCCCCAGCCCCCTCCGTGGCTGCGGACCCCTCTCCCACCCAGTGACCTCCTGGCCCACTTCCTTGCCCAGAGGGGCCTGGGTTGGCATTCGGCTCCCGCGTGCCCCGCAGCTCGTCCCCGCCCCCCTAGCCTGTTTCCCGTACCGTTCATTCCGCCAGGACGCCCCGTCGCCAGAGGGCCTGGCGGAGGTGACAGTGAGGGGGTGCTAATGCTGCCCCTTCGTCCCTTTCTTTCACTTCAGTTCTTTCATTTTAAACTTTTCATAAAATCTTCACTATTGCTCACTTACAACAAAAGCCCAAATCGGTTATAGCGGTGATTTTTATCACTCTCCCGGTGAGCTGCAGGAGAGACTTCACCTGGCATCCTGATGCCGCAGGGGCCCCCAGAGAGCAGGTTGGATCCCAGGCTTTCCTCTCTGTACCCTCTCCCCTCTCCCTGAAGCTGGATACAGTCCTACTCCCGCTTGGGGAGCAGCGGAAGAGCCTGTGGCTCCCTACTTCTGACTCGGGAGATCGTGGGCTGATCCTAGGTGGGAAGCGCAGGCGCAGGCCGTCTAAGGGATTGATGGATGTGGCCTGCCAGGGCTTTGCCTACCACACAGCTCAGAGCACGGGTTCCCTGTCGCTAACAACCGTTGCGAAGGGAATCCCATCCACACATCTCCCAGACAGCTGGGGCCATATCCGGGCTGCCCGTGGCTGTCCAGTGACCGCCCTTCCTCACTGCTCCGGGACACTTCTCCCTGGGGCAGTGCTGCCAGCCTTCAGGAATGCTGGGGGTGTTGGGGGTGGCCTGCCCAGCCTGACGCTGACTCTCCATGCAGATGGGGCTGGCGAGGGCCTGGCACGGGGCTGCATAGTGCCTGGAGTCACCAGCACCTACAGACGGATCCCCGACGCTGCCCACGGGTGCTCATCCTGGGAGAGAGGTGACAAGTTCAGAGGTGTCGGCAGGGAGGCACTCTTTCTCAAACTGGCCTCCCGGGACTCAGGAGTGGAGATGGCAGTTGGGGACAGCCCCCTGGCCGCCTTACCGGGCCTTTCTCAGGACTCCCTGGACTTTGAATCCTCAGGGAGTTCTGAGCCCCCCGCCCAGGTAGGCCGACTCCTGGCCAGCCAGAAGCTGGGGGAGGTGTTGGAGCGGTCCCGCCGGCTCCCAACAGCTCCCACCAGCTTGTCAGGACAACACCGCTCCCTGCGGCTGGCAAGCAAGCCTGAGCGTGAAGTGCCCCTTGGAGCAGGGCAACAGGAGTCCATGGAGGCAGACACAGACCTAGAGGCAGGCCTGGAAGAAGAGGCGGTGAGTGCTCACTCTCAGGCTGGGTTTAAGAGTGGGATGGACAGCCTAGCTCCTCTGGTTCTCCCTGGAGCTCTCTCTGGGTGGGGCACTCCCTGCCCCTAATTGATGGGTTGTGTCATAGGTTCTTTCTGCACCCCAGTTCCATTTGTGCACGGCCACCTCTGCAGAGGAGGTGGGCAGCTACGGGGGCCCTTCCTGGCACTATGCCCCGCTGGGCAGTGGGGAAGCCGGCTGCGTGTGTTCCTCCTCGGGGCCCACTCTGCTCCCATCTGCTGGCTGAGCCCAGCCTGGCTGCTTAGGGTAGGGCAGGAGCCCTACTGGCTGAAATCTCCCCTATCTCACAATGTCCCACAGGTGGGGGGCCTGGGGCCTGGAGCCTGGGCCTGCCTCCCCGGGCAGGGTCTTCGCTATCTGGAACACCTGTGCCTGGTGCTGGAGCAGATGGCAAGGCTCCAGCAGCTCTACCTGCAGCTGCGGATCCAGAGGCCCCCAGGGGTGAGTGAGATTCGAGTGGGGGAGGGAGAGGACAGATGGGACCCTGGGAACCATGGCTGCCCTCAGAGCAGCTTCAGCCCTCTAGCCAGGCCCTGATCACCTGTCTCTCCTGTGCATAGGATCCCGGCGAGGAGGAGTCGACCCGAGCCCCTTTACCGTCCCCGTTACACACCCCAGGCAATCGGGGGCAGGGGCCATGGGAGCTGCTAAGCCAGACAGAGCACACAGGTGAGGGGCCATCGTGTCTCCCTTTGTCCTGCCTGCCTGGGGTCCCACCAGCAGGTCCTCTGAGCCGAAGCTTGATGGGGTGTCTTCTGGCCCTGGCCAACCTGACTGTCTTTCTGAAGGAGCAAAGGCTGCTTCACCCCCAAAGGTGGAGGTGCCCAGTGCCAACCCTCCCAGGCTGCCAGAAACCCCAGTGGAGCCAACGTACCACTTGCCATCCTCCCAGGGACACAAGGTAGGGGACAGGTATATGTGGGGCAGGTGGTGGGCTGGGGTGGGGGGAGGGGAGGTGGGGGATGCATGGGCACCCTGGGGGCCAGCAACTCTGGGGAAATGACAGGATTGATTCCTGTTTGGAGCAGGCGACTTGTCCTGGCTGTGGCGACAGCTGTCTCTGGGAGCTTGGTCGGGGGTCTGAGTGTGGGGAGGGCTCTGGGTGACCCCTCATCCTCTGCTCAGCGGGATATCTCCCACTGGGACAAGGTCAAGGTCCTGCTCAACCGGATCTGCCGGAGAAGCCACCACCACCCTGAGCCCCCTGCCCCTCCTGATGGCTCTGACCCCAGGTGAGCCCCGTGCCCAGCCCAGGTTAGGGCACGGAGAGGAGACTGATAAGCCAGGATGCTGAGATTGTCATGCCAGTTGTCATTATTGTCCCCGCAAAACTTGAGAGGCAGTCTGGGAGGGGCTGCTAGAAGAAACAGTAGTTAAAACACCCCATTTACAGATAAGGAGGCAGGGTTCTGGGTGGGGTTGGGGGTAGTTGCTTTTCCAAAGCCGCACGGTGAGTCAGTGACAGCTAGGACCAGAATGTGGGAAATCTGCCTACCCTAGCTCAGCAACCCCTCACCCTCAATGCTGACATTTAGGCCACCTTCCAGGTTCGTGGGGAGAGCAAGGTGGAGCACAAAGGATTTCACAGTGGGTGAAGGCCATCATGCTTCGGGGCTTGTATTGAATCGTTCTCCAGGAGGAAGAAATACCAAGTCATTTAACAGCCCCGGGCTGCGCCCACACCCAGCTACCCACCAGCAGATAAACCACGTTCTCTCAACTCTAGGGCCATTGTTAGTTTTATTTCCCCCTTCTAGCCTAATGTCTTCTTTTCATTCCACAGGATCGAGTCCAGGGACCTCCCTGAAAGGCCTCAGTGCCGCCCCCACCGGAAGACCTTTATGCCATCATTAGTGGTTAAGAAGCAACGAGCAAAAAACCTTTCTGTAGGCTGAGACCTCTCGGTGCACCTGGTGACCCTGGGTGGAGGGGACTTGCTGTGAAGTCTTCCTCGCCCTCTGCCCTCTTGCTGCTTCTCCACATTGCCAGGAAAAGCTGCTGACGCCTGCCCTCCTCTCTTGAGTCGAGGGCTGAATCTTTCTCCTCTAAGCAGTCTGGTCAGGAACCTTGGTTTCTTGAGAGGCCCCCAAGATGCCGCAGCTCCAGGGCTCTTCCTCCTCACCAGAAATCCCTGGGCTTCCACAATGTGAACTCACTCATTGTCAGGTGTCCGTGGAGTGTTTTTGGCATGGTGACCTGTCTGGGCCCAGCATGTTGCAGATGTGTATTTATGCGCAATGGTATGCATATCTCTGTGTGACTGTCAGTGTTGCAAGCTGGCTGGATCCAACCATCTCTTCTGAAATAATGCATCCAAAGGGTTGATATTCTGGGGGAGGTCACTGCAGAAGGATGGAACTGACCTTTATTCCCCAGTGGGCAGTTACTGAGCTTTCCTCCTCAGAGCCATGCTGGCAGCCCTGGGACAGAGAACGGTGTGGCTTTGGCTGCCTCTGCATGGAATCTTGCCCCGGACTCCTGAAGACTGCACAAGGAATGAGGAAGATCAGGGACAACCTGGGAACTGAATAACTTTCAAAGCCAGTGCTCAGCTTCTCTGCTCCGTACTAGCGTTTACAGGTCTTAATTCAAACCAGATGCCTGTACTAGTTTTTAGACCCCAAGTCAACCTTTCTGAGCCACAGCTTCCCGCTGGGAATAATGATGCCTGCCCTATCTACCTCACAGACTTGTTATGAGGATAAAGTGAGATTAAACTGCCTCAAAGTGCTTTGTAAACCTCAGGTGAATAGGAAAGGGGAAAGTAAGGCTGGAGTGATGATGGGGAGGTCGGAGGATAAGGGGGGGCTGGGATTGCTAATGGGGACTAAAATGGCCAGTCTCCTGGCAAGATTTTGAGCAGGTCATTTCATTGAGGCCTCTTAGATTTCATATTTGAGAATTAGGGCACTGATTCCTGACTGGCTAGGCATGGTGGTCACTGGCTTGAGTCAGACCAGGAATGTCTCTTAGAAATGGTCACTGATAGGCATCCTTCTCCTCCAGTCAGGAGGGGCTGGTTTCCTTATCTGTTGCAGTCTCGACTGCCAGAGGGAGGCGAGCGTGGTAGGCAGTCGGGGGTCCCTTGTGTTTGGGGGGCCCAGCTCCCGCTTCCTTTGAGCCCGGAACCAATGATCCGAAGCCTTCTTTCCTGATGGGATTCTTTAGCGAGGACACTACCGAGGCGCGACTTCCTGACGCGCATCCGATCCGGGAAGGCGCACTTCCGCTCCCCAGTTGCCGCGGGATGGCAAGCCGGCGTGGGGGAAGGGAGAGGTCGGCGGAGACGAGGGAGGGACCATATCCGGGAGAGCGGCAGCTTCCGACCAGTGGTCGCGCTTCCGGAGAGGCGCTTCCGGTGGCGGCGGCAGCAGCGGCTGTGGTGGTTCCGGGTGTCTTTGTCCCCCCGGTGTCGCTGCCCTGGCCCGCAGGTGGGTTGGGGGGCCCCCTGCCGCCCCTCTGCCCCTTCGCCCCTCCGCCCCTCCGCTGGCCGAGGGGCTGCGAGGGCCGGGCGGCGAAGATGCGTGGGGCGCGGAAGGGGCCGAGCCCCTCTTTGGACTGCAAGTCCCGTCTCCCTGGCAACGGCCTCGGCCTTGGGGGCGGGCGGGAGGAGGAGAAACCGCGCGCCTCAGTCCTCCCTTGGTGGCCTCGCCGCGGCTCTGCTGGGAGACCCGGCGCTGGCGGCTGCTGAGGCCGGAGCGGAGGGCCCGGGAGCGTGGGAGCAGGAGGGTGGCGCGCAGCCGGTTTCGCGTTTGGTCGGCCAGGGAGCTGCCTTCCCACCAGCCGGTCGAGGAAACAACGGGTCGGGCTTCCGGGGAGAGGGCCCACACAGTCTCCTCGCCGGCACCGGCCTCCTCCATTTTTCCGGGCCTTGCGTGGAGGGTTTTGGCGGATGTTTTTGAACGAAGGAATGTCATCGGGGCTCTCTCGAGCCCCTCACCCCGCCAGCTACTCTGGGGGTGGCGTGGCATAGTGAGAGGAGCGCTAAGTTGTTGGGAGGCCTGGGTGTGAGTAGCAGTTTTGTCACTACCTGGTTATGTGGCCCCGGGCAAGTCTCTTGATCTCTCTGAGCATCAGTTTCCTTGTCTGTAAAACAGCATGACAGTATCATGCACCACTAGGTTATTGTCAGGGCAAACTGGAACAATGTAATTTCTTGTTTCATTTCTTTCTTCTCTATATTCTCTCCATCCATTGCTTTCATTCATTCTTATTACCCACCTCCCTGTTTTCCGAAATATCCTTACTTAAGATTCTCCACTTTTCCGGGTATAGATGGAAATTTCCCTTATAAGCTGTTAATTTCTTTCTTTTTGGATTGAAGCCTTTTCCCCACGACTCTGAAAGAGGACAGCGTTCCCAATGTCCCAGTTTAAGCGCCAGCGGATCAACCCGCTTCCAGGGGGACGCAACTTCTCAGGTGATCACTGTTCTCCCTACCTGGCCTCATCCTGGGAAGTATGTGCTCTGGAGTTAGTTTGGGGTTTCCCTGGTGGAGAGCAATTTGCTGCTGATGTTCCTCTGGAAAGCAGGAGATGCCCACAGTGATTGCCAGTGAAGCTCTGTGGAGGAGCTGGCTGGAGCTGTAGCCTTTGGATTTACCACATCCTTTGGTTGACTCGTGCTTAAGGTGGTAGGGGCGGTTCCTGGAGATTGCTTCTCTTTCCCCATAGGCACAGCTTCAACATCTCTTCTGGGCCCTCCTCCTGGTTTGCTCACTCCTCCTGTGGCCACAGAACTGTCCCAGAATGCCAGGCACCTTCAGGTAGGTTCGGCATCCCTTGTAGTAAGTTTCAGCCCTTGGGACTGAATGCATGGAGGCCTGGTGCTCTTTTTCTCTTACATAATAGTGTTTATCATTCCTGATCCCTCTCCTGGTAGTGGGCTAGTATGGGGTTGCCCAGATAGCCTTCAGACTGGGGCATCTTCATTTCTCGCTCCAGGGAAATCTTTAGCTTACGTCTTGGAATTAATGAACTGGAAATCCCAGAAGAAGCTTGTGGGTCAAGAACCAGCTCAAACATGCCCCAACCCCTAATGATGGAGTATGCCCACCACACCTGTACTTCACTCTGTGCGAACTCTTGATGCAGTACGCTGAGCTGGGGCGTGGGTTGAGATGAGACCTTCATGGCAGAGTGTGATTTTGTCCAGTTTCCTCCCTTTTACTTTTCAGCTGTCTCCTTCTCTTACAGGGTGGGGAGAAACAGCGGGTCTTCACTGGTATTGTTACCAGCTTGCATGACTACTTTGGGGTTGTGGATGAAGAGGTCTTTTTTCAGCTAAGGTAGGCTTGAGGTTGGTCCCCTAACGGAAATGCTTATTGGATTCAGTTCTGTCACCATGCTGGTATTGCCCCCACCCGCCTCAAAGCCATTGCTTTGCTGTTTTTGTGCAAGGTGTGGGAAATCTTGATGGGAAAGGCCTCATAGGGGCAGTCAGGGTGGCCTGGCCAGGGTCCCTCTTCTGATGGGGCCTTCTGGCTTGTGTGCTGACAGTGTGGTGAAGGGCCGTCTGCCCCAGCTGGGTGAGAAGGTGCTGGTGAAGGCTGCATACAACCCAGGCCAGGCAGTGCCCTGGAATGCTGTCAAGGTGCAAACGCTCTCCAACCAGGTATTCATATCTCCTTAGCATGTGCATTGGAAAGGGAAGGGATGGAAGCCCCTGTGCCCTGACAGCTGGGCAAAACCCTGACTTTTGTCAGGGGGGTGGGACTGCATCTTTCCAAGGTAGTGAGTGCCTCAACCATGGGGTCCCCTGAATTTCCTGGCTCCTGTTCTGCAGCCCCTACTGAAGTCCCCAGCACCTCCTCTTCTGCATGTAGCAGCCCTGGGCCAGAAGCAAGGGATCCTGGGAGCTCAGCCTCAGTTGATCTTCCAGCCTCACCGGATTCCCCCACTCTTTCCTCAGAAGCGTGAGTACGAGTGGCACTGTTGTTGGGTGTGGCATTATGGGGTAGTTTAGATCAATGGACTTTCAGGTTGCTGCTCTTAGCATAGAGGTGGGTACTTCTATGTACTGGAAGAAAGGTGGGCAATCTGGATAGGTGTTTAGGGTTTTTTTTTTTTTTTTTTTTGATGGAGTCTCGCTCTGTTGCCCAGGCTGGAGTGCAATGACACGATCTCGGCTCATTGCAACCTCTGCCTCCTGGGTTCAAGCAATTCTCCTGCCTCAGCTTCCCCCGTAGCTGGGATTACAGGCGCCCGCCACCATGACCGGCTAATTTTTTTTGAGAGAAAGTCTTGCTCTGTCACCCAGGCTAGAGTACAGTGGCGCGATCTCGGCTCACTGCAAGCTCCGCCTCCTGGGTTCACACCATTCTCCTGCCTCAGCCTCCTGAGTAGCTGGGACTACAGGCACCCACCACCATGCCCGGCTGATTTTTTGTATTTTTAGTGGAGACGGGGTTTCACCATGTTCGCCAGGCTAGTCTTGAACTCCTGACCTCAAGTGATCCATCTGCACTGTCCTCTCAAAGTGCTGGGATTACAGGTGTGAGCTATTGCACCCGGCCGGTTTTTAGGGTTTTTGAGTCACCAGTCATTTCCTTTCTGCAGCTCTGAGTCTCTTCCAAACATCCCACACACTTCACCTGAGCCACCTGAACAGATTTCCTGCCCGGGGCCCTCATGGACGGTTGGATCAGGGCCGAAGGTAAGAGGATGATGTCCCTTTTTTTGGCCACTTGTTGACACTAACATTCTCTTTATTTTATTATTATTTTTTTGTGTTGGCCAGGAAGTGAACCCAGGTCAACTGCTTGGAAGGTGGCTATGCTTACCACTAACATTCTTTGCCTGCAGCTAGATCCTAGTCCCTTTTCTGTGAAGTATGTAGACACAACTGAAATGTGTATAAAAATATTGGAATTTTATACAGTGGTTAAGCAAGCAGGGAGTTGATACAGTTCATCTTTCAAAATGTCATGTTGAGATACTTCTTAAATACTCTTCTGTTTCTAGTCCCTAAGTTGAGATGATAGGAATGGAAACTCTCAATAGTAACATGTCAAAACAACTAGAACACTGCAGTATCTGTTCTCGTTGTTTAAAACGTTTCTTTATAGACACCATACTCATCAGTATGCTGTTAGAAGGTGTATATTGCACTCTGCCTGGGAGTTCAGGCCCCCGTGCCTTGGACACACAGGTAGCTTTCTCAGCCATGTGTGGAGCAAGCATGGCTGATTTGGGCCTTTAGGGTATCCTGGTGATGCTGTGTCATCTGTAGCATTGGGGACCACTAGGAGCATGCTGTCCCGTCTTCTCTCCAGTTCACATGTTCCTTCCTCAGTCTCACTCTCCCTGAGTGTTTTGCTTATACCTCTAAAAGTTAAGCTCCAGAATGATTTGTTTAAGACTCGTTCTAGTTCTGTCTTCATTTTAAACTTGTTATAATGGAGAATTTCACTATATGCAAGGTAAACAGAAAGGTGTGAGGAACCTTATTATACCCATTACCCAGCTTCTTCAAGTATCAGCTACCATTCTTTTTCATCTCTACCTCCATCTATTCACTGCTCCCACTTGATTTTGTTAAGGTAAAAAATTTTAACGTGGAACTTATGTAGATTGAAATGCACAAATCTTGACAGTTTTGACAAATGGGAAATGTTATGTAACCCTTAACCCTTTTTTTTTCTTTTTTTTTTTTTTTTGAGACAAGGGCTTGCTCCGTCACCCAGGCTGGAGTGTGGTGGTGTGATCACGGCTCATTGCAGCCTTGATCTCTCTGGCACAAGCCATCCTCCTGCCTCGGCCTCCGCAGTAGCTGGGACTGCAGGTGTGCACCACCATGCTGGAGTAATTTTTTAAAACGTTTTTTGTAAGGCTGGGTGCGATGGCTTATGCCTATAAATCCCAGTGCTTTGGGAGCCTATCTCTACAAAAAATAAGTAAATATTTATTTATTTTTGTGGGGGTCAGAGAAAGGGTTTTACCATGTTGCCCAGGCTGGTCTCGAACTCCTGGGCTCAAGTCATCTTCCCACCTCAGCCTCCCAAAGCGCTGGGATTACAGGTGTGGGCCACCACGCCCGGCCCATTGTGAATTCTAAGTAGGGGGAAGCTTTGGGATTGTTTGCCATGGGGTTTCCACTGCTTGAAACCCTGTGTCCCATTCTCCATTGTAGACACCATATTCATAAGTATATAAATATATCCAGTCGCTGGTATATATTTTGTGTTTACCCACTCCTCTTGTCCTGTGCATCTTCCTGGTCCTCAGTTTCTAGGGACCTTCTCCCTTTCACAGTGTGTGAGTTTATTAAAGGCTTCATTACAAAATCACAGCAGGTGCCTTCTGAGACGGTGTAGCCTGGGTGAAACTCTGTGACTGCCGTGGACTTTCTGCTTTACGGTTAATTTCAGGCTTTCTCTATCAGTTGCATTTGATTGTCCTGGACGTGCTGAGGCCCATGCAAGGTCTGTTGTATTACTTTGGCCATTATGCTTCAGTGTCACAGCTTCTACAGAAAGGACGTACAGGTTGAGCATCCTAAATCCTTAAACCCAAAGTACTCTCAAATCGAGAACTTTTTGAGTGCTGACATGGCACTCAAAAGGAAATGTTTATTGAGCATTTCAGATTTGGATTTTTGGATTTGGGATGCTCAGCCAGTAGGTATAATGCAAACATTGCAAAATCTGAAAAAAATTCCAAACCCAGGATGCTTCTGGTCCCAAGCATTTCAGATAAGGGATACTCAACCTATACTACCATTGGGAGGGAGATATTATATTACCATTCGTCAGTAGAGAGAATGTGCAGAGTGGGGCCAGGGGTAGTAGGAAGTAGGTCATTCTGGGGCAGCAACTTTTATTTATTTATTTAGTTTCTCAGCTTTTAATTTATGAAGGACTCAGCCACATTAATGTTTTGCATGGAAGCCAAGCTTTATTTTGAATTCCTGGCTTTGGGATGCAGAGAACAATGTCTCCATTGAGCTGCTACTGCTGTGCTGTGGTTTTTAGACAGGTGTACCCAGCTGGGCTCTGCTGCTGCAAGTCCTGAGAGGTCAGCCCCTGGTGCTGCCTTACAACCTCCTGACAATGTACAGGAAGCGGAGGAAAGTGGCCACACAGTGTACAGCGTTGAGTGGACCATAACAGTTTAGCTAGAGGCCGACAGCATTCCTGCGAGCTGGAGAGTTGTCAAAGTGGCTTTGGCATGGGTCTTCTATTAGAAACATGGGCTACTGACATCCCATCGGGGCTAGAGAAGAAGGCCACTTTTGGATGGAGATGCTCATGCACATGGAAGTGACCAAGGCCAACAGAAAAGAGCAGGCATCATGATAAATCTCTTCAGCTTAGTCACTGGGGTGTGAACAGGGAAATGACCCAGGCAGGTCTAAAAGGCAGAACAAGAACCTTCTGGTGAATACAATCAACTCAGTTACCCAGGCACAGAGAAATGGCAGTGGGTTTTATTTCTCTCATGTGACATGGGGGGTTTTCCCCTTATCAGTCTGGCACGTTATAATGAATGGTCTAAAGGTTTTTTCTCCTCAACTATTTTTATTTATTGTACCCATATCTATTGCACTTATAACGTAGTTATAGTGTAATACTGTGGTGACTTATTATAAAAATGTGTAAAGCAGTACATGCTATTATATAAAATTAAAATAATATAAATACATAAAATTAAAATAATATAAATACGTAGGCCAGGCGCGGTGGCTCATGCCTGTAATCCTAGCACTTTGGGAGGCTGAGGCGGGCGGATTACTTGAAGTCAGGAGTTCAAAACCAGCCTGGCCAAGATGGTGAAACCCTGACTCTACTAAAAATACAAAAATTAGCCAGGCATGGCGGTGGGTACCTGTAATCCCAGCTACTCGGGAGGCTGAGGCAGGAGAATTGCTTGAACCCGGGAGGCAGAAGTTGCAGTGAGCTGAGATCACGCCACTGCATTCCTGCCTGGGCAACAGAGCAAGACTCTGTCTCAAAAAAAAAAAAAAAAAAAGTATATATATGTGTGTGTGTGTGTGTATGTGTGTGTATATATGTGTGTATATATGTGTGTGTGTATACATATGTGTGTGTGTATATATATATGTAAAAATATGTGTGGTTTCTACCTTCTTTCTCTTTAAAGGTAACTGTTGTTAACAGGTAGGTATTAAAGAATTTTAGAAAATAATTTTGAAAAGGAAAATCTCTTGCCACTCTTTTCTCCTGTGTTCTAGTTTTTATCTATACATGTGCATACTTTTTGCAATTTTAATCTTACAGTTCAAATTATTTTTGTGTATTTATAAACAGTTTTCCATATTGCAGCATAATCCTGAGTGTTTTAATGGCTGCGTGATTGTTTGTATTTACTATGAAAATTTGGGTATTGCTGAGTATGTATTTGGTTTTTTACTCTCAGTTTATGCTGCTTCATATTTTTCCACTATGTGTAGTCTTTCTTCTTCTTTTGAATTAACTTTCTTGGGACAAATTTTCAAGAGTGTAATTACTGGAGCAAATGGTTTGAGTGTTTTTATGACTTTAATGTGTATTATTAAGGATTTGTAACTGTCTCTCTTTTTTTTTTTTTTGGTGAGACAGAGTATCGCTTTGTTGCCCAGGCTGGAGTGGAATGGCGCGATCTCGGCTCACTGCCACCTCCGCCTCCCCGGTTCAAGCGATTCTCCTTGCCTCAGTCTCCCGAGTAGCTGGGATTACAGACGTGTGCAACCACACCTGGCTACTTTTTTGTATTTTTAGTAGAGATAGGGTTTCACCGTGTTGGCCAGGCTGGTCTTGAACTCCCGACCTCAAGTGATCCGCCCACTTCGGCCTCCCTAAGTGCTGGGATAACAGGCGTGAGCCACCGCGCCCAGCCTTGTAACCGTCTCTTCTAATAAAATTTACTTTTTTTTTTTGAGACGGAGTCTTGCTCTGTCACCAGGCTGGAGTGCAGTGGTGCAACCTTGGCTCACTGCAACTTCTACCTTCTGGGTTCAAGCGATTCTCCTGCCTCACCCTCCCAAGTAGCTGGGACTGCAGGCACGCACCACCAGGCCCAGCTAATTTTTGTATTTTTAGTAGAGACGGGGTTTCACCATGTTGGCCAGGATGGTCTCGATCTCTTGACCTCGTGATCTGCCCGCCTTGGCCTCCCAAAGTGCTGGGATCACAGGCGTGAGCCACCGCGCCCGGCCAAATTTACTTTAAAGGACGCATAGCATGGATCCATATATGCGTCTCTTGTTTTTAAAAGAAAAATCATTTTTTTCTCATTTCAAAAAAATCACGTTAACTATAATTAATGAAGTGCAGAAAAATAGAAAATTATTCGTAAGCTTTCCAGAGGCTTCCATCATTAATATTTTATTTCCTTTCAGTCTTCTAAAGTTGTTTTTGCAGTAGCTGAGGCCTACTGTGTATACAATGTTGCAGAGTGTGCTTTTTGCTTAACAGGAATGTTTATTAAAACAGTAAATATCCATTTTAATATCTTTATAACATTCTGTCATATGGCTGTTAGCATGGATTCTTTTTCCATTTATTGAATGTGAGGGATTTCGATTGTTTCCAGTTCTTTTAGTTCAGTTTGTATTGAATACATATAACAATGTGGTTTCTTACTGTTGGTGATGGGTCAACCTCTAGTGATGACTATGACTCCAAGAAACGCAAACAGCGGGCTGGTGGAGAGCCCTGGGGTGCTAAGAAGCCAAGGCATGACCTGCCTCCTTACCGGGTCCACCTCACTCCTTACACTGTGGACAGGTGAGTGGCGAGGCTGAGGTGGGCTGAGTCTTGCTGCTGGTAATAGTTTCTTATGTAAATGAGATGGCGTCTATGCAAGTGCACATGTATGTTCTTACAGCCTTTTCTTACAAAACGAAAAGCACATGGAAACCTGTTGTACATACTGTTTGGTGGTTTGCCTTTTCACTGAATGTACTTTAGATTTTATTTCGTATGAACATTTATTAGATCTAGTTCTTTTTTTTTTTTTTTTTTTTTAGCAACTACACAGTATTCATTGAATGGATGAACATGATTTATTTACCCAGTTCTCCATTTGCACTCTATCCTAAATTTTCTTGGAATGAACATCCTTCTACCTACACCTGTGTGTTTGTTGCGATCAATTTCTAGAAATGGAGCAGCTGGCTCAAAGGCTTTGCTTTAAGCTTCCATAGCTATTGCCAGTTCTCCTGAAGAGGCTGTGCCCCTTCTGCTCTAACCAGTGGGGTGTGGAGACCTTATTTCCCCGTGCCGTTGCCAACACTGTTAGCCGACTTTTTCATCTTTGTCTGTCTAGTTGGTGACACATGATAATGTGGTTTGCATTTCTTTAATTGTAAGTGAGATTGAGCATATTTTCCTGGCCTCTAATTCTTATGTATTTCTCTTAAGAACCTATTGATGTCAATTTTCCGTTTTAGGCTTTTGAACTTTTTGTTACTGATTTGTGAGTTCCTTTATATTAAGGCAATGACCCATTTCTCTGTCATGTGTTATAAGTGTTTTCTTTTTTCCCTTTCCCAGTTTGACTTTTGCCATCTAGAGTTTGTAAATTAAGTGGTCAGATCTGATCTAGCTTCCTTGAGAGGTGCCTTACTTCAAAAGTTCTCAGACTGAAAAAAAATTCGCCCATTTTTTCAAATCTTTGATGGTTTCATTTCGAATGTTTTAGTCTTTGCTCAGTCTGGATTCCCTTGCTGTCTTCCTGTAGCCCCATCTGTGACTTCCTAGAACTCCAGCGCCGTTACCGCAGCCTCCTGGTCCCCTCAGATTTTCTGTCCGTGCATCTGAGTTGGCTATCAGCCTTCCCCCTGAGCCAGCCCTTTTCCCTCCATCATCCAAGCCGGATCCAGGTCTCTTCTGAAAAGGAGGCAGCTCCAGACGCTGGTGCTGAGCCCATCACTGCAGACAGTGACCCCGCTTATAGTTCGAAGGTAAGCTGACAGGCGTCTCTCACTTATCTGATTTCTGGAGGCTGAAGGCAGCTCTGAGTGTCTCCTCCTGCACAGGTACTGCTGCTCTCTTCCCCGGGGTTGGAGGAATTGTATCGTTGTTGCATGCTCTTTGTGGATGACATGGCTGAGCCAAGGGAGACGCCAGAGCATCCTCTGAAGCAGATTAAGGTAAGAGCTGGAGAGCAGGAGGAGATGCATTCACGGGTAATGTGCACAACCTGTCATGTTTTGAGTGTTCGGCTCCTGTTCCTGAATGCATAAAACGAGGCATCTCAGAGCCGAACACCCCTCATTTCACCCAGGAGGAAGGTGCAGCTCAGAGCTGTTACGACTAGTCAGAGAGAGCGAGGTGGCTGGTTCATGTTTGCAGATAGAGACCTCACTGTGTGGTGGACTTCCCCACTTCCGGCTGCCTTCATCCTGATGGGTGGCAGCCTTGCCCTGCAGTGGGAGACCCAGGTAATGTAGTTTTTTGTTTTGTATCCCTGATCTCTTCTTGCAGTTTTTGCTGGGCAGGAAAGAAGAGGAGGCAGTGCTGGTTGGGGGTGAATGGTCTCCTTCCCTGGATGGCCTCGACCCCCAGGCTGACCCGCAGGTGCTGGTGCGTACCGCCATCCGCTGTGCGCAGGCCCAGACTGGCATTGATTTGAGCGGCTGTACCAAGTGGTGAGTGGGCTTCCTGAGCCTCAGCTGCACCAACGCACCAGGTTGGGGAGGTTTTGTTGGGAAGGCCCGGTCCCTGCCCCTTTCTGCTGGTTAGCTCTCTGCCCCCTAGTCCCGTTCCTTCCCCCTCTGGTGCCTCAGGGTAGGGTGGGGTGTATGCCAAAATCTGGCTGAGCCACCAGGCTGCACTTGAGACTCCCTGGAGTTGTCCTTGCACCTTGTAGGGTGCTTGTGTGGTTGCGGCCTCCCCACTGACTGATCATTTCTTGAGGACTTGGTCTGTAGCTTTCCTGTTGTGTCTTCAAAGCTTGGTTCGCAGTGTGTGCTCATTGAGTGCTGACTGGAAACTGAAGCCCTTGCCTGTGAACGTGGTGTCTGCGTGGAGTTGTCACTAAAGAAGTTAGTACCTCCTTTTGCCATGTGCAGGTGGCGCTTTGCCGAGTTTCAGTACCTGCAGCCGGGACCCCCCCGGCGGCTTCAGACAGTGGTGGTGTACCTGCCGGATGTCTGGACCATCATGCCTACTTTGGAGGAGTGGGAGGCCCTGTGCCAGCAGAAAGCTGCAGAGGCAGCTCCCCCAACCCAGGAGGCACAAGGGGTAAGGCTGTGCCTTAGCCAGCAGCGGGGGATATAGGTGGCCTAATCCCGGGACCCAGAGGGTCTCATTTCAGCTGTTGTCACAGGAAACGGAGCCTACTGAACAGGCACCTGATGCCTTGGAGCAAGCAGCAGACACTTCTAGACGGAACGCAGAAACTCCAGAGGCCACCACACAGCAGGAAACGGACACTGATCTCCCAGAGGCCCCTCCACCCCCCCTAGAACCTGCTGTCATCGCACGCCCTGGCTGTGTAAACCTGTCCCTCCATGGGATTGTGGAGGATCGGAGGCCAAAGGAAAGGATCTCTTTTGAGGCAGGTGTCAAGAGTCTTGGGGAGGCTGTGGGCTGGGATTTGTGGGCCTGAAGCAGTCTTTCTTCCTGATGCTCATGGACCCTCCCACCTCCCCATCAGGTGATGGTGCTGGCCGAGCTGTTTCTGGAGATGCTCCAGAGGGATTTTGGCTATAGAGTTTATAAGATGCTACTGAGCCTTCCTGAAAAGGTCGTGTCCCCACCTGAACCTGAGAAGGAGGAGGCGGCCAAGGAAGAAGCCACCAAGGAGGAAGAAGCCATCAAAGAGGAGGTGGTCAAGGAGCCCAAGGATGAGGCACAGAATGAGGGCCCGGCTACAGAGTCAGAGGCCCCGCTGGTGAGTACCCTGCCACCTCGGGCTGTCATAGTGCTTACCGTGACCGCGCACCTTTACCCCGGGCTCTGTTCCGAGCGCTTCCTGTGCCTTAGCTCATTCCCTGCACCCTTGCTCGGCATGGACTGAGGCCGCACAGCTAGTAAGTAGCACACCTAGTGCAAGGGAAGGTGGCGCAGAGTGCAGGGAGCATGGCTGAGCAGCCTGACAGCACAGAAACCCTTGTCACTGAGAACGCTTGGCAGAGTGGGGTGCTTTGATTGCCTGATGGTTAACTAGAAAATTTTGTAGGCCGGGCGCTGTAGCTCACCCCTGTAATCCCAGCACTTTGGGAGACCGAGGTGGGCAGATCATGAGGTCAGGAGTTTGAGACCAGCCTGGCCAATATAGTGAAACGCCGTCTCTACTAAAAATACAAAAATTAGCCGGGTGTGGTGGTGCATGCCTGTTTTCTCAGCTACTCGGGAGGCTGAGGCAGGAGAATCGCTTGAACCCGGGAGGCGGAGGTTGCAGTGAGCCGAGGTCGCGCCACTGCAGTCCAGCCTGGGCGAGAGAGTAAGACTCTCTGTCTCAAAAAAGAAAAAAAAAGATTTGTAAACCTTTTCTAAAATACTAGTCTGCTTTTTTTTTTTTTTTTTTTTTTTTTTTTTTGGGGAGATGGAGTCTTGCTCTGTCACCCAGGCTGAAGTGCAGTGGCGCAACCTCGGCTCACTGCAACCTCTGCCTCCCAGGTTCAAACGATTCTCCTGCCTCAGCCTCTCTCCAGTAGGTGGGATTACAGGCACCTACCACCATGCCCAGCTAATTTTTGTAGAGATGGGGTTTCACCATGTTGGCCTGGCTGGTCTTGAACTCCTGACCTCAGGAGTGCTGGGATTACAGGTGTGAGCCACCATGGCCAGCTGCTGCTTGTTTAAATACTATCAATCAAATGAATGTAATTTCTTCTGGGACCAAGATCAACTCCTGAGGAAAAAAGCCCAGGTGTCTGGCGATGCCCTGGCATGCTCTGAATCCCACTTAATGAAATTAAATACATGAAATGAGACGGTATCTGTAGAGCCCTCCATACAGTGCCTGGGGCATAGTTGATACTCAGGTGTCAGCCATGCTTACTATTGGTAATTATGGTAACTGCCTGCCTTTTCCTTATAACCTTTGTCTGCCTCTGTAGAAGGAGGATGGGCTTTTGCCCAAACCACTCTCTTCTGGGGGAGAGGAAGAAGAAAAACCCCGGGGCGAGGCTTCTGAGGACCTGTGTGAGATGGCCCTGGACCCAGAACTGTTGCTTCTGAGGGATGATGGAGAGGAGGAGTTTGGTATGTTGAGTGGTGAGAGGGGAGCTTGCAGGCTTGGGATGTGGCTTTCCACCTGTGGCCAAGCTGGTTTTCATTTTTGTACTGTGGAGTTGGGTGGGCCCTGCTCTCCATTTATCTTGGCCTTTCTGTAGCAGGAGCAAAGCTGGAGGATTCGGAGGTCCGGTCCGTTGCCTCAAACCAGTCAGAGATGGAGTTCTCTTCACTTCAGGACATGGTGAGGCCTCTTCTCGACCACTCTGGGTCTCAGTGGTGGTGAGGCTTGGCAAGGCCTCTGGCCCACTCCTGGGAGAAGGATGCTTACCAGTGACTTCCTTTCTTGATGGACCCAACACACAGTGTGGTCCTTGGCTCATGGAAGGGCACGTTCATAGGCTCCAGGAGAACATTTCAGTGTCTGTTGGGGTGAATGGGAGAGGGGTATTTGATCCTCTCCTGAGAGAGGAGCACAGGAGCTTTTGCCAAAGTGGGCCAGAGAGGAAGGCTGGCTTGGGCGTGATGAACATCAGGCAAGGTGCTTGATGTTTTGTTTTTTAGAGACGGGGTTTCGCTGTGTTGCCCAGGCTGGAGCACAGTGGTTATTCACAGGCATGAATATAGTGCACTGCAGCCTCGAACTCCTGGGTTCAAGTGATTCTCCTGCCTTAGCCTCCCCAGCAGCTGGGACTTCAGGCATGCATCACTGCATGTGGCCCAAGCCACTGGATTCTGGACAGGCTGAATCCTGGGCGATAGAGCCACTGAGGGAACTATTTGCAAATCCTGCTCATCTTTGTTTTCTTTGCAGCCCAAGGAGCTGGATCCCTCTGCTGTGCTCCCCTTAGACTGTCTGCTTGCTTTTGTGTTCTTTGATGCCAACTGGTGTGGCTACTTGCACCGGCGAGACTTAGAGAGGATCCTCCTTACCCTTGGGATCCGGCTCAGTGCAGAGCAGGTACCTTCTTTCCTCTGCCCCAGCACATGGGCACAGGCCTGCACTTACTCCTGCTCTAGGTTCCCGCCCATGGCCAGGGTCGGGGACGGGGCCTTCTGATCAGCAGATGTGTTTTCTGCAGGCCAAGCAGCTGGTCAGCAGGGTGGTGACCCAGAACATCTGCCAGTACCGGAGCCTTCAGTACAGCCGCCAGGAGGGCCTGGATGGTGGCCTTCCCGAGGAGGTGCTCTTCGGTATGTTCTGGGGCCCTGCAGCCTTCCTGGGGCACGGGCAGGGCAGGCTGCCCTCTCTGGAGACTCCATCCTGAATTCTTTTTCACGGTTCTCTCTAGGAAACCTGGACCTGCTGCCCCCTCCTGGGAAAAGCACGAAGCCAGGTGCTGCCCCCACAGAACACAAAGCCTTGGTGTCCCACAATGGCAGCCTGATTAACGTGGGGAGCCTGCTGCAGCGCGCGGAGCAGCAGGACAGCGGCCGGCTCTACCTAGAGAACAAGATCCACACACTGGAGCTGAAGCTGGGTGAGGGCCTGGGGCTGCAGCCACCATGGGGTCACATGCAGACCAGTAGGGAACCTGCTGCTTAGGCTCAGGCCCTGCCCTGTGCTCTGGGCCTTGATGGAGCAGCCGTCCCCGTTTCCTTCTCCACCTTGCAGAGGAGAGCCATAACCGTTTCTCAGCCACTGAAGTAACCAATAAGACGCTGGCGGCAGAGATGCAGGAGCTGCGAGTCCGGCTGGCGGAGGCCGAGGAGACCGCCCGGACGGCGGAGCGACAGAAGAGCCAGCTCCAGCGGCTGCTGCAGGAGCTCCGCAGGCGTCTGACCCCCCTGCAGCTGGAGATCCAGCGGGTGGTGGAAAAGGTAAGGTGGGGGTGGACCAGGAGGCAGCACAGCTCCTTTCCCTGAGCTCCAAAAGTCCCCAGAAGGGCGCTTGCCCGTGTCGGGAGTGACCAGAGGGCCAGCAGGCACCGGCTTCGTCTTTCCATCGCTTGCCAGGCAGTGTGCCCCTGGTTGCAGGTTCTCTGGGAATTGAGCAGTCAGCAGCGTGCAGTGGGAGCTTCCCAGCAGGAGGCAGTCCGCAGTCCGCAGTCCTCAGATCACCTTGCCAGGCCCGATTCTGGGTACATCATCTGTTTCAAACAGGCTGACAGCTGGGTGGAGAAGGAGGAGCCGGCACCTAGCAACTGACGGCCTCGCACGGAACTGCCATCCTGTGAGGGCAGCGGTGGCGCCCGGCAAAGTTGGAGCCCTTGCGGTACCAGAAAGCAGCGAGAGCGAGACCTGGGAGCCAGGGCAGGGGTGGCTGACCCCATGCTCAGCCTCTAGGGGACGGCAGGCCATCAGGCTGGGGGCTGTGCTATGTGGGATGGATGTGTGAGGAACCCCGGTTCCACTTAACAACTAAATACAACATCTTTTGCACCCCTAGAATGTCATTTTGCCCTCAACCTTGGTATTTCTCCTGGGGCCCTTTTAGTCTTGTGCTGACTTTCTCCTGTCCTCTTCCAGTTTAGAATAAGACAGGGGAGAAAAAGGCTTTTCGAGTGTGGGACAAGGTCTGATGTCAGTGAACGGAACTGAAGAGCAAGACATGGAGCCTGGCTGGGGCTAAGCAGCCCCCTCCTCCGGATGGCACAGGCTCTGCTAGGTTCCGGACACAGGCTTCTGGGGGAAGGGTCTCCCTTGGCCATCACGGGAATGGAGTCCATGCTAGAAAGAGCTCAGTGTTGGGCTGGGTTTGCCAGTAGAACACTGCGTTCCAGTCACCCCGGTCTTGCCAGAAGAAACCAGCACCTCTTTCCCGTGGCTCCTGTGTTCAGAATGTGGTATTGGCTCTGGCCCAGCCTTCTCCCCTGTTACCCATAATTCTTGCCTCTTTCCATAATCCGTGGTTTCAGTTTGACTTTGTATATAAAGTTGGGGTTTTTTTTTTTTTTTTTTGGCTTGTTTTTTAAATAAACCAAAGTCAAAAACAAACTGAGAGTGTGTCCTCCACAGCTCTTCCTACTCTCCTAGGCTTGCCCGCGTGCCCTCCCACCCAGCGCCTCTGCTGGACCACGGTGCAGTTCGCTCCAGAAGGTGGGCCAGGGCCGGGGAGGTGCGCACACACCCCTGGCATGCTGGGCTGCCTGCTGGAGGGTGCTGCTGCTCCGTGGAGGGCAGCAGGCCCAGGAAGGGGTTTCCTCTGCTCGCCTAAGTTACAGCACAATACTATGTGGACGTTTCATTGAAAATTTTACTTGAAAAAATAAAATTCCAGATACTCAGGTGAGACACAAACCCACTGTTCCTGCTTTGAGACCTGTGAATTCTTGTGGGACAGTTCCACTGACAGCTTGCGTTCCCGAGGTACCAGTCCTCAGTGACCTCGGGAACCCCAACCACTTAGGTCCCAAAGCCACAAGGGTGCCCTTTGTCTTGCTGGGAAGCTGGCTGAGGGCCTGCCAGGGCTGGAGGACCAGCTCTCCCGCACAGGGTTCAGGGCCTCTCCCAGAAAAAAGAGGTTTTGAAGTGAAAAGGCAACGAGGGGCCAGAGGGCTCCCCAGGATGGGTCTTTTGGAGGTAGATTTGATGCCCACAACGCATGCAAGGCTAAGACCCCCAACTTAGCCAACGAAGCCCATGGCCTCAGAAGGGCTGCAGCTTGCTCAGGCCGTGGGCCAGGATGCATGCTGGACGGTTCTCCAAATAAAAAAGCCCCAAGGGTTTGTCTACACTGCTTACCTGCTGGGGCTGTGAGTGGGGAGACGGCGGCCTGCCTAGGGCTCCTGGTGCCAGGCTCAGGAAGAGTCATTCATTGCAAAGGGCCGGCAAGTGAACCAGGGCCACCTCTGTCCCCAGCCTGTGAGAGGAGCAGCTAGCCCTGAGAAGGGCAAGGATGAATGAGGCTGACCACGTCACAGGAGTCCTCCAAGAGTGACGGGGATTCAGTCATCGGCCACAATGGAGAGGGCCCGGAGCTCACTGAGTTTGGCCTCGTTCTCCCGCTCCCGCTGCTCATCGGAGTGGCCTGGCTGGTCAAGCTGATGGGACAGGTCTCCAAAGATCTTGTGCATTTCCGAGTAGTACACAACCTGGGGGAGGCGACAGGGGTTGGCACGTGCTGGCTCCAGGGAACCGTGTGCTTCAGGGGGCCAGAGGCTCACACTTCTCTGCTACCCCCTGCCCTTACCCATCTGGAGCTGTGCAGCAGCGTGCCTTTGGGGATATGCAGGGCACGGAAGGGCTCTAGCTGAGACTGAACCAAAAGGAGCCGGGGAGCAACAGGGCCTCAGTGGCTGGAGGTGGAGGCGCCCCTGCTTCGGGCTCCTGGTTCCCCCAGCAGCAGGTGCAGGAAGGCATGGGCCTCCTAGGGCGACTGTGGAATGATGGGCACCATGACTGGAGTTTTACTGCTTTTTGTAAGCTAGGGGAGAACCCAAGGCTTTTGTCCATGGCAGAAAGACAGCATGGTAGGCTGATGGCTCCCAAAGCCCTAAGCCAGCTTTAGAGGCACAGGCAAGAAAGGGGATGCCCGTCTAGCCTTCTGTTCCCTCCCAACTTGCATCCCACCCTTGCTCATGGCCCAAGCTGCGTGGCCAGGGGGACAGCTCAGAGGCCAGGTTCACTGCCAGGGTCCCTCTAGGGAGGCACCAGAAATGGTGTGGGAGGGGACACAGGGTTGAGGGTGGGGCAGGTGGAGGAATGGGGAAGCCCGTCAATTCTCCCAGATGGCTGAGGACCAGGGGCTTTTCCACAGACAATAGGGGCCACTTCTGCCTCAGTTTCTACCTCATGACCCAATGAAAGCATGCAGTTTCCTGAAAGCTTCCACGTTTCACTCTAGACATGAGGAGGAGCTCTAGACACTAAGGGGACCTTGTGGGAAATGCCAGGTGGGGCGGGGACCCACGGCTGATACTCCTGAGGCGAGATTTCCGCCGGCCGAGGGGGTGCTAAAGTGAGCTGGTCTCAACACACTGCTGTCACCTCTGGGCTGGCGGCGGCCCACCCTGCCCCCACTCCCTGCCCAAGCCACTGTGCGCTGAGTCACTGGGAATACTCACTTCTCCATGACTAATGGCAGCCGGGCGGGCGAGGGGGAGGCTGGGGCCCAAGAGGCAGTCAACAGCCCCCAGCAATGCTGCCTGGTTAAAGGGCATCCCTGGCCTCCCATCTGCTCCAACCTGGACACGCGGGAGCCTGGCACCCTGTGGCTTCCTCCTGTGAGCAACAGGAGGGAGGGTGCAGGGCAGCACCCAGGTGACAGTGAGGAAGAGGCAGGCCCAGGTCTCCCGTGAACCCAATGGGGCGGCTGGAGGGAGCCCTCGCTGCAGGAGCAAGTGTCAGGAGAAGTCCCTACCTCCTCCTGCAGAAGGCTCTAGGTCTCACTGCCCCCTAAAGATGGCACAGGACCAAGTACGTGGGTCACTGACAAGGTCCCGCCCCGGCATGAACCCTGCTCAGGTGTCCTGACTGGGGCAGGTGGCCACCCTGACTTTGGCCCGGCAGGGTGGGTGTGCACTGGCCAGGCTTCACGGCTGCGACTACGGGCCTGCAGGAAATGGCCACTGGAGGGCGCCAGACGCCCAGCCACGCTCAGACCACCCGGGCCAGGAGGGGCAGAGCCACAGGGACCTGGCAGGGTGCCACGGGTGTTGGGGTACTAAGGCTGTTGCTGAGCGCAAGCCATCAGCAGGGTCCTGTGTGGAAGGGACCCGCTTCTGGCATGGGTGCCCACCCTTTTCTATTTTGCCAGTTGGGGGAACAATCCTTCCTAAAGGCTTGAAGATGGAGGAGGGTGAGGAGCATGCCACTCCGTGTCCTCCCGTCCCCGAGTGGAAGGAGACGCTGGGGCCTGGCCCGTGTCTGACCCCCAGTGGCGCCCCCATGCCTCCAGGCCTGCCTTTCCACCCCAGGGCCCTAGGAGCAGCCCTGATTGTGGCTCTCCCCAGGGCTCTGGAGCCCCCTTCCTTAGTGGTTCCAAGGCAGGACTCCCGCCGTTTCCTGCTAAAAAGACTGGCTCACGGTAGGCAGGGGAGGGGAGCTGAGTCCTCAGAAAAGGCCTCCATTCTCCAGATCCCTTTCTTCTCGGCACCACCCTGGGCCAAGAAACCGCCCACTTGAGGGTGCGGGGCAGAGGAGCTACTTATAGTGAAATGTAGAGAGATCCATGGCGGAACTGCTGGACCAAAAGGGAACCTCGGCCATTCCTGGTATGGGATTTACCAGAGAGCAATGTGAGGAGTCTAACAGCAGACAGGTCCCCCAAGTCGCTGAGCCTGGGACTCTGGTAATGGAATGAATTCCTTCAGGGCTTTGCCTGGGGTGGGTGCCCTGTCTTTACGGAGAATGGCTAAGCCACCCTTCCAGTGTGGGTGACAGGGAGTGGCATGAGCTGTGTATACCAAGCCCAGGGGAAGAGCACCTGGCGGCCTCACCTGAGCTCGGATGAGGGACTCAAAGCTGGGCTGGAAGTAGTCGAGGCGGCTGCCGTAGAAGCGCGGCATCTCCTCCAGCAGCTGCCTGTTCTTGGCTTCAAAGTCCTCCCGCACAGGCCGCAGCTCCTCTCGTGCCTAGGGAACAAGACCTGGGTGTCAAAACTCTCTCACTGCTGGGTGCCGGATACGGGATGGGTGGGGTGGGGACGTCTGGTGTCTTGGTGCCCCCAGGTGAGGGGAGGGACTTACCACAGGTGACCACGATGGCCCACCTGTCTAGCCCCTGCCCACCTGTCTCCCCTGGTACCTGGTGGAGCTTGGCCAGCACTGGCCCCGTCTTCTCCTTTTCCTCATACTTCTCCACCTTGGCCTGCAGCCTCCTGTAGTCCTGCAAGGCCTGTTCCCGCCTCTTCACAGCCATGTTGAGGCTCGGGAAGACACTGCCGAACCTGTGGGACAAGCTGGCTGGAGATGGGCCCGTTCTTGAAGGGGTGGCCTGGCTGGAGATGGGTCTGCTCTTGGAGGGGTGGCCTGGCTGGAGATGGGTCCGCTCTTGGAGGGGCGTCCTGGCCAGCACTCACTTGTCCAAAAATGTGCCCTGAGCACCTACCAAGCGCCAGACCCTGCTCTAGGTCTTGGGGAGTTCACTGTGAACAAGACAGATGAGGCCCTGTCCCCTGGAGCTTGTGCGAACGTGGACAATGTCATGGGGTGAGGGCAGATGAGAGGAGGTGGGGTTGTGGGCCAGGTCCAGGGAGCTGGGTGGCACAGGGTGGCCCAGGAATGAAGGGTGCCCTGACCCCCACCTCCTGTGAGCTTTATCACACAACGGACTAGGGGATGGTGGGGAAGGTGCCTTGAAGTCATCTGGCCAACACCTCACTTTTAAAAAGGAGGGAAACTGAGGACAGAGAGAGATGACCTATGACTCATCCAAAGTCACGATGAGGCAGAGAAGGTCTAGAAGAGAACACAGGTGTCCACATTCTCTGTCTGGCACCCTTTCCAGCCCTCACAGTGCCACTGGCAGGTGGCAGAACTGAAATCTAAACTCACCCCTGCCCCAGGGCACCTTCTCCTTCAAGGGCTCCTTGGCAACATGAAAGCAGCAGAAATCCTCTGGCTCTGCCATTGGAACCGCCAAAGTTCCAACCAGCTGCTTCAGGAAAATGCCCTGAGGACCTCCACTGTGACTAGAAGGGACCGCGTGGGAGACTCAGAGGAGTGGCCCTCAGAGAGAGCAGCAGTGGACGATGCAACGCTGCAGGTCCACACCGGCCTCGTCTTTGTGGATCATGTGTCCTCTAGTGACCAGGAGCAGTGCTCTCCTGAGGCTCTCGCTGCTGCTGCTGGAGGGCTGGCCCTCGGTGCAATGGCAGGGGGCGTCTACCAGGCAAGCCAGAGCCCTGCAGTGTCCAGGATCAGGCTGCGCAGCCCAGGGAGCTCATGACTCTGTGGCCATTCGGAGGTGACCCAGGACCAGAAGAGTTGGTTCCTCCTGGACATTTTTATGAGGAACCCAGAGAGGAGGAAAGACGAGGGCAGGAAGCAGTTACTGAGACTGGGATCATAGGCACTCAGAGTTGAGAGGATGCTGGCAGACTCACTGTCAGGTTCCAGGAGCTCAGCTACCACACAGAGCAGGACTCCCAGATGTGCCTCTCAAAGGACATGACCAGGAATTTGGTTTTGAGACAGAGTCTTGCTCTCTCACCCAGGCTGGAGTACAGTGGTATGATCTCTGCTCACTGCAGCCTCCACCTCCTGGGTTCCAGCAATTCTCATGCCTCAGCCTCCCGAAGAGCTAGGATTACAGACGTGTGCCACTACGCCCAGCTAATTTTCGTATTTTTAGTGGAGACGGGGTTTCACCATGTTGGCCAGGCTGGTCTTGAACTCCTGACCTTGAGTAATCCACCCGCCTCAGCCTCCCAAAGTGCTGGGATTACAGGCGTAAGCCACCGTGGCCGGCCTGTTTTTAAAAAGCCTCAGCAAATCAAGTGTACATTTGAGGTAAGAGTAATGAACAGTTTTGCCAGGGAGTAAGAGGATATTAACTTTACCAAAGCATTAAATGCCCCCAAACTAAGTCAGACCCAGGGAGTAGATTTTGATGAAACAAAGGGCTTATCCCCAAGACAGGAATCCTCTACCTCAACAGTGTCCATAAGGGGCTCCCTGTCTTAACAAGGTGCTAAGTGGGTGAAGCCACCAAAGCACCCTGAATGCTCACCCGTGCCCTTAGACATAGTAATCAAACCAGCATCTGACCGACTTGCCGGGCAGAAGCCATGGGCCTCCCAGGACTGTGCACAGAGAACGCGGGCCCCTCAGCACTACGGAACTGAGGGTGGGAAGCAGACACCACCAGGATGCATAGTCGCCCATGGCGTGGGCTGGGGTGAGACTGCTGGGAGGAGCTAGACTTGATGCTTTGCCCAGGGCGGCTGCGTGGTGGAGCTGCAGCTGCTGGGGAGCCCTGCCCCCTTCCTGGGCAGCTGAGAGGCACGTGTTCAGGCAGCAGGTGCAGCTGGGCCTGAGAGGCTACCAGGCCACCTCTCCCTCAGCCCCAAATGGCCAAGGGACCACCGGCAGCTACCCTGGTCCTCGCCCTGATCCTTGTGTTAGAAGCCACCTGCTGCTTGGATGGTCCCAGTGCCTGGGCCTTGTGGGTGCCTGGGAGCTGCCGGGTAGGTGCAGGCGCTGGGACAGGGCAAGGATGAGGCAGGCAGGAGGCAGCAGGTGGAGAGCTCTCTGGCCCTGGCCCCAATCCCACCACCCTGAGCTCACATCCTCAGGAAGGAGGGCATCACAGCGTGAAGCCGTGTGTGCGCAAGGTGGCTTCCACGGTGCAGGATGGGAGGAGCCCTATGCTCGTTGCTCCAGCAGCCTGACCCCCCAACATCCCCTGAGGCACTCTCATAGCCCCCTTCCCACAGCTGTCGGCTGGGGCTTATTATTTCCTGTGCCAGAGTCAGAGCCACCAGGAGCGCTGACTACAGCGGAGTGCCGAGCGGGGGTGAGGGAGGCCGGGTTACAGAGCTCCTCGGGGGATGGCGTGGTGGTGTCTCCAGGTGGCCACCTGGCTGCATGGGCTCCTGCCAGCCCCCTGGAACCAAGACCACCTGCCTCTGCAGGCCGCCTGCCCCAGTGGGAAGAGCATGTCTTCACCATGAAAACCTCCGTTTCCCATGACAGCACCCCTTAGCCACCAAGAGGCTCTGCCTGCTCAGGCCACTGGAGGTGATTGCTGATAAATTACAACCACGGTGGGGGGAGGTTGGGTCCTGGGATTGGGATTCCCTAGGGGTAGGGACAAGTGTCACACCTTTCTACATTCAGTGGGAACTCACATCAGTCAGGGCAGGGCGCAGCTTGTGCCAAGGTGGCTGAAGAGTAGTGGACCAGGACTCTGTCACATCTGCCCTGGTCACTCACTGACCCTTTGAGGCCCCATCTCCCCGTTTTCTACTTCTTAGCAACAGAACAGACTTTGCCAAAGCCCCGGGGTGGACAGTGGATGTGCCACGGTGCTGTGTGGGATCTCAGGTCAGGGCTCAGGCTGCTGGCAGGGGAGGTGGAGACGTGCACAGGCTGGGCGCCTGTGCCAGCCCCTCCCAGATATGTCCCTGGGACCCCACAGAGGCCCTGCTGACTCTACCCAACCACACTGGGGGAGCCTGTCCCCAGGCGTGAAGCCAGGACCCAGGCTCCACTCTGCTGTTCCAGCGCACTTCACCCCTCCTCTCTCCCTGCCCACCTCAGCCCACCAAAACCTCCTCTCCCACTCCTAGGTGCTGACTGTCCCATTATGAGAAGTCAGTTTGGCTTTCTCTTTCCACATGTGAGGAAACAGCCTCCGAGGCCAGGTGGGGGCAGGTCAGACAGCCCACCGAGCATGCCCCGCTCCATGGTCCTGCACCACGCTGGCAGCTGCCACACCTGGCCGCTGACCTGAGAACACGCTGTGGCTTTCCACTAGACTGTAAGCTCCTGAAGTCTGTTTTACATTTATCCTCAAAGAAGGGGGCCGGGCTGGGCCCAGGCCAGTGATCAAAGCATTACCCATGATCACTGCCCAATTCTTGTCTGTCCTAAGGCTCAATATCAAACTCACTCCCCTGGGGATGGGAGGGGCGAAGAGGAGAAGGAGAGGGAAGGTGAGCGAGGCCGGCTGGGAGGTGGGCTGGGCGCAGCCAGCACTGGTGGGGAATGCCTGCCATGCCTTGGTCTGTGCCCACGCAGCCGGGAGCTTCCACCCACCAGGAAAGGGAAATTGAAAGCATCCCCATCCGACATGTGAATACGGCCCAGAGACTGGGGATTAGAGGCCGAGCCCCTGCAGGGAGGCTGGGGGCGGTGGGGTGGCCATGTGGCCGTGATCTTCATCAGAGGACAGGAAAGCTGGAGTTTCCTGTTTCCGGTGCTGGGGTCCCTGGGAGCTTCTCTTCTGGCAAGAGGAAGCCAATGGGAAGAGGCTGTAGGCTGCGCGGTTTTATGTGGTTGGGGGAGATCGTATGTCAGCTGTGGGGATGCAGGGAGAAGCCAGCCAGGCAGGCCTGAGGGCTCATGCAGAGGTCAGCGGATCCGCTGCGGAGATGTGCGCCCCCTCTGCCACGCCCCCACCTTCCTGGCAGGTGGTGGGCCACCAGGGTGGTGGGAAGTGGCCGGGGTTTCTCTCCATTTGGGCTTCAGAAGCCAGGGATCAGATTTCAAGGGCGCCTTGCTGATACTGAAACTGAGGTGGGAGTCAGTTCCCCAGTTCTCTGAGTCCCTGCCTCATTCTACCAGCCATGGGTGCCTGTGGCAGCCTCTGTGTCCGTCTCTGGGACCCCTGTGGCCCTGGCACAGAAAAGCCCTCTGTGGGCAGGGTCTGCTCAGTCTATGTCCTTCCCAACCAGCCCTGAACAGTCTGTCCCGAAGCCCAGGACCAAAACCCACAGCCACGGAGCTCTTTCTGCACCCCAGCTCCCTACGCAACCCTGTGGCATGGGGCTGCGCTGTCCCCAGCAGGCAGGGGGTGGTGGATGCCCACTCTGGGGAGGCTGGGGGGCCAGGGCCGGAGCCGGAGGCACAGTCCCTTCCCTCCCTGCCTTCGCTGAGCCTCCACGGTCCTGGCTTAGAAACAAGAGCTTGCTAGGGTCAGGCGGGCCTTTTCCTAATCCCATACTTCAGGCCTGCACAATCAACGAACAGCTCAGCAATCCGAAACACCAGGGGCTGCAGGATCAAAAACTGCTCCTCTCATTGCCGTGTGGGCCCTGGGCCAGGCCAGTGATAATTAGGCAGAGCCTCATTACCCGGCCCTGGCAAGGCACTGCCTGGGACCACCGCAGAAGAGGCAAGGAAGTGCAGCTGGGCGAACAGGAGCTTTCTAGGTCACAGCCTGCTCGAGAGAGGCCAGGGAAGATGAAGTGATTCGGGGCTTTAAGGCACGGCTCTGCCTGTTCCCCGCCCTGGGGACCGAGGGAATAGGCCTGTCTGATCACTGACCAGGGCCTGCCCAACAGAAGATGAGCCTCATAGAAGCATTCCTGACCCCAACAGGTCACAAGCTAGAGGACCTTCCCGGGCCAGACCCCGCTGCCACGCCCCTCCCTGTGTGCGGCCACCCCCACGTTTCCAGAGCCGAGTGCTGCAGGCAGCTGCTCTCCCAAGCTGGCGGGGCAAGATGAAAGGCCTTGCTCATGTCCGCTGAGGGCTGGCCAAGATCTCTGCTAGCTCCATTCAGCAAGCCCTGGCCCCAGTGGCTCTCAATCAGGAGGAAGCGGTCAAATGACCACCAGAACAGCGGCGGTTGCTGGGTGGGGTGGGAAGGGGGTGGTGGCAGGGGTACCCTGAGCTCGCCTGGGCCATGTGGGTACTCTGGAGCCCCCAGGAGCATGGACGCTTAGGCCACAGGTCACAGAGCTGACGTCCCCACTGAGTTTCCCGTCAGGCCCCATGGGAATCTGGGGACACGCAGCTAGAAATCCTCTTCAGTCCCCAAGTGGCTGCTGACCTGCCTCTCCCATAAGTGCCCCGAGGCCCCCAGGTGACATTTACTCACTTTTTTAAGGGCTCGATCACAGTCTTCTGGATCTGGTTCACCTGTCAAAGAAAAACCCAAAGACATTAAAACTGGTGGGGAGGGGAGGGCGACACGCAAGGCAGGGCCCCTAACTACCAAAGGGCTAGGAAGTCTAAAGGGCCACAGGGTGCTGTCCTTGTCCTGGGCCTGGCTTTGCTCAGGGTGGAGGCCGGGTGGCTGGCCACAGAAGCCTCAGGGGCTGGGGTGAACAGGACTGCCGCCGGCAACCCTCACAGTAAGTAACATGAGCTCGTGGAGCCTCAGGAGGCAGGTAGAGCCAAGGCAGAACAGTCTGGAAAGAGCCCTGTGGGCTTGCAGCACCTTGCAGCACACGAGGCCAGAGGGCTTAGAGCCCTGAGAGCAGAGGGAGCCCACTCGGGCCTCCCCGCACAGTCCACCCAGAGGCCCAGACCGGGCAGAAGTCATGCTTGCCCACCCCACACCAAGACCTAGTCACCTTTTCCTGATTGAAGGCATCCATCCGCTTCATGGCCGTGTCCAGGGCCGTCACCATGTTCAGAAGGTCCTGGTCTTGCTCACAGAGGGGATTGGAGAGTAAGTCCAAGGATATCTTCACGGCAGATTTTGACATGGCTGTGGGAAGCCAAAGCTCGGTGAACCTTCTATGAAGGGGCAGGTTTCACGGCCTTCTCTCCAGGACCCCGTCCTCCTATGCCAGGGGCCTGCACCCTGAAGACCTCTTCCCACAGCCACGGCCGTCAAGAACGGCGAAGTACCACACAACCACAAGCTGCTGATCCCCATGGTTTAATGTTCATTCCTGACCCTAACACTGCTCCAGACAATTCTTTTGAGCCGCTTTACCTGTTCTCCAAACCCTGGGTTAGAAAAGGACCATCTGGGTGGGAGGCTATAAAATATGTTTCTGGCTCCAAAGATTCTAATTCAGTAAACCCGGTACCCAAGAATATGCATTTAAAACCGCTCTCCAAGTGGTTTGGACGTGATGCTTGGTTTGGGACTCCTGGATGGACAAGAATAACAGTACTCCAGTTTACACATGCTTTTACTACAAAAGGCCCAACAGTAAATATTTCAGGCTTCGTGGGCCATACAATTTCTGTTGCAACTTCTCAACTCTGCCTTGTGCTGTGAAAACTGCCAGCGACAACACATAAAAAAAGGGATGTGGCTGTTTCAATAAAACTTTATTGACAAAACTAGGTCAGATTAGGCCAGCAGCTGCACCCTGCCAACCCCTGGTTTCCTCAATATCCAGTAGGAAGAGATACGCTGGAAAATGTGTTTTCCCCCAAGACTCGCCCAGACACACACTGCAGCTGGTACAGGCGGGACTGGGACAGCAGGGCCCTCCTCCCGGGTCTGTTCCTGCTCCCCCAGAATTTTGTTTGTAAATAATGGAAACCTGGGGACTTGTACGGGACAAAGAGCTCCAAAGCTGCCAGCAGGTCCCCATCTTAGGGTTCTGCCAAGGTTCCCATGCACTCTCATTTAGGGCTCAAACAACCCAGGGGATGTCTAGCGGAAATGTAGTTTGGTTCCATTTTAGCGAGGAGGCAGATTAGGCGCAAAAGGGTTTGTAATGCCTCCAAGGTCAAACGGCTGAGTGCGCCAGCCGGGCCCTGACCCTTGACCCTGGGCAGCTGCTTCCCTGTTCACTGCTCTCCTTCTGATCTGGCCTAGAGGAAGCCAGTGGACAGGTCCATCAGGCTCTGTCCATCAGGCATCCACTGACGTTTTTCAAGGCACCCTGGTACCGGATCCCCATGAATGTGCCGCCCACCCCTCTGTGCTCCTCCCTCCTGTGTTGACATTCCCTGCTGGGCAGATGGGAAGCCTGGGAGTCACAGGCGGCTCAGAGGCGGGCTGGAGACCTGCTGGCAGCTTTGGAGCTCTTGGTCCTGAACATGTTTTCAGGCCTCCATTATTTCTAGATTCTAGAAACAAAATTCTGGAGGGGCAGGAAGCGGCCCTGGAGAAGGGTCATGCTGGCCTGATGCCGTCTGTACCAGTGTCAGAGTGCATCTGGGGCAGGTCTCAGGAGAGAAGACACATTGTGAATGCATTTCTTACCATATGCATGTTACTGAATTTAAGATGCTCTTCATTATAAGTCACTTATTGTATGAACTACTAAGGGAGAAAAAATTGTTGTCAATCAAACCAGGCTACACTTTCAGTACTTTGATTTCAGAGACATTAACTGTGGAAAAAGTGTCTTAGGACCCATGACATAAGGTCTGCCTCCCAGTTAATCACAGATGTGGCCTTGCCTAGCACTCCATGGCATGAACCTGAACCCTGACCCTGCGCTCCCCGGGGAAGGGTCTGCCTCCGCCAGGCCCCTTCACCAGTCAGCAAAGCAGCGCTGAGCGGACTAGCCAGCCCGGAGCACCCTCCTGGGGTTTTTCTGGAATCTGGGAGAGTGCTACAGTCAACCAGCAAAAGGGCAAACTGTGGGAGAAGGCTGGAAATGTAAACTTTCCAGAAATGTTGAAGCAACGGAGGGAAAAACACCTCTTAAATTCTGTGGAGTGACTCTGTAGATTTAGGAACAAACGTTACGTATAACTTGATTTGATTATGAAATGATCACATACAGCATAATAAAAAGATAATAAAATTCTGGATAAAGCTGGAAATGTTTCTGAAAAACATCTTCTGCTATTTCTTAAAAAAATATCTGAGGAAAACAACCCAAAAAGCCAGAGGAGCGAGGACACGGTCTTTCCACTTTCCTTTTTTTTTTTTTTTTCAGACGGAGTTTCGCTCTTGTCACCCAGGCTGGATGGAGTGCAATGGCATCATCTCGGCTCACTGCATCCTCCGCCTCCTGGCTTCAAGTGATTCTCCTGCCTCAGCCTCTCAAGTAGCTGGGATTACAGGTGCCTGCCATCACACCCACCTAATTTTTGTATTTTTAGTAGAGACGGGGTTTCACCATGTTGGCCAGGCTGGTCTCGAACTCCTGACCTCAGGTGATCTACCTGCCTTTGCCTGCCAAAGTGCTGGGATTACAGGTGTGAGCCACTGCGCCCAGCCCAGCTGCATTTTCCCCTTTCTTTCCTAAAGCTCTTGCATTGTCAGGAAGTCAAGGAACTGAGTGGGCTCAGTGGCCGGCCCTGGGCAGAACTGGGTCTGGAATCCCCGCCCAGTGATGCCCCCGCTTCATGTGAGCAGAGCAGAGCTGGGGTAGATGACACCAAGAACACCATGGTCTTGGCTGGGCGTAGTGGCTCATGCCTGTAATCCCTGTGCTTTGGGAAGCTGAAGCAGGAGGATCCCTTGAGCCCAGGAGTTCGAGACCAGCCTGGATGACACAGTGTGACTCTGTTCCCCCTCAACAAAAATAAACAGCAGGTCTCCATGCCCCTCTGGACCTGTGGTCCCTGCCCCAGCCCATACCCCTCATTGTTCCCTGCAGGGACTGGGAGAGGGGCACAGTCAGCCTGGCCCACACCAGGAGGCTGGTGATCTTTGAACCTTAGAGAAAGTGAGGGTCTTGGACCCCACCCGGGTCTCTGGAGTCCTGATGCGGCCTCTGGAATGTAAGATTCAAAGATTCACCAGAGCACTCTGAAAGTAGTATGAGTTTCTGAAAGAAAGGTCATCTTTTTTAGAATAACTGGGGATTTTCCACCTTGCTGGGGGAGCGCAGGAGATTCCACGCTCAGGAAAAGCATCCCTCCATTCCCCTCAACTGTCCAGATCAGTGGAGCTCACAGTGTGGGCCTCAGCATCACCTGGGAACTCCAGGGACACACATTTTCAGGTCTCGCCCAGCTCATGAGTTAGTTGGAGGCTGGAGGTGGGGCCCAGCGGCCCACGGCACAGCAAGCCCGCCTACAACACTGATGCCCCGTACATGAGACTGATGTGGCTGTCAGGCTCGCCTTGGCCCCATGACCACCACCACCGCTCTTCAGAGGCACTGTCTCTGCCCACATCCATTCCTGACTGAGGACAGTAGTGTTAGGCTTCTGCAGTTACCCATTCAACTCTGGTTTCTCTGCTGGGAAACTAAGCTTTCCACAGCCATGGACGGTGCGTCACGGACCCCTGATGCCCTCCTTGGTTCCGTAGCAAGCCACTGTGAACACAGCACACCCTGGCTTCGTTTATGCTCTGACAATGCAGCTGTCTGCAGAAGCAGGAAGGAAAGGAAGCAATGGCTCACAGCAGCTCCCGAACTGGAAAGGCAGTGGGGACCGATCAAGAAAAATGCGACCCAAGTAACTCAGACCTGAAATAACTACAAAACAAACAACTGCAGACAAACTCCCAAATCCAGTCCTTGGCTTGTGACACACATAGTTTGGCAACGCTAGAGGCCAGGAGCAAGGTGCATGTTCAGACCAGCCCACGGCCCAGGAATTAGCACTGGCATGAAAATTCATGGCACAGACCAAGACGGCCACAGTCCCTGCACAGGCAGTCAGCGCTCACCCGGGCATGGTGGTGGTGACGGCGGCTCCCAGGGAAGGAACGCTTTCCTTTTGTGATCAGTGCTTTGTAGGAAAGGTGTGTTTACACATCAGTAACTGGCTGAGGCTTAGGAGCTGGCATAAAATGGGAACAAATTCAAATCACTGCCTCTATTGGGACATTTCAAGGGTTTTCCTCGTAACTGCAGTACCAAGTAGGAGCACACTGGTCCTCAAGTCCCACCCGTAGGTGCCCACTGCCCTGTGGCCCTTTGAATGGTGTCAGGAGACAGTGAGGCCGCCCCATTTGCACTAGGCTCACAGACAGCCAAGCAAAGAGTGGATGGGCAACGGTTCCGGAGTGGGGGCTGTTTCGGTCACCTTCTAGTTTGGTGGCGGGCACGGGGGTGGGCAAAGGAATGAGTGGGGCATGGGGAGGCTTCGCTGTGGAGACAAGGCCCTGGACTTGGAGAAGAGGAGCTGAACTCTTCCTCCTTTATCAAATGGACATGCCCATTTATAAAATGGGTGTGTCATGTGCCCTGCCAATCTCAAGGTCAGAAAAGCTCAGGGAGGTGAAATTTCTTCACAGCCATAACATGGCATTATTCAGCAGCTGGAGTGGCCGAGGGGACTGAAGATGGCTTCTCCACCCTCCTGCTGCCTCTCCTGCATCTCTGGTCAGCGTGCACCACCTTAGGGCCTCCGCGCTTGCTGTCCACTGTGTTTCAGGCCCTCTTCCCTTGGCTCTACCTGTGTGGGTTATTCATTCCTTCAGGACTCTGCCCAGGGATCACGTCCCCACGAAGGCCTCCCTTGACCCTGTCACTCTCCACCTCCTTATTTTTATTGACCTTGCACGCCACGACGTGTCATTATATACCGATCCGCTTGTGGACCTCTTGCAGGTCTTCCTCCTAGAACGTAAGCTCCCATCTTGTCTTGCTGTTGAGTCTCTAGTGCTGAGAGTGCCTGGTGCACGTGGGTTCTCGGTCAGCATCTGCTGAGTGAGAGGAAGTGGGCAGTCCTGGCCATACCCAAGTCTCTTTCAGGTCCTCGTCCCAGTGTGGTATATAGACACGGCTTCCCCACTGGACCCAGGGAAGGAGCTGCAGGAGTCCACCCAGTCAGGGAGGCTTGCTGCCGACCATGACGACGGTGATGACAGGAGCGGACACCCCGAGAGCTGACCCGTGCCAGGCCCTGTTCTCAGTGCTTTACGTTGCTCATCCAACTTCATCTTCAGCAACAGCCTGTGCCACTCGGATTGGCGTTACCTGTGCTTCTCGGGTGACGGAACTGAGGTAGAGCTAAGTCAGCTGTCCAGAGCTGCGCAGGGAGTGCTGAAGCTATTGATCAACCTTTGGTCAAGTGCTTGCTGCTCCGGGGTGGGAAAGTCAAGGCCTTGGAGAAAGAACCTCAAGGAATGGTCTCCATCTCTCCCGGCTGCTCGTCGCCTCCTTCCTGGGACATGGCCTGCAGCAAGGGCTCTGGATGCTCCCTTATTCCCGACCTGCTTGTGTCTCTAGGCTCCCAGGCCTGGTTCCTCCTTGTTTCAAACAAGAGCTCTCCAGCCAAGAAACCTCCCCAAGGGCCCTGGCTGTTTCCCAGCACCTGCTGGCCCCCACTTCCCAAGGACCTCCCGGTGCCCTTTGTCATCATAGAATTATCTGGGGTATTTCTGGCCTTACACTTTAACCCAACCTCCTGTTTAAACACATGACAGCTTCCATTCTTGTTGCCACTGGAGCGCCTGTCCCAGCAGGCCACGGAGTCTCGTTTCTGCGGGAAGGAATGTGCTTCCCTTTCCCTCTGGACAGCCTGAGCCGGTGGCCAGGATTCTGAGGCAATGGAGGCATCTGCTACCAGAAGCTTCCACCAGCTGCTGTACTGTCCTGACTGGAGTCCCAGGAGAGCCTTGCCCCAGCACCCACATCCAGAGTGGGGCAGTGCGAGCTCTGTGCAAAGTGGGATGTGACTGGTGAGGAGTGACTGCCCTGAGGCTGCTTCTCAGGACACTGGGTACACGTCCTCTGAGCGCAGCAACTTCAGAGCCCTTGGGGGGCTGAGAGAGGAGGGTGCCCACCTCTGCCCCACCTGCTCAAGCGAGTGGTGCGGGTGGAAAGTCACCTACCCAGGTCTGCGTCGGTGCTCTTCTTCATGTCTTTCTGCAGCCTCCGGGTCTGCTCTTCCAGCCTGCAAGGCAGGGGACGGGCTGCTTGGGGTCCCCTTCCTTCCCCCTACCTGAGCGAAGCCCAGGTGCTCTGGAGGGCCTGCCAAGGAGGAGGAGAAAGGGATCTTCTCCACGGGGACTTTTCCCGCTGACTGAAGTGCCACTACACCCAAAGGCTATGAGTGAATGACTCTCACATGGCCATTGCCAGGGAACAGTTCCAGCAGCCTGGTGACCTGAGCTGCCCTCAGCTTCCAGGGTGCTCACGGGGCAGGGCACGGGGCAGACAGGTGAGACCTGGCAGGGGGCCCTTGTCCCTCCCTGCCTCCCACCTCATCTTTCTGGGGTTGACACTCACTGCTGAAGTTTTCCATACTCCCTTTCAAAGTCTCTCTCCACCTGAAACGAGAGAGATAACTCAATTATCGGAGAAATGACAACACGGTGGAAAAAACCTCCCAGCCTCCTGAAACTCTCTCCACACCCTGCCCCAGTCCGCAGAAAACAACATGGTCCAGTTCACACAAGCACCGACAGATCGCTCCTGACACGGTATTTCTGAGATCCCAAGTTAATTAAGTGTTTGAATTACGGAGGAAGGCTCCCCTCCCAGAGGGTCCAGCCAGGCAGGTGCCAGCGGACTGTGGCTCTGCTCTTCCCAGCTGGGAGCAAGGCACTCGCTGCATGCCCTCCTCACCCCAGGCTGGAGGCAGTCAGGGTGCTCAGAACGTGACTGGACCCCATCCAGGAAGGCAGCAGAGTGCAGAGGAGAGGGCGGGTCTGGAATTGGGGGTCTGTCTCTGCCTTTTCCTAGTTTCCAGGTCCATGCAGGGCACCTCCCCTCCTACGCGGCCCTCCACTCAGGGCCACCTGCCCCTGCTGGGCTCAGGGTGGGTCAGGAACAATCGTGCACCTGTGCTTTGTGATTGGGATGCATCAAACACAGACACTGTGACTACTGACTCAGGTCAGGCTCTCTCCATTCCCGACCGGGTATCAACTCTCTTGAGAGCCAGCAACACTGAAACCAAATGGGTGAGTCCTGAACCCGGGGCTGCACTTGTTGCGGAAGATGAAGTTAAGAAGTCTAGTACTTTCTTCTGGTGCCTTGACTTCACTATCTGTAAAACGGAGCCTCATGATTGGTCTCTTATGGGCATGCAATGGGAAGTAAATGACATCGAGAGGCAAAGGAGACTAAGCTAGAGGCCTGCCCTCCCTGGCCAGAGCTGCAGCCGTCAGGTGCCAGCTTCGGGCTTCGTGCTCTGAGAAGTCAAAACCGCTAACTCACATTCACAGAGCCCTCACTGTGTGCTTTACAAGAATGCAGTTCTCTACACTCATCTCCAAGGCAGGTCACCGGGAACCAGGTTACGTACCCTGGCCAAGGTCACCCCATTGGTGAGGGGTAGAGTTGAGCACAGTGGGAATGGAACCCAGGCAGCCTGGCTCCACAGCCTGTGTTCGTAACCATCATTCTCCTGGAAGGCATTTGCTGACCCAAGAAAGAAGTCTTCCTGGCTGCTCCCTGGGAATCCTGTCCCCAAGAGCCCTAGATCCTGACTTCTGCTCTGAGGGTCAGGGAGTACACATCTGCAGAAACTGTCAAAGCCACGCTATTCCTACCACTGTCTTCCAGCAACGCTGACCTGATGAGAGAATTCTAAGCCCCTTAACCTTAGCACTCCACGTTTGGATTTAGATTAATTCAACATAGCCCTGGAATGACAAAACAGCATTTATGCTACAAATGAGGAGCCCGAAGCCCAGAGACAGGAGTGACTTCCCTAAGGATGCAGGACATTCTGGTGGCAATGCAAGGCTAGAATCCAGAGTCCTGGTTCAGGTCTTTTTGTTTCAAATTTAAACAACATTCATTCCTACGAACATGTATGAGCACCTATTAAGTGCGATGCATTCTGCCAGGTTCTGGGGATACCCTGGTGATTCAAACAGACATGGGCCCTGGTGGTGGAGATAAACAACTGCCAGATACAAATTTACTTGCTGACTATGATGGGCCTTTTGGACAGCAGGAATGAGGCCAGAGAGAGTTGAACACAGAGTCTGCTTAGCTCTGGCTCTCTGGGCATGACAACAGACTCACTGCATGGAGATAGCTTACCTTCCTCATTTCAACTGTAAAATCCAGAAGCAGGAAAAAAATGATCTTTTCCTTACTTTATGATCCTAGCATCTAGAACCTTCCACAAAACTGTGAAGTAAAACCCACCATTGGTGCCCCCGCCTCCCATCCTACAATCTTTCTTCCTCTTTTCAACAGACTCTTTCTCCATCCAGGAACCCACTATTTTTATCATTACTTACCTTAGGATCCAGCAAAAGCTACTCGTAAGAAAAAAATTCAAAAATCACTCCCACTAAAGCACAAATGCTTGATGAGCATTTAAAGTGTTGCCTGTCCCAGGGGATTTACAAGTTTGCAGGAACCAAAGTCTTAGCTAAAGGAACGGAAAGACTCTGGTGTAACTGCAGGTGGGAAATTTGCTTTGGTGTGAAGGAGCCTCGCCAGGGCCCTTGAAAGTCTGTACTTTGGTGTCAGCCTGGTTTTCTCCAGCAGGGCTGGAAGAATGCAGTTTAGAGGCATGAGCAGAGACAGGTAAGATATGAACTCTGATACTAGCTGTGGAGACTTGATAGTACTAAGCATTTTTTTTTTTTTTTTGAGACAGGGTTTTGCTCTGTTGCCCAGGCTGGAATGCGATGGTGGCATCATGGCTCACTGCAGCCTTGACCTTCTAGGCTCAAGCAATACTTCTGTCTCAGCCTCCTGCATAGCTGGGACTATAGGCATATGCCATTATGCCTGGCTAATTTTTTAAATTTTAGTGGAGACGGGATTTTGCTATGTTGCCTAGGCTTGTCTTGAGCTCCTGGCCTCAAGTGATCCTCTTGCATTGGCCTCCCAAAGTGCTGGGATTACAGGTTTAAGCCACCTCACCCAGCCAACTTTAGGTGGCTTACGAGGAAATAGCTGATATCATCTACCCCAGTGGTTCCTTTTGAGGATTAAGAGGCAGTGCGTGTAGAGCAGATTGCAAGGTGCCTGGCCCATGGCAGTCCTCACTAAATGTTAGTTTCTGTGTTTTTCTCCTGCTCACTGGGGTGCTGGGAAGACCAGAGCAATTTGGGGCTGCAGGCTGGGCTATAAACCTGGGCTATAAGCTGCCCCAAGCACACAGGAAACTAGCAGCCAGGGAAACCCTGATGTTGGTTAAGGGTGGAGTCCCATGCTTGGGTGTTGTGATAATGCCCTAGCTCCCTTTACTAGACACACTTTTTTTTTTTTCTTTTGAGGCGGAGTTTCGCTCTTGTCACCCAGGCTACAGGGCAATGGCGTGATCTCGGCTCACCGCAACCTCCGCCTCCCGGGTTCAAGCGATTCTCCTGCCTCAGCCTCCCGAGTAGCTGGGATTACAGGCATGTGCCACCGCGCCTGGCTAATTTTCGTGTTTTTAGTAGAGACAGGGTTTCTCCATGTTGGTCAGGCTGGCCTCGAACTCCTGACCTCAGGTGATCCCCCCCGCCTCGGCCTCCCAAAGTGTTGGGATTATAGGCGTGAGCCACTGTGCCCAGCCTGCTGGACACATCCTTCTTCTTCTTTTTTTTTTGAGACAGAGTCTCACTCTGTCGCTCAGACTGGAGCGCGGTGGCACAATCTCTGCTCACTGCAACCTCTGCCTCCCAGGCTCAAGCAATTCTCATGCCTCAGCCTCCCACGTACAGCTGGGACTACAGGAGTGAGCCACCACACCCGGCTAATTTTTGAATTTTTTTTTTTTTTTTGGTAGAGATGGGGTCACCATGTTGCCTGGGCTGGTCTTGAACTCCTGGCCTCAAGTGATCTGCCTGCCTTGGCCTCCCAAAGTGCTGGGATTACAGGCATGAGCCACCGCGCACGGCCCACATCTTTCCTCTAACCTTGCAGGATATGACAGCTGAGCAGCATCTTTACTTATTAAAAGTATTTATTTCCAGAAAGAGAAAATTAAAACTAAGCACTACTTGGCCCAAACCAAACCCCTCTAGAGATCCAGAACACACAGGGGGCGCTCTTTGGGAGGGGTGCTGAGTGTTAGCTGAACCCCGGGGCCCTAGCCTTTGGCTCCCTTCCTCCCTTTTGCAATCCCCCAAGTGTGCCGATGTGTGTGGGATGTCAGACAACACCTGGTCTCCCTGGCTGGGGACTGCTTGGACTTGTACCGGGAGGGACTTCAGGTTTTCAGCTAGGTTGATCATCCTGGAAGCTGAGGAACTTGAGGTCTCACAATGAAGCTGAGGAGAAGGTCAGGGGTGGGAGCGCGTTTTCTACTTGGTGCCGCTCAAGGCCATCTGACAGCCTGAGAGGAGTTTGGACACATTTCACCTCCCCTGCTTCCAGCGGCCGGGGTGGGTTGCTTCTCTAGCTCACTGGTCCGAGAGTTCTCTCCTCCACTGGGGAAAGATGCACGGGGACACTGCCAGAATTCTAGCCTCTCAGATAATGGCTAAGGGACTAAAGGGACACACTGGAGCCTCATTCCGAGGAAAAGAGCCAGACAGAAAAGATCTGAACATCTTTGAATGCTTGATGCCTTTGCCAAAAAGGCAATTGGACCCCAGTCAACAATGCAAGTATAAACACATGTGCACGGACCATCAGGGGATCAGGGCAAGCTGGGCCAGGCTGGCGAGGTTAGCTCAGGGAGAACCAAGCCCCAGACGACTACCCGTGGCCACCCCCTGCATTCATTCTCCAAGGCCCACGGTGGGAGGAAAGGGTTTTGCTGTTCCCTGCTCTTTTGGCAGTGCACAGGTCAGGCCCTGGCACAGAGTGGGAACTCAGTATGAAGTGAATGAACAGGCTGAGTTCCCACCCAAACTTATGCTCATGGTGAAGTGAAAAAGGAAACTGGCAGGCAGGGCTGGGGCACTGATCCCAGGGCTGAGGTGCATCTGATCGGAGTCTGAGAAGCCCAGAATCCTCAGCATTCTGGGAAGCCCCTCCTTCAAGGGATGCTCTGCGTGGAAAGTGGGCTCCCTGTAGGTATGTTCTAGCAGGATTAAGCAGGATTAACGAGGCTAAGGGCCCCGCCACCTGGCAGATGAAAATCCTTCTCCAGTGGAGAGGCTGCATGTGGCCAGACTCTCTTTGCCCTAACTTTGCAGAGCACCCACCTGGCTAGGAACCTTGGAGCGCATGTTCCTTGTGTGCAAGACTCACAGTAACCCTTGTTTCAGGGGGACACGAAGAGCAAAGCTTCGAAGAGCTCTTCCATCCTCCCAGGTTATGGAGGAAGGTGTGGCGGCTTCTTCCTACGCTACGATGCTCCCGCCACTTTATGGGACCTGGGGAGTGGGAGGGGACTGGGTGGAAGGTTAGGATCGGGATCGGGGGAGCTTTTGTTCCTCCATCTCAGTTCTAATGGTCAGCCCCAGCAGGAACAAGCCATTCTAGCCAAAGCCTTGACAATAATGGAATTTGTGTTAATAACCTGGGCACAGGAGAGCAGTGAGGGTAGGGACACAATGCTTTCTTTGTGCCTGACAGTTGGGTGCCTTGAGCCAAAAACCTCCTGAAACTCCCTGAAGATAACGTGAGCATTTCTTCCCATGACAGGGGCTCCATGACTTCCAATAACCCAGGCAGCCACAGCTGCTCCCCTCCCTGAAAGTGCCTGGGCAAGAACAACAGAGTGCGTCACTGCTGTTCAAGGGCAGCTGCCAGAGATGCTGAGACAACTGCACAGCCCAGGCCTGTTTTGGGGGCCGGGAGGGGGTGGTGGGTGGGGAATGAGACTGAAGAGGCAGGGTCTTACTACTTCTACTTCAGTGCCTCTGGGGAGTGGAGGGGTATAGGCCAGGGAAGCAAATAACTACTCCGAGCTGTAGCTCAGCTGTGATTCCTTGTGAGAGATCAAAGGCCCAGCCGACTTTTGTTGCGTTGGGAAATCTAGCTGCCTGGGACAGGCTGAGTCCCTGATGGTTCATAAAGAAGGTCAAATCAACCAGCTTCCTGTGATGTAGTTAACTGGGGACTTATTTTGTGCCAGACACTGTGTTAGGTGCCTTCAGTGTATTATCTTGTGTGAGCCTCAAAGTAACATCTGTGACACAGGTACTGTCATCATCCTGATTTTATAAACGAGAAAATGAAGGCTCCAGAGGTTAAGGAACTTGCCCAAGGTCAGAGACAGCATGTGGCAGGGCCAGGATGGGGACCCAGGCTGCCAGCCTCCCAAACCTAGTTTCTTAACCCCTACCTGACCCCCAGTCTATCAGAGAGCAGATGCCATAATCAGAGGACCACAATTCCATCTCCAGCGAGACAGATGCGAGGAAGGGAAGAGGGATGCCCTGTGTGCATCTGCCCGCACTGCGAGTCCTTGCCACTCCTTAGATCAACGGAGCCAGAGATCTTGCCACCAACACACTGGCAAAGCAGCTGGTTTGTCTACACTTTCTGTGGAGAACAAAGTTCATTTTGATAAAGGTTGGGGTGCTGGGAGGGTTTTTGTTTGTAGTGAGCATTCAGAATAAAAGAACCCTCTTGAAACCACTTCCCTTTCAGATCTGTCATGGATTAAACTCTGGAGACTCAAAGCCACACCTTCCCACTTCCTGCAGCCGGCTAGAGACCAACATATGCACACCCAGATTCTTTGGACTTCAGCTGAGAGCCTCCACAGATGGTCAGCCTCTGCATGAGAGGTCAGCGCTGAGTTGGTCAGCACCCTGCCTCTGCATGAAGCAGAGAGGCCCCACCCCCCAACTTTTTTTTTTAACAGACAGGGTCTCAGTCTATCACCTAGGGTGGAGTGCAGTGGTGCAATCAGAGCTCACTGTGGCCTCGAACTCGTGCGCTCAAGCAGTCCTCCTGCTTTAGCCTCCCAAGTAGCTGGGACTACAGGCGTGCATATTTTTTGGTAGAGTCGGGGTCTCTCTTTGTTGCCCAGGCTGGTCTCAAACTTCTTGCTTGAAATGATGCCCCCACGTTGGCCTTCCAAAGTGTTGGATTACAGGCGTAAGCCACTGGACCCTGTGAGGGTGCTTTTAACTTGGGCCTGTTTCCTCTCAAGTGACCTTACTCTGGATTTGCTAGAGATGGAGCCATTGGTCAGATGTGTGCCAAACTTCTCACCACACTGAAGCAATCTCTTTCCTGTACTTTTGAGAGCTCTGCCAAGGAGGGGAGAAGCTAGTAAGACAAGGAGAACCGTCAGGGGCTGGGATGACAGACGAGGGCCTCTGCCGCCAGCACAGCACCGGACTTCCTGTAGCTGTCACATCAGAGAGGCTCTACAGTTGTGGTCTCCCATGTTAAAACCAAGAGACCCACTCAGATTTGTGGGTCAGGAGGTTGAAAAGGCTATTTTGCACCGGGATTCCAAAACACTGGGAGGGCTTCACTGCCCAGGGAAGCATGAGGCAATGGAAAGAGTATCAGCCAGGGGCTCACGCCTGAGTTCTAACTCCAGCTTTGCCAGTGTGGGGTTTTTATAACTTGAGGAAGTCATTGCAACTTTCCACGGGCCTCATTTTCTTCATCAGGAAAAATCAGGAGGTTGGACTAGATGGTCTCTATGAGCTTCCAGCTCTAACTTCCTAAGAATCTATGATTCTCTTCCTTTCCCATTCTGGAGATAAAAACTTTCTAGGGATAAAAACTGTGGGCTTAAAGGGGGGTGGGATTCAATCTTCCTTTCCTGCTGAGTGACTCTGGGTCATGGCCAAGAATGCATTTGGAAGTTGACACAAACAGGCCGAGGCCACTGGGAAAAGCTTCCTGGAGTTTTCTGCAGCTGAGGTAACAGAAATAAATGCCTGGGCAGTGTCTTTGGTGGGGGCCACTCTTTCAGGAACACTCTTAGGAAAAGTATAGACCACAAGCCAGTCCCTAGAGGTGGACCGTTCTAAAGCAATATCTTCCTCTACATTTTTGTAATCCACCCATTCCCCCTGCCCAAGGATGATAAAGAGCCCAGGCTAACCTTTCCTAGGGGAAGTGTCCCAGGACAGGAGGCCCCTCTAAGCCTCAGTCTATGTGAGGTTCTAGATCCGCATAAGCAGGAAGAAGGCCCAGGTTGCTGTCTTCCCAGCCCCAAGATGTGTTGATTCAAAGCTTTGATTCTTATGCAAAGGCCATGTGATACAGAACTGAATCTCACAGCAAAACAATCGAGTTACTCACTGTTTTGGGCACAATCTGTTTCTTGGGCTGCCCAATCTTAAAAGGAATCCTATAAGAGAAAGAGACAAAGAGAGATATTGTGAGAAGTGGGGAAGGATGCAGCTCAAAGTATCAGTACAGTACAGGCCACTTTCCCCCAGGAGGGCGAGGAAGCGTGGCCATGGCTTGCTACTTGGACCATGTGCCCTGGTGGGCATACAACCATTGGCATCTGGGCTTGGTTCTAAGAGAGAGATAGGTCCTCCCACCTACAGTGTCAGATGCAGGTTGCTCTGCCCCAGAACATCTTTGCTACTGATAGTCTGTCATTTAAAGAAAATGAAAAGGTGAGGCCAAGGAGTTTGAGGCTGTAGTGACCTATAATTGCACCACTGTTCTCTAGCCTAAGCGACAGAGCAAGACCCTATCTCCAAAAAAAAAAAAAAAAATCCGCTGGGTATGGCAGCTCATACCTGCAATCCCAGCACTTTGGGAGGCCCAGGTGGAGGACTGCTTGAGCCAGGAGTTCAAGACTAGACTGGGCAATATAGCAAGATCCTATCTCAAAAAAAAAAACACAAAAAAACAACCACCAAAAATTAGCCGGGCGTGGTGGCACATGCCTGTAGTCCCAGTCACTTGAGAGGCTGAAGCAGGAGGATCACTTAAGCCCAGGAGTTTGAGGCTGCAGTGAATTATGATCATACCACTGCACCCTAGCCTGGGCAACAGAGGGAGACCCTGTCTTTTAAAGAGATAAAGGAAGGGAACAGAAGGGAAGAAAGGGGAAGGGGAGGGGGAGGAAAGGAAAGGAAAGGAAAGGAAAGGGGAAGAGAGGAAAGGCGAGGATGGCAGGAAAGGGAAGACACCCGCGAGGATGGCAGGAAAGGGAAGACACCCTGTGAATGACAATAAAACCTTGTGTCTTGAGGAGGTGCAAACTCAGAAATTACAGACTCACTGTAATAGCTATCATCCTTGAAATCACGAATCATTATGGTCTATATTAGGTGCTTTGCTACTTCTCTATAGAGGGGCAAACTTTGGATCTGCAAATCTTCTTTGGAGGCTGGGGAGAGTTAATAAATAACAGAGGCATTAGTGATTGGCCGGGCTGGATTATTTCCCTGGGAAAACTCACAAAATCAAAAAGCTGCTAACTTGGAAAATAATCTGAAATCCAGCCCAAGTCTGCCTTGGACTTGCTATGAAGAGCTGCACCTCAGATTCCCTACTTTACAGCATGGCACAGCGGAAGGAGGATCATGGGTCTAGGAGTCTCAACCTGAGCATTAGCCTGGCCTCCGCTTCCACTGAGCAGGCTGCCCTTCGGCAGGTGACGGCTGCACTGGGACTCCATTTCCTGCTGCATAAAACGAGTAGATTAAACTAGGTAATTTAGGAGCTTCCTTGAGGCACTGAGCATTCTATGATTCTCCAACTCCAGGAAGAAAAGAGGCCAGGCTAGAAAGTGCATCCCAATGGCTATGGAAAGGGTAGACTCCCGATCCCAGGTAGGAAGTGAGTCAAGAATCCCTGCGATCAGCTCCGGCAGAGGGCTCTCAGCCAGCCATGCTCATCCCTCTCCTTTTGGCTCTTCCATTCAAACCTCCCGTTTCCACAATGCACCAGACCCGCTCCACCAGGCCCACATCCCACCCTTCCCTCCACACCCCCTTCTCCCTGAGCCTGCTTTCCTTTGGCCCAAACTGACCAACACACTGTTGCTAAACCCAAGGGTGTAATTAACCACCGATAATGACCCCAAACAGTGATCCAGTGGAGGGGATGGGCCAGCCTGAGTCACAGTGGTTTAAATTTAATTTCTGGAGGACATCCTGTTTATTGTTAACCCAGCCCCATAATTTGGGAGTGTTAACCCTTTGGGGGCTGGCTGATTCGCATCTTCTGTAAACAAATAAATTCTGACTACATAATAACCAGGGAGGAAAGGTAAGGTCTGGAAATGAAAAGGAAAGAAAAAATGAAATTGTTGCTTCCTTTCTCAGACCTAAACAGAAAAGGTTCACGGGGAGATGGGTTCCTTCCCCACACCCTGGTTACTTTTCCCATTCTCAGGGATTACAGCTGACAGACAGGATGGTTTTTGGACAGTGAGCAATTGCCCTCAAGGACCATTCTGGAGACAGTGCAAATGAGGTCCTGGTGGCAAGGACCACTCTGGAGACATTGCAAATGAGGTCCCAGTGGCATTGCAGACAGACAGCCTGTATTCTGTGGGAAGCATGCTGCAGCTGAAAGCGCTCTCGACCCGGTATCAGAAAACGTGGCCTCTGCCTCCGACTCATTTTGTGATTTGAACAAATCTCAATCTCTCTGGAGCCCAGTTTCTTAAACTATAAAACAAAGGAGTTGGAATCCCTTCAGCTTATCTAAAACTGGAATTCTAAACTGAATCTCCACTCCAAGAATATGGGGAGTAGGATGAGAATTCTAAAGAAGTCTCAGAGTGGTCTTCAAAACGATTCTTGGAGTTTAGTACTGTAGACAAGGGACCAAGAATCAGAAACGTAGATTCCATTATTTGTGGTGTGACAGCCTCCCTCTAAACCTTAATTTAGTATCACGGTATTTTTAGAACTGTAAGTTACCATAGAAATTTTTTCCCCAGTTCAACCCTCTCCTTTTGTAGATGAGGAAGCAGATCCAGAAAGGTTCAGTGACAAGCCCAGGGTCACTCTGCTGGCTCACAAGAGAACAAGGAAGAAGCAACCAGCACCCCTGGTGTCCAGCCCAGTTTTCTCTCTGCTACCCACAGTTCAATACTCTTTTCACATGAATTTGTTATAAGTATGTGATGAAAACACCTAGTCTCAAAGTCCTACAGAATTCCAAGGGGCTCATTGTTCTTAAGGGTCTGGAAGTGAATGGGAGGACGTTCGTGCTGAACTGGGTGCTCTGGCACAATAAGAGGTTATGTACACCACGCAGACGGAACAGCTCTTTCCTTGTATTTTCACCACAGTTACTGATGATCACAGAGACCTATCATACTGTTCTGATTATTTTTCAACTCACCTGCTCAAAAGCCCTATTAGAACACTTTAAAAAAATCCTTCACATTTAAAAAGTTTTAAAGAAAAACTGTGAGGCCGGGCGTGGTGGCTCACACCTGTAATCCCAGCACTTTGGGAGGCCGAGGCGGGTGAATCACGAGGTCGGGAGATCGAGACCATCCTGGCTAACACGGTGAAACGCCGTCTCTACTATAAAAAATACAAAAAAAAAAAATTAGCTGGGCATGGTGGCGGGCACCTGTAGTCCCAGCTACTCAGGAGGCTGAGGCAGGAGAATGGCATGAGCCTGGGAGGCAGAGCTTGCAGTGAGCCGAGATTGCGCCACTACACTCCAGCCTGCGCGACAGAGTGAGACTCCGTCTCTCAAAAAAAAAAAAAAAAAAGGAAAAGAAAAATTGTGAAGGAAGTACATAATTCCTATGTTGCCCACCCTCAGTTTCCCCTTTTATTAACATCTGATATTGGTGTGGTACATTGGTCACAAACAATGAACCAACAGTGAGAGTCAAGACTATCCTTTCTTCAGACCTCCTCAGTTTTCCCCATGTCCTTTCTCAGTTCCAGCATCCCACCCAGGTCCCCACGTCACCTTCAGTCACTATGTGCCCCGAGGCTCCGCTTGGCTGTGACAGTTCCTAAATCTCTCCCTGCTTTTGATGACCATGCCAGTTTTAAGTGCTGGTCAGGCATTTTACAGAATGCCAACTTGGACTTGTCTGATGCTTTTCTCCTGACTAGACTGGAGTTATGGCTTTTGGGGTAGAAGATCACAGAGCAGAAGAGCCATCCTCACCACATCATACCCAGGGTCCACGATGTCAACATGCCTTACCCTGCTGATGTGAACCTTGATCACCAGGCTGAGGTCATCTTTCTCAGCTTCCTACTGTGAAGTTACTCTCCCTTCTCCCTTTCCCTACTGCACTCCTTGGGAGGAAGCCATCATGCAGAATCCTATTTCTTATTTATTCAACCATTCAATATCAGTATGGACTCACAGATATTTATCTTATATTTTGGGTTATAATCTAATACATTATTTTGATGCTCAAACTGTTCCAGCTTTCACCACTGGCAGCTCTTTCAGTTGGCTTCTGTGTCCCTTTGACATATCCACATCAACGTATGTATGTATGTATGTATGTATGTATGTATGTATGTATGTATGTAAGTGTGTGTGTGTATTTCCTTACTTTCCAGCTCTACGACATGTACCAAGTGCATCTTGTACATTTCCTGCCTCAGCCCTAGAATCAGTGGAGGAACTTACATTAGTATTCAATGTGCTTCTGTAATATGTTCTCAACCTTACTTTTCCTATTCACTCAGTACAACTGCCATGATTCAGCCAAGTGGCTGTTCATTAATCCCCCAAATCTAGACTCCTTATAATTTCCTGTCCCAAACTGGGACATTTTGGAGTACACGTCATCAGGACAACTTGGACTGCCCAGGGCAACCAGGACAAATGGCTACCCCACCTATATGGAATGCTTTCTCTGCTCCCAGGAAAACTTCTCACCTTCTTCTAAACGTCAAAGACTTATTTGGCATTTAAAAAATTCTACCCTTTACAGTTAATTACAGTTTATCTCCTTAAAAAGTAAAGTATTCACACGAGAAACAGTAACTTTAAAACAACTATTACAGAAAAACGTGCTCATTGCAGAACACTTGAGAAATAAAAGGGGATGGGGTGGGTGGGGGTATAAGGGAGGAAAAGGAGAGGGAAAAACCCAGCCACGATTCCGCATCTAAAAGATGGCCAAGGTTAATGTTTCAGTGTTGCTATTTATATTTTTTAAATTTACAGTAAGAAAAACTGAAGCAAATATGCCAAATGTTGGTAGTGGCTAATTCTGGGTGGTGAGAATATGATTACTGTTTTCTTCTTTGCACTTTCCACATTTTTCTTTCAAATAAACCAAAAACAAAAACAAAAACAAACAAACAAAAAAACACCCTTGTTTTTTTCTTGACTACAAAAATAGCACCTGATCAGTGTTAAAAACCTGGAAGAGATAGAAAAACGCAAAGGACAACACACACACACACACACACACACACACACACACACACACACACACCCCCAAAGGAAAAAATTAACAGTAATATCCTGAATCACAGTGTGTACATGTGTGTGTGCATGTGCATATGTAAATTTTATATAATTTTTAAATTAATAAGTAAAAGAAATATCATGAATGGTTTTATATGAGAATATATCATTTTCACTCTCCTGATTTTTAAGAGCTACGGAAGTAAAATGAGTGGTTCAGGTATATAATGGAAATGTACCACTCGTTTTATTTCTGTAACCTCATCACTTACTGCTGGTCATTGCAACCGTTTCAAATTTTTCTTCTATTATGAACAAAAACTCCAATAGGTAAATCTTGGTGTGCACTAAGAGTCATACAGGATCAATTCTGTATACTGTGTTCAAGGCTTTGACACATTTTGACAAACTGCCCTAGAGACAGATTGAAACATTTAACATTTTTGAAAAGATTGAAACAGTTTACATTTTACTAACCACACTTTGGTTTGTATATCAGGATTTTTTTCTTGGATTAGTGTTTGCCTTTCACTTTTGTACATGCTTGTGTTTAATGTACAGAAGCTTTTGATTAGTGTGAAATCAAATCTACTAAATCCGCCTTTTGTGAGTTCTTCTTTTGGTATCAAACTGAGGATGACCTGCTTCCTCCACTCCATCAACTTGCAACTATTTACCTATATTTACTTTATTACTTTTATGGCTTCCTTTTGTTAATCTAAATTCTATCATTAGTATCAAAGTTATAGTGTGCACAGTCTAATAAGGCAACAAGATTTCTTAAGTAAAACGTTAGTTCCCAGGACTCCCTAATCTCATTTGCCAGAAACAACCACTTTCAACTCAACTGAGTTTCTAGTATTTACCTTTGCACATCTAAAGATAAATGCTTATACTGCTACCTCTAGATCGTTAGGTTTTTAGGCACTAAAAATCTACTTTAGCTATTGACTTTTTACTTCGGAAGATGAAGATTTAAAATTAAACAAACAAAATATTTTTGGGTACCCATCGCTATTTCATGAAGCCACACTTGCAGCTCTTCTTCTCAATATAGTTACAGTATAATAACTTGGTTAGCTCAATATTAAGTAAACTATTAGGAGGATATTGTGAGTTTTCTTCCATCCTGCCCTTGGGAGCCAGCAGATTGTTCAGCCTCAGTCAAAGCTTTAGGGCATAGCAGTTGTAGCCGATGTACTGAGTCACAAACTCGTAAGAGTTTCCAAGTCAAAGCTCCAGCTATGCCACTCCCAAATTCCTGACCAACAGAAACTATTTGTTTCCAGCCACTAAGTTGTGGGATAATGTGTCACGCAGCAGTAATACATAAATAACATGCATACTTTTTTTTTAACTTTCCCTAAAATTGGTAATTGTCACTTTTCTTTCATTTGCTTGTCTACGTACTTATCCCCAATTCAATCTGTGGTCTAACTCTGGTTTCAACACATTCATCGTTATCAGGTGTTCTCTCCTTTGCATCTTCCGGACAGTCTGCCCTGCAACTGCTGCCTCGCTCCAACCTGGACTGGCTGCCTGCTCCCCAGCCGTGAGGCTCTCAGCACCAGCTGTCCCTTCACCAATCTTTCTGGGATTCCTTTGACTTCTCTTTCATGATTTTTCCCTGATCCTCCTCTTTCTTCATTTACCCCTTATTTTGGTGGGAACAAAGTATGTGGGAGGTCACTTTTGAGACTGCACATCCTAAAACCTTGTTCTTCTACCTGCAGGCTAATTTGGGCATAGAATTAAAGGCTGGACATAATTTCTGCCAGAATTTCAAAGGCATTGCTCCCCTGTCTTCTAACTTCCCAGTACTGCTGCTGTGGGAAAGTCTGAAGCCACTCTGATTCCCATCCTTTGTATATAACCTGTTTTTTATTTTCTTACACAATCTTATAGGAATATATGTTTGTCACGGTGTTGTATAATTTTACAACAATGTGGGTCTATTTTCATCCACTGTGGTGGGTACTCACAGGACTGTTTCAATTTGGCAATTTATAATCTTCGGTTCTGAGATTTTAAAAATTTTGTTGTTGATTTCTTGTTTTCTGTTTCTTACTTCTGAAACTTACAATTTCGATGCTGACCCTCCTTGGCTGGTCCTCTAATTTCTGTTTCTCAATTTCATCTTCTAACGCTTCTACCAAGTTTTTTTTTTTTTTCATTTCTGCTATCAGATTTTTAATTTCTAAGAGCTCTTTTAAATTTTCAGGATGTCCTTTTAAAATGGTATCTTATTTTTATTTCATGGATGCCTTATCTCTCTGAGGATCTTAACAACAGCTTTAATTAAAAAGTTTCTTCTTCCCTTTATAGTTTCAGTTTTCCTCCAAGTTGCTTTTTTTCTTTTTGTTTAGTCTTTATTTTCCATACTAAGTGCTTTCCTTGGATGTGTGGTAATTCTTGGTTGCCTACTCTCATCTATGACTGGGAGACAAAAAGAGCTGACAAGAAGCTCTGAGCACACGAACCATGTTTATCTACTGGGTAGGACAATCTGCAAACTGGCTGAACAGTTTTGTGGGGAACTCCCTGATGTCACTATCTTTCTACTCTTTTCTCTTGGGCAGGTAAAATTCCTTAGAGAAGATTCTTCCAACCTTCTGCCATTCTGGGAACTCGGCAATGGAAGAGCCTGCGTGTGCATGTATGTGTACACATGTGTGCATGTGCGCATGTGTGGTGGGGAGGGGAAGGGGTGTGCCTTGGCACTCTGAGGGTGTGCGTTCACTTCATCCTCCCGACTTCACTAGGGCAGTCCCACCCTCAGCTGTGCTGGCTGCCCTCTCAGAGGCGGGTTTGAAGTTTATACAATTTTGTATGCCCCATTTCAAGAAAATTACAAATATACAAATAGGCATGAAAGTGAATATTTAGGCAGAGAAAAGAGCAAAACAAATGCGAAGTTTTAAAAGCTAATAAATGACACAAACATCAGGAAATAATCTAGTATTTTTATGAATCATCTGCCTAACACACCTCTATCTTTGTCTCCCTACATTTTTGGGCTGCTTAGTGTTTGGTTGCCTCTTCATGTGATGCAGAGTTGGTAGCATCATTTTCTTAGAGTAAAAAAGGTAATTCCCTCTTTCCTCTGGTATGGTTGTTCGAAATTTTTCTACTACTGATGGTTTAGAAGAGCCTTTTTCAGCTTACTGGTAATATCCAAATTTTAGGATTGTTGTAAAATTTAGAAAAATCTCATGTTTCCTCTGCAAATAAACTAAGATGTCAGGGCACATTTCAAGGTTTCTTGTACAGTGACTAATCTTAAGTGTTCTTTGAATTAATGACAGTGACCAGTTTGTCATTAATGTCTGTCTTTGAAGGAGGGCGTATTTTGAATTTTGTTATCTTTGTTATGTTTTTCATGTTAAATCCGCCAGAAATTTAAATGTTTTATCAGTGTGTTCCGCTGATTTGCTCCTCTTCTTCATTAACTGAGTTTTCTAACAATCATCACTCCTATTTAAAATGGATCTCGTTCTCTTAATGGATTACTCACTTTTGGTACAATTGGAAAATGTTTTGTTATGCTTTGCTATATTTCAGAATGATTTCTACATATTTAAGCACTCACCTTATCATTTTTGTGTTCCATTATTTTTAAATCCAATTTTCTCTCTAGTTTTTAAGTAAATTTAAAATTGACCACAAAAGGTAACCGTTACACATTTCCAACTCAGGAGCCTGTGATTTCTTGTTTTACTAACATTTTCCAAAGATGTCTTTACAACGTACAGTTAAAACAGTATACTCCCAATTCACCCTTCCTTAGTTCCATCCCCCAAAAAAGCCTGGGCTACCCCAGGATTGCCTGACATGAGGGATAGTATGAAGAAGTAAAAGCAGGAATGAAGACAGAGGTTTTCCTAACTCGCTGCAATGTAAACACTTTATGTTTCAGTTTACCACAACATAGGCATGCCTAGGGTTCCTTCCAGGGTCTTGGGAAAGGTCCATTTAAGTTGGGACCCTGAGGCTGAAGCTTTGTAAGTTTCACACCTTAAATCCACCTTTGTGTCCCCTGGTACAGAATTCTTTGGAGGTGGGGGTTGGGGTGTAGGACTCTTCATTCTTCTGCTAGGGTGGGGTGGGGTGGGGACAGTCTCCCAGTGATAAGCAGTTAGGGAGATGTTAGGGCTCTAAACTATTCATAGTTTTCAACCAATCACCCTGATCTCAGCCCTTGGCTTCACCTAACTTCTAGAGGTACTTAGTACCAACTCCCAAACCTTTGAGAATTCTGGGATGTAAGGTGGGATGGCTCTTGGTTTTCTCAAACGCCAGTTTGGGACTTGACTTTCTTGGAACTAAGTCAGTTACCTCATGTAACTGCACCCTAATTCCCAAATTTTGTTGTTGATGTCTCTTCTATTCTCCCTGAACTATGGATTTATGCCTTAAAAAACTGCTTTACTGTGCTTTTTGTAGGATTTGTGAGGGAGATAAATTAGATGTATGTATTCAATCTGTCATCTTTACTCAGAATCTGGTTTATTTTTAAATAACATACCATAACATTCACCCTTTTAAAGTGTACAATTTGGGGTTTTTAGTATATTCCCAGAATTGTGCAAAAATCACTGCTATCTAATTTCAGAACATTTTCATCACACCAAAAAGAAACCCCACACCTATTAGCAAACAACTCCCCTCCTCCAGCCCTGGCAACCATTACTTTGCCTTCTTTATGGATTTGCCTTTTCTGGACATTGCACAGAAGTAGAATTATATTTGTATGTGGCCTTTTGTGTCAGCCTCCTTCACTTAGCAAAATGTTTTTGAAGGTCATCCATGTCATAGCATATATCAGTACTTCATCCTTTTATTTTTTTAATCACTGAATACTAGTTCAGTGTATGGATTTATATTTTGTTTATCCACTTATCATTTGATGGACAATTGGGTTGTTTTCCCTTTTTGGGTATTAATGAATGCTGTGACAAACATTTATGTTCAAGATTTTGTGTGGATATGTTACTTCTCTTGGGCATATATCTAGGAGCAAAACTGCTGGGTCATATGGTCACTCTATGTTTAACCTTTTGAGGATGTGCCAGACTGTTTTCCAAAGTAATTGTATCATTTTACATTCCCACCAGTGGTATATAAGGGTTCCAATTTCTCCACATCCTTGCCAACACTGTCTTTTTCATTTTAGCCATCCTAGTGGGTATGAGGTAGTATTTCTGATGTGCATTTCTCTAATGACTAATGACGTTAAGCGTCTTTTCATGTGTTCATTTGTATATCTTTGGAGAAACATCTATTCAAATCCTTTGCTCATTCTAAAACTTTTATTATTATTGTTGTTGAGTTGTAAGAGTTCTTTATATATTCTGGGTATTAGCCCATAATCAGAAATATTTTCTCTCATCCATGGGCTGGGTTTCCACTTTCTTAATGGTGTCCTTTGAAGCAGAAAGTTTTAAATTTTGATGAAGTCCAATTTATCTGTTTTTTCTTTTGTTGTTCATGCTTTTGGTGTCATATGTAAGAATCCTTTGACAAATCCAAGGTCATGAAGATTTACTCTTGTCTTTTCTTCTAAGAGTTTTATAGTTTAGCTCTTACATTTAGGTCATTGATCCATTTTGAGTTAATTTTTAAATATGGTGTGAGGTAGGGGTCCAACTTCATTCCTTGGCAAGTGGCTATCCATTTGTCCCAGCACTGTTTGTTGAAGATTATTCTTTTTCCGCTGAACTGTTCTGGCATCTTTGTTACAAATCAATTGTCCATATATGTAAGGGTTTATTTCAATTCTATTCCATTCATCTACATGTCCATCTTGATAACAGCACCACACAACCTTCATTACTGTAGCTTTGTAGTATTAAGACTGGGGAGTGTGAGTTCTCCAGCTTTGTTCTTTGTCAAGATCATTTTGACTATTGTGTGTCCCTTGCATTTCCACGTGAATTTTAGTGGTTTATTTTTTATATTTAAATCTTTGCTGCATTTAGAGTTTGAGTGTATGACTAGTCCATTGTTTTAACATAGTTTTTAAAAATTCCACCTTTGAAAAGTTATTTTATCAGCATTAAATGCATCTACTATTCCATACCACAGAGTAATCTACCCTTTTGCCAATAACACAGATTTATTTAGATGTATAAAAGTTCCTGATACTTAGCAAAGCAAATCCCTTCTCATTAAAAATTTTTTTCCAGGTAATTTCTTGGCTGTTTTAATTATTCAAGATAAATTTCACTAGCTGTGTGCTCTCACCCCCACACCTAAAAACCCCTGATAAGGATATTACCAGAAGTGCAATATATTTATAGATTAACTTTTGAAGATCCTATTTTTGGTTTGCTCATTCAGGGCCATATTTCTTTTCATTCATTCAAGCCTTTTTATCTCCCTTGGTCTTAAGGGTTTTTTTTTTTTTTTTCATATCCATCTCCTCTACATTTATTTCGTTAAATATTAAGATCCCAAAATAACACATGTGAAGTTTTAGCTCTATACATGTCTTAGGTTCATTCCATGAAGTTTTATATTTTTGGTTATACTGTAAATGGGATTCTCTGTTTCATTTTATCTTCCTGGCACATTTACTCTGAAACCAGTCACCATGTCTACATACTTCATTTATATAGCCTAAGAAATTCAACTGGAAAAGAAGAAAAATAACTAATTAGGCTTTCCAGGTAGACAGTCTTAGGGTATGAAAATATGATAAAATTCATCTTTTTCCCCAACATTTACACCTATTTATTGCCTTATGTTATTGCATTAGCTTGAAGTTATAGAAAATGTTTCCGACTTTGGTAAGAATGCTTTACATCTGATCCCTCACTATCAAATATGAAAGCAGCTATTCTTGATTTCAGCCAGGAACGTTCCTAACAGTAAGAAAATATCTTTCTGTTCCTAGTTCACTAAAAGGTACAAATATTAGGTTTTTGAATTCCACCAATGCCTTTCACCATGCATTTAGATGACCAGTTTGTTCTCCTATAACCTATTATTGTGTTGAACGGTGTAAACATATTTCCTAATATTGAGCCATCCTTTCATTACTTAAGTAAACTCTGCTTGGTAAAGGGTACAGGCTAATTAACTCTGATGTGTGAATGTCCTGCTTTCTGATTATGACACACAGCACCTCAAGGGCAAGGACTGAATGTCATGCTTCTTGGCAACCCCTGTTAAGTACTGTACTAGGCACAGTGCTATTTTCAACTTTTCACTGAATGAGGACACATTTGTTAAGGGCCACCTTTGTTCCAAATACTATGCTAGGTTCTAGGGATATCAGGATGAACGAGGCAGATTCCTTCTATGATCTCATGCAGCTTATAGTCTAGTTCTGTGCACATAGTAAGCACCGGATGAATAATTAAATGAATGACTAAAATAAGCGCATTGCCCAAGGGGCCTGTAAAATAACATGCTCTGACTTAAGGTTCCTGAAGAAAGCTACTCTTAGGTAATGCTACATAAAGAACAAAGAAAGGTAGTATCATTGTCTTTGGGCTCCCAATCCTTGTGTAACCAAAAAACAAAACAAAACACAAACAAAAAACCCCAAAAACCTAAAAAGAATACCCACCAGCGCTGGGGTCCAGCAACAGTACATTCAGTGGAGACCAAGAAAATGGAGTGGGCCCTTGGCCTTGAAAGCAAAGCCTGACGAAGTTATTGGAGTACGATGGGTCAAGGGAAAATACTTTACAGAGCCCAAGAGGATATATGAAAGGAGAAGAGGCTGCTGGGTTTATTCCGAGGCTGCCAAATGGCAGAAGTGAACCCACTCTGCCAGAGAAGTCGGCAAAAAACTGGGCAGATGCCCTGATGTAAAGATCAGATTCTCCCTGCGATGAAATGGAGTATTCCTGCAGGAAGTGGTGAAAGGTGGCAAGGAAGGGAGAGTGAGAGGAAAGGCAACACAACTGCACTTCAGCAGGCTCTTGTACCTCTTCTTCCCTTGAGTCCCCATTTCATCCCCGTGGGTCTCCCACTGCAGGCACAGGGGACTTCCTTAGGAGAAGCAGCTGCTTTGGAGGGCATGGGGCAACAGCGACAGTGTCACAGCCTGAGAGCAGCAGCCTTGGTACTGCCAGGTCACAGCAGCCCGGGGTTGGCAGTGCTCCAGGGCAGGAGGCCCAACTGGGCTTCGGGACTCTCCTCCCTCCTCCTCACACTTGCCTCAGTGCTCCCCTTGGAATCAGGGGCGTGGGCAGAGAGCCAGAGTGAAGACAAGGCTTGCTCCCCAGAGCGTCTCTGAGTTCTGGAAGAAATTAAGAGGGTTCTGCGCTCTCTGCCTCTGGAGTAGGAGTCCTTGATTGGTTCTGCTTCCCATTCCATAAATATGAGCACCAGAGGGCAGGAGAAGAGATATTTTAGTCTCAGCAACAAAATGGAGAAAACATTTCTTTCAACCCTCCTCTTCTCCAACCCCCAACTGCCCCACCGCAAAAAAGAAAAAAAGTTCTGTGTGTACGGAGGGCAAAGGGGGGAAAGATTCTATTTTCTTTCATAATAAAGAAAAAGTCAACAGGATGTTCTCCAAAGCTACAAATATACTTTTTCAAACAGTAAATATCTCTATTAGCAGCATGATGCCAGTTGGCTAATTCTGTCTGTCTCAGTAAAACCTTTCCAAAAAAGCCCCTGCTCTTGTGTAATGTCTATTTACAAAAACAGCTCTTTTGCATTTTCAATTTGCTAGGTTTCTCCATCTTTTGTTTCCTCACTCCCTCTGCAGAGGCAGAGATAAAAGGCAGGCCCAGATGGCAGTTGGGGAGGGATCCCCTGGTCACCCCAGAACCCTAAACCTGCTTCCTGGGTCTTTGCTTGGCCTCCAGAATCCTACTAAACATGGATAAGCCTAGGCCTGGCTTGGGGATGGAAAGAACCCTGGAGTGATTCAGTCTGCCCCACCCCTTATCTTTCTGCTATCTCTAGCTGGGCAAGAGACCCACAGTTTTGGGGGCGAGGGAGGTAAGGGAGGTGAGAATGGAGGGAGGGCTGAGCAAAGAGTAGGCGGTGGTGGTTGATAGTGGCTGAAATCCTGGCTCCCCGGTGAGTGGTCTGGGCCTGAGTCACTGTCTCGGCAAGAGCAGGAAGGTGGGCGAGAGGCAGCAGCTCCAGCAGGCTGGAAGGACAAGCCCCTCCCCCGGGGCCTTCTGTTACTCTATCCTTGGGTTGCTGCCTGCTCTGGCCTGAGGCCCCACAAGGCCACCACCACCTTAACGGTGGGAGAGAAACAACAGAGAGCCAGAGCCGGGGCAGGGCTTATCGAGAGCCATCTAGGTCCGGCAGAACAGCTGCTGGTTGGATGCCATCCTCTGTGTCGGGCCAGCTGGCCACAATGCCAAAGGCCAAGGAAAGTTCAGCCTGAGCAAGGCGGAGACCCCAGGAAAGAGGGACATGAACTGAGCTGGAAATCAGTCCTTTCCAGTGCCTATGACCACAGCCTCCAGCCCCACCTCAGTCCTTTCTCTAAATTAGCTTGATCCAAAACCAGAACACACAGAAATTGACCCCGACCCGCCAACAGTCCGAGGAGGTATGTGTGTGTTTAAAAATAAAAGGGATGACTGTGACTTGGCGGTTTGTGACTTGGACCAGAACAATCTTCCAGCTCAGCTGTGATCCCTCCTTCCCCACCGCTCCACAGGCTGACCTCTGAAAAGTAAAGACAGAATGAAGCACACAACGTTAAGTCACACGAGAGCTGGGCGATCATCTCATCAAAGCAACCACTTATTGAGCATCTACTATTGCCAGACTCTGCACAGGCACTGCTGATACATCCGTTTATTTGAAGTGTCCACTCCTGCACTTCACAGGAGAAACAGCGCAGTAGATCAGGGGATGGGCCCTGGAGCCAGACAGCTGGGGTTCAAAACCTCACTCTGCCTATTACCAGCTGTGAGACTCTGGGCAAGTGACCTCACCTTCCTGTGTCTCCGTCTCTTTATCTATAAAATAGGATGGAAAATAATTTACTCATCTTCTAGGGTCGCTATGAAGGTTAAACGAGTTTAATGCTTAAAACAGATCTTGACACACAGTAAGCAGTCTGTTTTTTTGCGAAGGTAGTAGTGGTATTTTGATGACGACGACCAACCAGGTCCAGAAGGGGTGACTTGTAAGAAGTTACAGAGATTAAGTATACTCACCCCCCAAGAATGGTTAGGAAACCTGAAATTATTTTTTTGTTTTGGGGGCAAACAGCTGTCCCATACCGTGATGCACCACCACCAGGCCCAAGTGATAAGTCTGCCTAAATTTGAGTGGCAACTTCCCCCCAAATAGTGAAAGGATTTTGACAAAAGTGTGGAGGCCGACAGAGCACCTAAGAGAGGAAGGCAGGCAACTCAAGGAGGCAAGTTTGGATTTTCTTTGCAGCCCCTTAAGAAGATCCTAATATCTGACAGACAAGTAATCACCGATTCTCATTCTAGTCTGTAAGGTAAGAAGGGGTAGAAAATGGGTTTGCATTTGGAGGTGAAAGGCTTGTCCTGCGGACTCCGCAAGGAGAGCACCTCTACTGGCCTCATCTCCATTCCGATGGGCTGACAGTGGCTTAGACTCTGAGAGCACCAGACCGGCTGTTTAGCTTCTGAGGTACCATCTTTAATCTCACCTTTGCTCCTGTCTCTTACCAATCAGCAATTATAAAGAGCTCTCACACTACCTTTTTCCTCTTCTCTGCTGAAAGTTTGGCCCCTAGAAAGCAAGAGGTAGAAGGAAGATGGCTGGATGGAAACTGACTTCTAGGCCCCCTCCCTACATCGTCCCCATCCCGTGGGGCAGGGGCGGGGGGCGCGGGCAAACGTTCTCTTGCTATGGAAAGTGAGGTCTGCCCCAGCAATGGTTTAAAAATTAAAAAAATATGAAATATTGTAAATACACAAAAAATACAGGGAATATATAATAAATACTCATGTATCCACCACTTGGCTTTGTCAAATTCTAACGAAGCCATGCTTGCTTTAGATATTATTATTTAAGCAACAAAACAGTACAGATGCTGTTCAGGCTCCCTGAGTATCGCACCCTGAGATTGTATTTCTTTCTTTTCTTTTTTAACTTAGTTTTTTTGAGACAGGGTTTCCCTCTGTATCCAGGCTGAGGTGCAGTGGTGTGATCATAGCTCGCCGCAACCTTGAATTCCTGGGCTCCAGCAGTCCACCTGCCTCAGCCTGCTGAGTGCTGGGACTACAGGCTTGCACCACTACCCCTGGCTAATTTTTAATTTTCTTTTTGTAGAGACAGTCTCACTACGCTCCCCAGGTTAGTCTCCATCTCCTGGACTCAAGCGATCCTCCCGCCTTGGCCTCCCAAAGTGCTGGGATTATAGGCATGAGCCACCTCGACTGGCCCCTGAGATTCCATTTCCTTCTCTCCTTGTTATCCTAGAGTAACCACTATTCTAAATTTAGTACTATTCCCATACTTTTACTGTATAAGTTTAAGTCCATATGCAAAATATAGTATTGCCTTATAGGTCTAATGTTTACATAAATAGTACAATGTTGAATGTATCATTCTTTTTTTTTTTTTTTTTTTTTTTGAGATGGAGTCTCGCTCTATCACCCAGGCTGGAATGCAGTGGCATGATCTTGGCTCACTGCAACCTCCGCCTCCTGGGCTGAAGTGATTCTCCTGCCTCAGCCTCCCTAGTAGCTTGGATTACAGGCGTGCACCACCACGCCTGGCTAATCTTTGTATTTTTAGTAGAGATGGGGTTTCACCATGTTGGCCAGGCTGGTCTTGAACTCCTGACCTCAAGTGATCTGCTTGCCTTGACCTCCCAGAGTGTTGGGATTACAGGTGTCAGCCACCGTGCCCAGCCTACAATGTTGAGTGTATCACTCTTATTTATTTGAATGTATCATTCTGAAGCTAGCTTTTTACATTCAGCATTACATTCTTGAGATTTGCCCACACTGGTACATACAGCTCTATTTTACCCATTTTAACTACTACATATATATACATTTTTTTTGAGACAGTCTCACTTTGTTGCCCAGGCTGGAGTGCAGTGGCATGATCTCAGCTCACTGCAATCTCCACCTCCCAGGTTCAAACGATTCTCCTGCCTCAGCCTCTTGAGTAGCGGGGATTACAGGTATGCACCACCACCATGCCCGGCTAATTTTTGTATTTTTTAGTAGAGACGGGGTTTCACCATGTTGGTGAGGCTGGTCTTGAACTCCTGACCTCAACTGATCTGCCCGCCTCTGCCTCCCAAAGCGCTGGGATTACAGGCGTGAGCCAACACGCCCGGCCCATAACATATCATCATGTAAAGACATCACAATTTATTTCCCCATTCTCCAGAGGCTGGGCATCTGCACATGACGATGCCCCTCACACTCCTGGCATGTGTCCCCTGCTGCATGGAGGTATGGGAGTTTCTCTAGGGTAGGGGACAGCCACTGTTCCAACTCCAAAATCTCCAATATACACCCCCTCCTGCAGTGTATGTGAATTCCTACTATTCCTCACCCTCAGATACTTGGCATTGTCAGGCTTTAAAATTTCTGCCAGTCTGATGGCTGTGAAACAGCATCTCATTGTTGGTTTAATCTGTTTTTCCTGATTACTAATAGGACCAAACATCTTTACATGAGCTTTTGTTCACTTGGGTTTTCTTTTCTGGAAAGCAATTGACAGTTTTCAAATCTATGGAATAAGTTCTTATAAAGAACTCAGCCAGTGTTCTTTACAGCTGCCCCTTCTGTTATTTTTTATTAACCCAGTGAAACAACCAAATACACAAGTAACCCTATCTTCAGTTGCTGGAGTCAAAGGTGTTAGCTTATCGTCTGAGTATTTGTAATGATACTCTTAGACAGATGGTTTTCAAACTTGAGGTCTTTGCAGAACATCTATCACTCAAAGGTCATTTAAACTGCTACACAGTCTTCCATTATATACATAGATCAAAATCAGTCATGAAATTAAAAAATCATATGCACTCACCTCAGGAAGAAAAAAAGAAAAAAAAAGTCAACTGAGGTGGGTCATTCTTTAAAAAAACAAACAAGGCTGGCCGCGGTGGCTCATGCTTGTAATCCCAGCACTTTGGGAGGCCAAGACGGGTGGATTACTTGAATCCAGAGGTTAGAAACCAGCCTGGCTAACATAGCGAAACTCAGTCTCTACTAAAAAATGGTGGTGCATGCCTGTAATCCCAGCTATCTGGGAGGCTGAGGCACGAGAATCGCTTCAACCCGGGAAGTAGAGGTTGCAGTGAGCTGAGATGGCACCACTGCACTCCAGCCTGGGCAACAGGGCAAGAGCCTGTCTCAAAAAACGAAAAACCATGAACAAGAACATAATAGAAAATATCAGAGTGCATTGCACACATACTGTGTCAAACTTTTATTTCAAGTATAAGTGTGTGTGTGTGTGTGTGTGTGAGTTGTGATATCAAAGGTATTTCTAACTGTGAGTTGTGTTCAAAAAATTGTGGAAACTAGTCCAGGTGTGGTGGCTAACACTTATAGTCCCAGCCACTCAGGAGGCTAAGGCAGAAGGATTGCCTGGGCCCAGGAGTTTGAGACTGTGGTGAGCTGTAATTGCACTACTGCACTCCAGCCTGGGCAACAGTGAGACCCCCCGATTTGTTTAAAAAAAAAAAAAAAAAAAAAAGGAAACTATTGTCCAAGTTAGCATCCTTGGCTCCATTTTTTCTCTTCTGAGTTATCCTGCAGGCCACTGCCAAAATAATCTGACTAAATCATTGCTTTGGCCATGCCACTTCCCTGCTCAAAAGCCTTCAATTTCCAAAAGCCTAGGCTCAATTTCAAGTCCTCAGCATGGCACTGAAAGCACTATATAACGTGGCCCTGAGGTGGAGTGCCAATTCTCCCCAATGCAGCCTCTACCCAAACCACTACTTACCACCTCCAAGCTGGCCTCCTGACAGTCCGCACAAACACTCTTGACGCATTCTGACTCCACACACCTTTTTCATGCCATGCTTCTTACCTGGATCCTTCTCTCCCTCCCACTGAAACAGCACGTATTTGCTAAGTCAAGGTTCAGTTAAAATTACATCTGCTTCAAGTCTTTCTTGATGATGCCATACTGACATTTAGTGATCGGCTGTCCTTTTGAATCCCTAGCACTTTCCATACACCGGCTGAAGATAGAGATCGACTCATGCAAGTCTTTTAAATGTTCCTCAACATTTAGCACAGACTTTTGCACATTATAAATGTTGAACAAGCATTAAATCAACAAATATTTGTTGAGCACCATGTATGTGCATCACACTATACTGGGCCCTATTTGATGGATTAGCCACCAAAATCATGAGTTTGGGAAAACAATTCTAATAGGTTTAACAGCTGACTCTAAAGCTTACTCCGACAGATTTCCTTAAAGAGTATAATACATATAACACCTCTGACTAAGTAGCTGTGGGACTCAAGACACTTGACTCTTTCTGACTGCTCCAAGATCTGGAAGAAATCCTTCTCCTCTCATTAAACGCCTGAAATAAGAGCAAGCTCACATACAGAATCTCACAGACATTTTATAGGGCCCCTGTCTTCAAGGCATTACTATGCTCTCCACAGAGGAAGAAAAGCTTGGTGTGTCCAAAGTCACAGAGGACATGAGTGATGAGGCTGCCTTAGGCAGGGGCCCCATAGGTGGAAGAAGCTGAGCCAGTTACAGAACACCTAGAGGTCTGCAGGACACAAGGACTTCCTCTATCACTTATGTGTGAAGACTGTCAACTCCCTGTGATTCACTACCAACCTGCTAGTGTCAACACACCTTAGCAAAGTGAAACTCCGTGATCCAATCAGCTTGGGAATGGTCTGCTACTCTTCTAATATTCCTGATCATGGGGACAGAATACTCAGGAGACACATTTTAGTTCTAGTTCTTCCAGGTACTAGCTGAGTGAATTCTAGTAAGTTACCAAGGGGGATCATAAGACTGCACTGCTTGCGCAGACATAAGCATGAAGTCAGACAAAGGACGGGAAAGCCATCTGAAAAGTTAGAAGCACTCTACACATGTGAGACAGCAACGGTAATCATAGGGGAAAGGACTTCACTGAGAAAAAAACTGAATAATGGTTTTGTTTGACCCAGAAGTTTACCTTCTTTATATTCCATTCATTTAACAATTACCTGTTAGATACCCACTATGTGCATGATACCCACTATGCGTACAAAAAGATGAAGAAGCTCTATGTCGCTCCTGTTCTCATGGGGTTGGTGTGGAAGGGAGGTGTACGTCTGTGATACTCAGAAGGATGCAGAAGTGCTACAGGAGAAGCACTATGGAAGTACAGAAGAAACCCAGCAAAGCACTTTGGAGTGGAGGATCAGAAGGAGTGGGGAGGAGAAATCACAGGCAGCCTGACCTGGAAGCCACTTGTGTCGGTCAATTTAACAATAGTACTTTCAGAGGCTCTTCATTTTAGGAAGTGGTTTGTAGGTTCTGCAAGTTTTTATCTTAACATTTTTCCTGAGCTGAGGCAAGTCAGGAAAAGGGAAAAAAGGCCCCATTCATATATTTAATAAACACTTCCTGACTGCCAGGAACAGTGCTAGGGAATAGCAATGACCACAAGACAGTCCCCATACTCAAGAACTCACAGACAAGTAAACCAGCCAGCGGAGTACAGATGCTGATGAAGGTCAGAAGAGCGGCACCCAGTGCAGCATGGCAGGGTGTGAGGGGCCACTCAGGGAAGACCCTCAGAGAAGGTGAAGCGTGGCCTGACTCTTGAAGGATGAGTAGATGCTGGCCTAGTGGACAGGGTGTGAGTGAAGGGGAAACATTTCAGGCAGAAGGGACAGTTATCCAGAGGCACATGGGCACGAGAGAGCAGGAGAAGCTTGGAGGATGGAACACACGGAGTGAAGATGGACAGCCAGGCCCAGAGGGCCTCAGAAGCCCTGGCCCAGAGTTGGGCCTCTATCCTGAAGATGATGGCAAGGGACTACAGGGTGAAAACAGGAAAGAAACAAAAAGGATCAAACATGAGGAACACCAAAGTGTGAAGGGCAGACAGAGGTAGAAGACCCCGGAAGAGTCAGAAAAATATCACTCCACTCATTTCACAGCAGGCTCAGGTGGCAAATTGTCAGCAGGAATGGCCACTCCATGCTACAGATGGAGAAACTAAGACAGAGAACAGCTCAATGCTTGACCAGGCCGCACTGTGAGTGGCTGAGCCAGAACCTGAACGCAGCACTCTAACTCCTACTCACACTTACCTGCTCTGCCTCTAATTTCCTTCCTTTTTGTCAAACTACTGGACCCCTAGGTATAGGGAGATTTCTTCCAGTACTCCCTTTTCCTCCTCGTTTAAGCCTAAAATCATCAAGGTGTATGGTTCAACAGGAGGCTACAATTCCTGGAGCCAGCTTAGATTGAGGTCACTATTCTTAATTCTACTTAATCCTCTCTCCATACCATAATAAAGCCACCTGAGTATACACTGGAAGATGGGGAAGAGAGACAGGAAGGGGAAAAGGGAGACAAGAGGGAGACAGAAATAGGGAGGGAGGGGGTGAGTGGGGAGGAGAGGAGAGAAAGTTGGGAGGGGGGCAAATGGCGGGGGGAGGTGGGGTGGACAATGGGAGAGAAAAAGAGAGCGAGAGAGAGAGAAGCATTTGGCTTGAGGCCAAGAAGTGAATCTGTGATCTGAGATGTGAATATCAAATGCCTTCTTCCTAGTAGGACAGACCACCGGGTCACTTTTCTGAAAGGCAGATGGGTGTATGGGGAGTGGATGGGTAGATGGTGCAGGAAGGCAGCAGGTACCCACTAAACAAACAGGGGGTGGGCGGGTTGCCTGCACAGAGGAAGCAGAGAACAAAGGCCTCTCACTCTTCATGCAAAGTCCACAGTGTGCAAAGGGCATCAATATTGGACATTTCTCACTGTGACATTTTGAAAGCTCAGCCTAGCCCAGAACAATGGTTACCCTCTGGGGACCATGGGCCATGTGCCTTATTTAATGATGGCTTGGCACAGCCCATGTACTTGGTGAACTTGACCTTGGGCATCAGCCTCCCATGATGGCTCTACGTCACTCTGGTCTCTTCCCCTAATGAGAATTCCAGTCTCACATGAATGGATGGATTCATTCTGGGGGCAGGAAAACCACTCAGGGAGTGAATCAGAAGGACCCAGCCCCGGTCTCCTTGCCAGCCATTGAGCTAGGAACTGAGTGTGATTGTGTGCCCAGGCGCCGGTGCTGTTCCCGTCTTTGAGAGACAGGGTCAGGGTCCACGCAAGAGATGACGTAGAAGCCCTTTAAGGGGGAAGAGAAAGGAATCTCAGCTTTGAGGGACAAAGCCACCCTTCTGGCTGTGACTCTCAGTCCAAGGAGATACCAAGATGTGCATGTACTGGTAAATTAAAGCTACTAGATGAAAATCTCAGCTCTTGTTAGACAGTTGTCAATCTCAATTCTCTCCAACCTGACAGGATAACCTTTAAGGAATGGGCTACTATTTTTTCAGAAGGGAAACTTTCTGTGAGACAGGTGGAAACAACCTGCTTCGGATCACCCAGAGAATCATTTACCTTTATTAGTTTCTGCTGTGCTCTTCTCCCAACTTGTGAAGGAAAGATTGGTTCAGTAAAGGCCAATCTAGGCAATATAAAGCATCTGTACTGCCTCATTTTCACTTTGAAAAATTAGGTAAGAACACTCCAAAGATTCAAGACGCAGCAGCCAAAAGGATATCTATATTGCAAGACTGGGGGGCCCAGAATGACACTGAAAGGACGTAATTCCTCTGGGAAAGGGAACTGAAGAATTGCCGCTTTGCCCACCACTAACTAGGTTATAACAAGACAGGGAAGGTAGCTTTTTAAGGCTCCAGCCCCTTATTGGCCTCCTGGAGCAAATGGTGGAGGGAAAAGCAGAAGCTCCTGCCGGGGCTTATTAGGACATTGCTTCAGGCTTTCCTCCCGTGCTTGCGGTGATTGTCTGACATTTGTCCATCAATCTTGGTCTAAGAAACAGGTGGGGGAGGGGACAGATGGTTCGCATTTTACTTTAGAGAAGTATCCCTGACACTGACTGATATCAGCTGCTTGCGTTCTCCACTGATGGCCAAAATTAAGCTTCAAAAGCCTTCCTGAAGGACATTCTGTTATCTTAATTCATTCATAACTGGTTATCATGCGCTTTGCATAAACAAACACACTAGCCTCTGAGGACAGAGTGGCAAATATGTTCCCTATGTCCATGGGCTGATTAATCTTGTACATCTCTGGGGCTCAATTTATTCACACACTATAGTTGAATCCCCTGAGGTCCAGGGTTGTGGCTATATAGGTCCTTGGGCCTGACGGTAAGGTAAGGTGCTGCATATGAGTATTCTCTAACCTCTAAGAAAGCCCCAGGAAGGCAGGCAAGTCACAATTCTCTCCTGTGAACATAAATAATCGAGAGCAACAAATGGGGATTGCCTTTTGGGCAAACTGAGTCTTACAAAATAAATACACCATTATGAAGTGTCTACTATGACCCAAGTATCACATCATACTGCAGCAACTGGAATTGTGACTCTATTACTCTAAGACTCCCTGGCTTCTTTTCTCATGGCATGATAGTTCCCATAAGTTTAAACTTAACCATGCCTATTTAGAGGGCAGGCAGTGAGTAATAGCTCTGGAATGATTAAAACCAGTCCAATCCCACAGTGGAAGGGTGTGTGCGGAGTGTAATTCTGGCCCCTTTAAAAAGAGAAGCAAGTTTTCCTTGTCTTTTGAAGCCTGCTAAGTCGTGCAAAGAGGATAGTTACCCAGAAGGGAGTGGGTTTTGATTAGTGAACTGGGTCCAGGCTGCCACAGCGAGGGCCACAGCTCTGGAGGGACTGGCGCGGGGCAGAGATGCCCACAGGAGAGAAAGACGACACTGACTCCACCTCAATGGGTGTTTAAAAAAGGAGGGAACAAGGAAGTCCCTCACTTCAAGGAGCTAGGAGGACGCGAGTCCGGCAAAACGGGTCAGACGCGGAGTCCCAGGCTAAGAGGATCATCCGCCACTCTCCCCGGGAGTCCTGCTGAGAGACTGCGACTCCGGAAAGCACCGAGGGAACGACCCTAGGGCAGGGGCTGTCGGGCCTTGCTCTGGGGCGGAGGGGTCGCGCGGGACCGGAGGGAGCCGGGACGCGGCACTGACACAGGGCCAGGGGCCTCGCGGGTCCGCGGGTCCAGCAGCTCCCGCCGCCTGGGCCTCACTCACCAGCTCATGGTCCCGAACCTGCGTCTGCCGCCGGGGTCCTCAGCCACAACTCGTTTCTCTAGGGTCACTTCCGGATTCAACCAGTCTCCAGGAAGTGACGTAAGCCCGCCTCTCTGCCCGGAAGAGGCGGTTGGGAGGCGGAGCCCGGCGCGTTAACCCTTCTGCTGCTGCGTGCTCGCCGCGGAGTTTCCCTTGCCGGCGACTCTCTGGCTCTGGCCAAGCGCTTAGACACACAGGCTGCAACGGGGGATGAGGGGAACCTCTGGGGGCGTTTTCTGCCTTCAACACTGACTCCTAAAGATCTCTTCACCTGACCATGCAGGGCCCTTAGCCGGGCTGTCCCCTCTGTCAAGTGGTTTCTAATCCAGAGACAGTGGCAGCAATTGTCTGTGGGAGAAGAAGCCATTTGGGATGGAGAAAGTGGAAAACTTACATTCTCTGAATGCTCTTTCCTATCTTTTACAGTTTGTACACCACACATGCATTACCTGTTACAAACAAACGGACGTTTCCCTTCCAAGATGGCACAGGGCTCTGAATATCAATAGATAGGTGCTTTTCAGGTTGGAATGTTTCCTAGAGTTATTCAACACAATAAGACGCAGAGTATGAGTTGTTCCCTGCCTTTCAGCCCTTCCCTTTGGTCTCCTCTACAGGACTCAAATGATGTAAATTGCCCCATTCGTTCTATTCCTTCATTTAACTAATACTAGTTGCACTAATATTAGTGTCAGGTACCGAGCCAACCTTAGGATACAGCTATCTCAGAGAAGTATCTGCCCTGCTCTTGTTCCTTCCCAGAGCTACTTTCCTGGAGGGAGAGACAAGCAGGCAATTATAATCATGCTATAGGATAGGATAGAATGAGGTGTGGTGGCAGCCTAGAAGGGGACCCTGAAGTAGCACATGGGGTTTTGGGGAAGGCTTCCAGGAGGAGCCAGTGTGTAAGCCAAGCCCTGAAGGCAGAATCGGGGCTAGCCAGGTGAATCTGAGATGAGGGGTGACGAGGCTCCAGGCAGAGGGAACTTACCATGGCTAAGACACAGACAGGACCAAGCAAGCAGCTGACTTGCCTCGGGTCTCCCAAAGTCAGAATTCAGGGCCTTAGTGGCTCACAAGTTGCCTGGGATTCTGGGCCGACTTGGTTTCCTCACCGCTAAGTACCTCCCTGCCTTGGAAGAGAGACAAGAAGGCAGTGAGGCCCGTGCAGGTGCTGCTGGGCCCCCAGTGACCTTCTCTCTAGGAATTCTCCTTCCTCAGATGGACCGGGATTGTTTCAGGGACTGCTTAGGGGGTTGCTAATCAATGACCTAGCGGGAAAAATATGACCAATGACCTAGAGCAGAAGTAGTGTATGATTTGTTTTGACCTCCTAGGGTGGAGTAGAGGGCTTGAGCAGGAGAGGTAGGAGGGTGGGCCACAGGATGCAGTCTCTCATTTGTGTTTTCTGTTTCCATTCTTGAGAGTCCATAGTTTGACTCAATTGACGTTTCCAATGGAGGTTGGATCCCCAAGCACATCATGCAGATCAGCTTCATTACCATGTTGTTCCTCAGGAAACAGGCCAAAATGAGCACAAGAGCAGCCTTGAAGAGTAAAGAGGAAGAGCAGAAGTCACCAAAGGGTAGCCTGGGCAGAGAGTGTGGGTAAAGGGAAAGAGAGAGTCCTTGCTGCTTTGCAGAGAGTGTGACGGATGGAAGGGCTGTTGTGGGTTTAGGAGCCTCCTGGCAGTTAGCACCTGTGAATAGTTTTCCCACCTGCTTCCTCCCTTCCCCATGTTCTGCCTCCCTCAGTTATGCCCCACAGGGATAAATATTTCCAAACGTTTTAGCCTAGGTAACTGCTATATCCTAGTAGAAGTCTGTTTCAGGGCTGGAGGGCAGCAGACACATCCTAGAGGACTAGAATGGATAAGTTCTGGACTACAAGTCTGGAGGAGTCTGCGGCTCTATTTCCAGTTCAACCTTTGACACTATAACTGACCTCAGATAAGTCACATCCCCTTTGTGGCCTTAGTCCCCTCATCTATAAGATGGAGTGGGTAGATCACATCCCAAAGTATCCAACATTGCAAGGTTCCAAGTCAGCTGTCTTGTTGACTCTAGAGGCCCTAGGGAAATAGGAGAATGGGAAAGGCAGGTGAACAGAGGGGCAAGCCCAGAGAAGTGGGCAGGTCTGAGGAACTGGTGATATCTTGGATAAAGCTAAATATGAATTTTTCTGGGGCTGTGCTGTTGACAGGTCACCTCGAAATCTTTAATGCAGCCAGCAGGATCTTTGAGGTTACTAAAAAGAATGGTGTCCTCCCAGGAGTCTGTCTGGAATGTGCCTGCTTGGTCTCCTTACCTGTGGCTCATTCGCTCAGCTAGAGGGGCACTGGGCTGAGGAGGGACAGTCAGGCATCCTGCTATCCTGTGTTCCTCCATGAGCCTGCTGTGCCATGAGGCATTGATCCCTGGGGAGCTGAACATGGAGACACACAAACACTTCCCACTGTTGTGAAAAACTCAGCCTGCAGGGTCGGGAGCTATGTCTTTCTTATTTATAACCAAAGGGACAGCATGATACAGATTGATCCTGCCCCTGCAGGGAAGGAATGGAAAAGAGAAAATTGGGTTTCTAAGTAGAAGCTGAGAGTGGAGGCGCTTTGGGTAGAGGTGGATACTCCTGGTTTCAAGCCTTGTAAATACTGATTCTTCCCCAGAAGTCTGAGCCTGAAGGTAAAAGACTGTTCAGGTGGCAGAGGTCTACTTCTGGGACAAAGCTGTTTACGAGGGGAAAAGCAGCAGCAGAACCTGCTCCACCATCAGCCCCCAACTTTTCCTTGGAGGTTTTTGCTCAGAAGTTGGTAAGCAGGTGCTTCCCACTGACTCTCATCTCTGGGATTGTCATGTCCTGTCTCTCCCAGCCTTTCCCACACAGAAGTCTAGGGCTGGCCCCCGAGTCTTTCACCATGCCAACCTCTTATTAGTGAAGAGTGAGCATTCCCAGAACCTGGACCTGGGCTGTCAGGGACTTCATTATAGCACTGGGCTAAGGCTGAAAAACTGAATGTGATAGGGCCAAATTGGTGGGCTCAGCTCTCTTGGAGCCCTAAAGGTCTTGATTCCTCAGGGAGGCTCCTGCAGATATTCAGACACAGGCCTCAGGTTTCTCTGTGGCCTCACTGCCCCACTTCTCCCTACTCTGTACCTGCTCAGTAGGACGTCTCAGAAAAATAGCTTTCCCAGGGCCTTTGGGGGGCAAGGACATAGGAGGAGGAGCAAGGGTGGGAGAAGAAGGAGGAAATCAGGGTGAGATTTCCAGTGGTGGGAGGCCCACACGGACTGCTCAAAGGTCAGGGTGAAGTGACACATCAGAAGCCAGGACAGCAAGAAGCGAGCAGAACCAGGAACGCCTGTCTGACCCGTGGCTCTGCCTCCAAGTGGCTTGAGGGAGTCTTGTCCCTCCTCTGGGCCTCATTTTCCTTGACTGCAATGGGAAAGGTCCAGGTTAGATCTGGGAGGGCGAATGGATATCATCCCATGTGCCAACTCTGATTGTCTGCTTGGAATGCAGTGTTGAGGATTCTGGGGAATCTGCCATCAGTGGGGAAGTTCTATGATTGATTAGTCATGTCTGCCTTGGACAAGAAAGAGCGATGAGATGGTTTATATTCCACTTTATTGTTATTATTTTTATTATAAGTTAACAATAATTGAGCACTCATGACATGACAGGCACTATTCTCTGCAGTTCACATTTAATCCTTGCCTCAACCCTGTGAGGTGGATACTACCATTATTATCATTTCACAGATGATGGCGCTGAAGTATAGCCATGAAGCAATAGTATAGCTTCATGAAGCAGTGAAGTGGGGTTTCTGACCTGAGCACCCTGGCTTTGATCCTTATGCTTTTGCCACTACAGTTTGCCATTTGACCTCCAACAACCTTTGGTTCTGTCAAGGCACAGTGAGGTCAGAAGCCAGCAGACAGATGGAACCAGGAGAAGCACCGCTACTAAATGGCCAGGTTGTGGGTGGAGGGAGGGCCACCCTATGACCAGGGTGCCAAGCTCAGCCTCATCCTGGGAGCTTTTATATGCTTCCTCCAGTACGGAGAGTGCCAGGCCAGCAGGTGGCAGCACCGGGCAGGGTGACAGGAAAGGGCAGCTCCTCACATGGCATGGACGTCCTTCAGGGATCAGAAGGCCCAGATGCTGGGGAAAGCAAGAACAAATGCGGGTGTGGAGGAAGGATAGCCAAGGACCCAGAGGAGGAGGAGTCCTGGCCTCTGACCTGCAGGAGCTGCCACAGCCAATGCTTTGGTTCCACCCAGCAGTGCAGGCCTCTCAGCTTGCATCTCGTGGTGCCTGCTGTGGGCTTTTTTTTTTTTTTCCTCCACTCTGGGAGAATGACTAACTTTAAGGACTAAAAAAAAAGTGTTTTGATTACACTGCCTTTTTACCAACTGGGAGCATTAGTCACCGTGGATTGCTGCAGATAACGGGGAAGGCAAGCAGCACCCCCTCCTCCCCCTCCTTCTCTCTGATTAGCTCACAGAAACCAGGAGGAGACATGAGTGAGGGAGAGTGCACCAGTAGGGAAAACAATCCCCCCGGGTTGATATGTTCCCTGGGCATCAGGCCAAGGGCTGTCCAGGCTGGGCTGCCCCCTGACAGGTAGGCTCTAAGATGGCCCCAGACCCACAATAGGAGGTACCCACTGGAGAGAACTGGCAGTAGGACCACTGAGTCCAAGGCTCCTGAGATTCTGAGTTGGGTCTGGATGGTCTGTTCCTCCAGGTAGCTCCAGGGCACACCCAGAAGGGGAAGTCAGAGGAAGTCACTGAAGACACAGCTCCTGAGCTGGGGCTCAGGATGTCTGTGATGTGGAGCTCATGCCAGGCTGTGGTATGGCTAAGGCCGCTGCCTTGAGCTGGGGCCCTCATGGCTCTACCTGGGGTTGAGACATTCCTGGCAGGTGAGGTTGGTGCTCATGCCCCACTCCCCACCCTTTGGCCTTCTCCCTTCTTCTCCATCTCCATGGGGCAGTATCTAGTACTTTTGGCTGATGTTCCTACCCAGTGCGGCCCTCTTTGCTCCCACCTTGGTGCTGGTGGGGCTGGAGAGCTGAGGTTCCAGTCTAGCCTGTTGGTGCAAGGTGTCAGAAGTGGGAGCTCTGGGCCCTGCTGGGGAAGGCACTGAAGCAGGGAGAAAATGGTGCTGGGTTGCCTGGTTGCTTTGGGGGCAGGCTGACCTTGTCAGTCCTGGTCTTTTGGCCCACCCCTTCATCCCATTCACCACCCACCCCCAAATGCTTCACTCTGGAAAGCAGACATTTATTTATCTGAATGGCCTTTCAAGTGACAGGGCCATGAATATTTGTGTAAAGAACTTCAAGCATTAGGACAAATAACCTTTTTACTGTAACAGGAAAGGAAGAGACAGAAACATAATTCGATTTCTGCATCTCTCAAGATCAGAGTATTTCATCTGGATGTTGCTGCTGCTGACTTTCTCTTTGGAAAATAAAGTAGTCACAGGTATTTGGTGTGCTCTGGCCTCAAAAAGCTTTTATGGTACCACCTTACAGGAAATGAGGTCAAAAGAGTGGGAGTGGGTGCTCCTAGATGGAGAAGGTCTGTGAGATGCCCCACTCCCAGCCTCCAGAATCTTAGCTGCCATAGAGAGTGTCCAGTCCTGGGGTTGCCTCTGGTTTGTCCGCTCAGCCCCGCTTTGCGTTCCTGGGCAACCTAGAGCTGGCGTATGGATGCTCCCAACCCCCGTTCTCTGCCCTTTGCAGTTCCCGATAATAATACCCACCATTGTAGAGTCTCATTGGCACTGGGTGAAGCATTTTACATGTATTAGATCGTGTATTCTGCAGTAACTTGGTGAGGCAGCTCCTCTGATCATCTCCTTTTTACAGATGAGGAAACCGAGGCTGAACTAATTGCCCAAGTTCACAGAATTGGCTAAGTGAGAAGGACAGGCATTTAAACCCAGGCTGTCTAAACCCAGGCTGCCTTGGAGCAGAAAATAATGTAGCAAAAAGGGAGGAAGCTAGCGTTTATAGTAGACTCACTTTCACAGTCATTAGCCCTTGCTGCCTCCTTGAAGGAGGAGGATGAGGCCTGGTGGACTGAAGGTCAAATCCAAGTCCCTCTTGATTTGGTTGTTGCTCTGTCCAGAGGTCAGCAGCCAGGGGGTATCCCCTGACCTCGGAAGGTAGTATGGAAGAACAGGGTTTGGGCTGTGTGTGGGTGCATAGAATAGCCTCAGGACTTTTGTCCCCTGGCTGGGATAGCCATCCACCCCCATCTGAAGCCACAGAGTGTCCCAGGTGAGCATAGCTTCTAGGAACGCATGGCTTTCCTAGGGAATCCTTGCAAGTCCCACGCGTGAGCAGCAGGCCTGGGGAGAGGGCAGGACTGCCCCAGCCTGACCTTGCTGCAGGCCTGGCTGCCCAGCGTCCACCCCCTGCTGCTGTGGTGGAGACAGCCCCCAGACACCGGCAGGGCAGGTGGCAATTATCCCCGGGCACTGATTACACCACAAGGCCGGCAGTGCCCTAAATAGCCCAGGAGCTCAGCCTGGGGGAGGAGAAGGGTCCCGCTGGGAAGGAAGAGGCAGAACCAAGGGATGCATAGTGTGGATGTGTCAGGAAGGACAACGGGGGGCTGGGGGAGGATTTCATGCCAAGGCCAGCACCTTTGGGGCAAGCCAGGACCCTCAAAGAAAGGGATGAGGTTCCGCTGCAGCAGGCTGGCCTAGAGAAATTAGATGGGGCACATGCCAAATCTGGTCACAGTGAAAAGGTGGTAACCAGCATGAGGGGCATGTGGAGAAGGCCTCACTGATGGATAGGAGGAGACAGTGGTGCCACTGAGGCCAGGCCGGCTGCAACCCTCCAGCCCTGGCCTGCTGTACCTCTGGACTGATCAGGAAGGAATCCCCAAAGAAGGCACACAGCAGGACGGAAGAGAGGCCAAACAAGGGCAGGAAGGCTCCCGGGGGCACCAATTCCCTCTGCCAGGAAGGTCAGACCAAGCAACTTTGGTCCGTGGTCCCCTTTTCCAGCCTCAGCCATCCTTTGCTTTTCATGGAACTGCAACTGGCCAGGCCCCAGGGATGGCAGCACCAGCAGAGGGGCCCTCCCCTGGGGTCTTCTTCAACCAGAAACAAGTCAGGCAGCGGTGGGCTTCAGAGGTTGAAGGCCTGTGGCGGGGGGCCTCATGAAAGAACTATCCTCAGGGCAGGGAGGCCTGGGTTGCTGCCCCCTTCATTTCTTTCTTTCTTTCTTTTGTTTTTCTTTTTATCCTTTTGAGACAGAGTCTTGCTCTTTGCCCAGGCTAGAGTGCAGTGGCGTGATCGTAGCTTACTGCAGCTTCGACCTCCTGGCCTCAAGCGATCCTCCCCGCTCGGACTCCCAAAGTGCTGGGATTACAGGGAAGCTCAGTTTCTCAAGCAAGTGCTGGGATTACAGGGAAGCTCAGTTTCTCAAGCAAGCTGTGCCCTGTAGGCCCTTGGGTGGCATAAGAGGCAGGCTTCTTTGGGAGTCTCTCTGACTGCCCCCAACCCTGAAGCTGGATCCTTTTGAGGTTGCTTCTCAGCGAGCAGCATGAAGGCCCGGAACAGCCGCGTGGGAGGAGGCATTGGATACAAACAAGGGAGAAGAGAGGCACCCCCTCTCACCATGCACCCCATTTTTCTTCTTGTATAAGCACCAGTTCTTCTGTATTGGCCCCCTTCCCACGTGGAGAGCCTATATCTATTGCATCTTCCCCACCTGTCAGCCAAGGGAGGGGGCTGAGCTGCTGCCCCCCCATTCCAGAAAAGCTACAGAAAGAAAGCCAGGCCTGAGGTTGTTCCCGATATTTACCAATGTGGGCACAAGGCAGGCTCAAACCTGGTTTCCCAGGGGTCTCTAATTGAAGAGGTCATGGTGACCCCATGGTGCCCAGTGCCTGCACTCCTTCTTGCCATCCCAGAGGACCCAGCGCCCATCTGGCAGCGCCCGCTCCAAAGCCACCTATGAGTTCCCTGGACCCAGGTCAGGAAAGGAGGCTGTCAGTGGCTCCAAACCACCTCTTGCAGCAACTCTGCTAATCCAAATAAGATAGGGAAAAGGCAGTGGGAGGAAATGATAGTTTCATGGTTATTTTCAGAAAGGAAACAAAAAAAAAAATGCAAACAGGAGCACACCCTGCATTTTGGTACAAAATCTAGGAGTCTCAAGGAAAAGAACCCACAGTTCTTCCTTCTTCTTGTCCTCTCACCAGATGCTGGGGAGGGGCTGCCCGGGCTGTGGGGGCCTTGGGCTGCTTTTGCCTGTAGGGAAAGGGAGATGAGGGGCTGCAGGAAGCCAGCAAAGACTCTTCCTGCAAAGGCAGGCCTGGAGAAGCTGAGACATCTTAGTCTTGTGGGCAGACAGGGCCCACCCTTTGCGGGTGGAGGAGTTGGAGAGATGGAGTGGAGGGAGCAAGTGGGGAACTGGGAGATTCTTGAGCTGATGCTTGTAAAGCGCAGTGGCATGTGTAGGATTGGTGGGCTGGGAGGGTGTGTTCTGGGAGCACAGCTCAGAGAGAGAAATAGAGAAGGGGGAGGGAGAGCAAGAGAGCGTGTGCTCGTGGGAGAATTGAGTAGGGCTGCTGCCTGCATGTGTGTGCAGGGCGTGCACAAAGATGGGAGCCGCAGAGCCCGGGCTGTACACAAAGGATCGTCCAGGGCCCTGCCAGCTCCAGAATGTTGTGCGAACCAAGGACAGAGCCTGGCTTCTTGTCCCCAGAGGGAATCTGGACCTTGCTGTCTAACCTCTGGGTTTCCCTGGACAGTGTGGGGTGCAGCAGGGAAGGAAGCGGTGGCCTGAACTTCTGGGGGCTTTGTCTGCAGTTCCTGTTTGGTGGCTGTCACAGTTGCCAAGACCCCAAGGGTGGGAGGATGTGGATGGGAGAGAGGTAGGAGCCAAGGACAGAGCCGGTGGCACAGAGACTAGAAATCTTAAGTGCCTGCAGATGAGGTGTTCTAAGAGTAAGGGAGAGAGAGGGAGCTGACATGAACAACCTAGGGGAGCTGGAGGAGGACCATGGGATAGTAGCAGCTCCATGTCCTCCCCTAGGGCGGGAGAGGTATCATTATCCCCCATTTCGCAGATGTGTCATCTGAGGGCCAGAGAGCTTCATTGCTGTGTCCAAGTTTCCATGACTGGTCACAGAAGGAGCTGGTGTGGGGAGATGGACAGTGAGCAAACTCAGGTGGGTGATTGGGTGGTCTAGTTGGTGACAAGGGTGTTCCGGGAAAGACAAAGTTAGGCTCAATACCAGGAAAATCCTGGTCCCAGGAGGCTGCCTCCATGGAAGGGTTGGAGGCTTCCCTCCCAGCCTGCCAAACCAGCCCAATTCCTGAGACCTGGGAGGGTTGGGAGGAGATGGAGGTAATGACTCAACTCATCCAACACAGGCTTGACCTAGGGGAGGTTGGGTAACCCAGCAGACGCTCCAGTGGGGTGAGGATTGGAATAAATGGGTGATGCTGGAGATAAGGGCGAAAGGGTGTGCTGGAAGGGAGGGGCTGCTGGTTCCGGGCAGAGTTTGGGAGGAGGATGGGGTGGGGCACACTTGGGCTTTGTGGATGAAAAGAGGGATGAGCTTCTAGGAGCACTGGGTCCTTTCCTGAGATGATGGAGGGACCTGTGGTGGTGATCTGGGAGGAAAACCCAGCAGGTAGGGCAGTGGTTCAGATGGTAGATTTAAGGCTGAAATCCCAAAACGGGGGACTCCCAGCAGTAGGAATTCTCAGGAGGGCCCCAAAGACAGAGATTCTGAGCCTTCTGGGGCCCCTGCTGCTCCCTCACTAGGGCAGGAGCTACATTCAGGAGCCTGCCACCCCCCAGGGCTTTCCAGTCCATGGAGAAGAAGTGATCCGAGTACCGCAAACCACTGCGAAGCATTTCTGGCATTGGGTTGAATGGGACCCCAAACCAGAGGATTGGATTGTATATCAGTTTCTATATATTTTTCAGGCAAATATGGGAGAAAATGGGTTTAAAAACACAATCCGAGATGCAAATGCAGTCACAGAACATGCCCCATTGGCTCAGGCCAGAAGAAACTGGAGTCAGGAAAAGAGGCCGGCAGACTCAGAGTCCCAGGAAGCCAATGGCGCCTTGGAGGCTCTTGGGAGGATGGAGCGAGAGAGCTGGTGCTTTGAGGCAACGGGAAGCAGGATCTTTGCATTTGAGTCTCATGCCAGCATTGCTGAGCCCTGGCTCAGTCCCCAGCTGTGAGATGGGGGTGGGTCTTGCACAGAGTGACAGTCTTGGGACTTCTGCACTTTAGGGCTGAAGATATCGTATGGATTCTCTAGTGGGACCACTTGATTTTCTAACAGGGACTTCAAGACCCAGAGAAGGGCTGTGACTTTGCAGATGTTATAGAGCTTTGTCCTCATGTTAAAGCCAGGACTAGAAGCCAGGTCTCCTGACTCCTGATGCAGTGCAGTACAGAGGGTGTACATCTGTTCAATGATCTACATCCTCATTGGATGGAGATTTCCATGTCTTAAGACCCAGAAAATGCAGTTTCTAACAGTGAAGCTGGGATTATTCCTGAGCTTGTCACCTCGGAGCCATCTGAATCCTGTGTGATCTTCTCACCTGATCTAATAAGAATAGTGACTGAGTTCAGACCGGGCTTCCAGCTCCACCTAGAAACGTCTCCCCATAATATATTCACCTGTCGAAGGAGAAGAGTATCGCCCACCTCCTCCTCCAACAGTCTTCTTTTGGCTTTTTGGAAAGGACAGCTCTTTTTCATAATTTACATTCGAGTGGATCCTCTCAACAACTCTGTGGAGAAGGGTATTATCCCCACTGTACAGATGGGAAAATAGAGGCTCAGCCAAGTTAAGAAATTCACTTAGGGTCTAATGCACAGGGAGAGGCAGTGCTGGAACTGGAGCCACAGCCTTGGTCTTTTGTCTGAGCTCTTCAACCAACAGCAAAGGAGAATCAGGTGGATGGGCTGAGAGAGGGGAAGGTGGAGGTTGGCCATGCTTGAAACTGTGGAACCTGACTCTAAGCACCTCAGGAAGAAGAGCACGTCTGGTGGGTTTCCTCCCAGCTCACCACCTCAGGTCCTGTGCTGAGGAGCTGGCGTCTACAGAGCCATGGTAGGTGGAGGTCACCTGGAGGGATGTTGTTCCTGTACCAAAAGAATCCAAAGATGGAGGCTCCCCGTATCCCTCCCCAAACCCCAGAAAACTCTGCTCTGTAGCAAGGAGAAGCAACCAGAATGTAACACAGGGACATGTCATCTGGGTTGGACAACTTCCACTAAGCCAGCTGGGCATACTCCAGAGATGCCAAGCTGCTCTGTTGTTTCCTGGGGCCTGTGGGCCACTGGGATTTTCTCTTTCTCCTCCAGGAAAAGGACAAAGAGTGAACAGCCCCACAGGCTAACTGGTGAGCACCCTGGGTTAGTTCTACTCTACCTAGAGTCCAACGGGATAATACATGTCCAGCCTTTAGCACAGCACTTGGCGCATAGAAAGTCCTCAGCAGCTTAGTGGTTTTGTTATTGATGTGGGACCTGAAAGAAGACTGAGATCCTCCGGGAAGCTTCCCTACACCACCCCATCCTTCCCACTTACCCCCAAACTCTGATTTAGGTGCCTTCCTATCAGAGTGAACCATTATCATGACACCAGTCCCAGTGTATTGAAATCATCTGTTTATGTGTCTGCTTCCCCGACAGAGCGTAAGATCTTCAAGGACTGTGTGTTGTTCATCTTTGGACTGTGTGACCACCCCACCCCCATGCTGAACACTGTACCTGGCTTAGTAGTTTTGCTAAATTCATGGATGAATGAATGAAATGTGAAGAAGCTCCGGATGATGCCAAGTTGCAAGGGAAAGCCAAGAACTGAGGGGAACTTTTGGGAGGCATGAAATGGAAGACCAAAAAAGGTGGGGAGAGGGAGGAAGAAATGTTTTTTTCTCAGGCATGAAACTGCCTAGGCTAGGCCATAGAAATGATGTTACTAGACGGAGATTTGCCAGAATCCAGGGAAATAGAGAGGATGTGGCAAGCGGTATTGCGGATCAAGTGATTTTTGGGCTCAGGGCCCGGGATATGGGTGAGAATGTGACCATATTGGAAGAACCTGACCATCCACCAGCTTTTTGCCAAGGGAGAGAACATGGTCAATCTAGCCACAGACAAAAGAGGGAGCTGGCTTTGCTGGAGCGATTTCTGAGAGATGAGGCCAAGGGAGATTCCCACTCCTAGGCTGGCCAGCAGGAAGAGTCATTCATCTCATTAGGAACTTGGCACGAAGGCAAGTGTCAACAGGAAGAGAGAAGGCTCTTGGTTATGGTTCTTGAAGGAGGCACTTCTGTCTCTCCTTGGCCAGGCTGGAGTTTAGGAATCATTGGTGGTCTTTGACATCTCAGATGTGAAAGAAAGACTAAGGAGACTGCAGTCAGGGGATGACAGAGCCGAGCAGAGGAATGGGGGCGTTGAGGGCTGAAAGGACATGGTACCTGCAGCCCAGGGCTGGCCTGGCAGTCCAGTTAGTACAGGTCGGGGCTCTGCTCAGGGGTCGTGGGGCCTTTCCCTCACTATTAGCCTTCAGCATTTTTTGCTTCTTTTGGACACATTCATTTCCTTTAAAGCGCTCCCGTGACCTGGTCCCATACTATCTCTCCGACTTCATCTCCTATTGTCACCTCCCTTCCTTTCCAGCCACTCTGCCTCCATGTTACTCTTCGAACTTCCAAGAATACCATGCTCTCCTGAGGACTTTTGCACCCAGACAGTTCTTCCTCAGATGGCCACGTGGTCCATCCTGTCACTTCCTGGGCCTGTGCTGAAAGACGCCTCCCTGTGAAGCCGTCCCAGATCACTCGTATGTGATTGTAATCCCCTTCTCCCAGTGCTAGCCGTTCTCCTTCCTCTGCTGTATTTTTCTCCATAACACACATCACAATCGGACACAACACATATTTGCTTGTTTGTTTTTTACCTGTTTCTGCCCTGGAGAAGGTAAGCTGTGACAATGCAGGCCTTTTTGTTCACTGCTATAACCCCGGTGCCTAGAAGAATGTGTTGCACATGGCAGGCCCTTGACACACATTTAAATAAATAAACAAAGCAATTAACCTTTCTGTGGGACCTTCCACTGATTGTCAGGATCTGAATTCTCACCTCTGCCCTTCCTAGATGTGTGAGTTTGGACAAGTCACGAACCCCTTTAGGCCTCTGTTTCCTTATCTGAAAAAGAGCATGTTGGACTAAATGGCATCTTAAAGTCCCTTATGGCTAAAATTTAGGGAGAATCCCTGAAGGAAGTGGGACCTTGAGGTAAGGGCCTGATGTCCATGATTCTCTCGCAGAATTAAAGCCCTGCATTCCATTAAAGCCCTGCATGCCACCTCTGCCCCCAGACCAGGCCTGGGCAGAAGCAGGGCCACCAGCCCTGCAGCTGGAAGCTAAGAGCTAGCCAGAAGGCTGAGGTCAAGGACTGATGACTAAGATGAAGGGAAAGAGATGGACGGGGCAGAACTGGGGCTGCTGCGTTTTATTTAAATCCATGATAAGGATCAGGAAGCAGGCAACAGCCCGATGACACATTAATTAACTTTGCAGATGATACTGGATCAGGAAGGTGTCCCATCCACCCATCTCAGCGAGAGAGATGGGACAAAAGGACCTGAGGAGGGGTCAGGAATTAGGCCAGGAAATTACAACAATGAACTTTGGCTGTGGCCAAGAGGGGAAAGGACTCATGTTCTCTCGAGTGGATTGGGGGTAGGGTGGAGAGGATCTATTTTCAGAACACAGATAAGCAGTGGATGGTAGGGGCTGGGAGTGGTGGCAGGGACCGCGAGGTCCCCTGGTTGTTTGAATTGATGTACTGATCCCCAGTGGAGACAGAGCCTGTTTTCTTGCCACTGTGTTTGGAGGAAGGGGACGGGGTAAGGGACAGGGAAGATAAATGACATTGATGGAGCACCCACCATGAACCAGGCACCATACACAGTATCTCATTTAAACTCCGCAACAGCAATGATAAGACAAGAGGAAATAATGGGTCACATAGACTAAGAAGTTTCTGAGAGTCACACTGCCAGAAAGTGGCAGAGTTGAGATTCAGATGTAGGAGGGAGGCGATGGTCCCAAAGTGGGTTAAGGGCCCCAGGAGAAAAACCAGAGTAGCTGCCAGGTTATCAAACTGCCTCTTCATTTTTAGGACTGAAACCTAAGTAAGTAACAAGTACCCAAAAGAAGACTTTCATTAGCACCCTGGGGTTCCACGGGTACTGGAAGTTTTCTTCTCTCCCTCCTGCTGGGACCAACCTGACCTTCCTAAGCAGTGCAGAGAAAGGAACGGGGAGGAATGGAAGACTGTCAGGCATCTGGACAATGTGGAGGGGTGACGCCAAGGAAAAAAAAGTGTGAGAGCTCTTGCAGCCTGTTGTGGAAAAGATACCAAAGGGCTCAAAGGCTCAGTTCTGTTCTGGCCACTAACCTCTCTGTCTTTGGTGAGAACAGGGTACTGATGGATTCTAGGTGAGTGAATGGTCACCTCTGGGGTGAGCCATTTCAGAGAATACAGGCCCATAGACAAGGATAGGTACCCCTGAAGAGGGCTTGGGGTGTGCCCGGACTCAAGGGTGACAGACATCTCTATTCCTCTAGGGAGCTGACAGCTGGAGGCATTCCTGAAACTCTAGCTAGGAACTCAGTGCGTGACCCAAAAGGGAATCCCAAACAACAAGTCTATGATTGAGCAGTCTGTTTCTGGTTGGGTCATGATGCCACAACAAACGGCCCAAGTAGAGAAGGCTGCAGGCCCTGGGCAGGCCTGGTGAGAAGGGCTGACCCAAAGGACAGCCATTGTGCTCCAAGCAGCATGAGCAGGGCTCAGGGGCACCATCGGAGCAAGGATAGGATCGGAGGGTGTGGAACCCGAGAGTTTCCCAGGAATGGGGTGAAGGAAGGGTTGATAGGAGCAGCACGGGGTGCCTGGGGGCCCGGGAAGGCATTTCTGAGGCCTAGAGGAAGGACCTTCGTCATCCAGGGACCCTGGGAGCAGAGCAGGGTCTCGGTAAACCAGAGAAGCCACACATGTCCTGAGAGAATGCACTGGGGGTCTCCCTGGAGGAGGCAAGACCCGGAAGCGGGTAGGCAGTAGGAAAGAAGCTGTATGGAATCACAGTCTGGCTCCCACCCAGCCTAGAAGTTAGAACATTTTTGTTGACATTCTTCTTGTTTGCAGCTCTGTAGCCATGTTCTGTTTGCATTAGCTCCCTGGTAAAATTGCTCAGAAAACATCCTTCTAGGCATCTGTGTGTTTGCTAGAGGGGAAGAAATAGTGTTTCCAGCCTGGGGTCAGAGGCTGGTGGTAGCCAGGAGAGGTGGTGGCAGGAACTGCCCCAATTCCAGGCTAGAGATGAACCAGCTGTGATGGGGATGGGGACTCTTCCGGAGCAGGAACAGTCAGGGCCTGGTCCTATCCTGCCCGGGCATGGACACGTCAGAGGCTTTATCGTAAATTGGGGAAAGCTTCATGACACTACCTCCCACCCTGGCCTACTCCTGTTCTCACATGGGGCTGTGAAAATGACCAATTTTTAAAAATATTAGAGATGGAGTTGATGGAAATATTCAAGCCAAAAGAATGGTGACACCTCAACAGCTGACGTGCTGGGAGAAGGCTCCAGGGCCAGGGGCTCTCCTGGCCTCTGCGGATGTCTGACTGGTGAGTAAGACTGTGTGGTCCATGGGGCTGACCCACGGACTGCTCTGATCAAGGGCCTTCTTCCCCTTCCTCTGGAGAACCCTCTCTTCTCCTCACAAAGAATGGTTATTCCGAAAAGAACCCCTTGGGATAGATCTTGGACTATGACCTATTTTTAAAACCCCATGGCACCTTTTAGACAGTCAGTTATTTCCCTTTGTCCTTAAGATTTTGCCAGTATGATTTCTAGCTCTTGGGACACACAGAGGCCTCCTGCTTTCCCCAGGCTTATTGTTCCAGAACACCAGGGAAGCCAATCAGGGCCAGGAGAAGGCAGCTCACAACCCCCTCATTTATGACAAGCAAATTATGGATTAGCAAAAGGAGATCAATGACAACTGGCCACGAGCTATTACCTTCATTCACCAGAATCCACCTTGCTATTCTTTTTGACATGCTTGTGAATAAAGACACACTTACACACTCGCCACTACCAGTTCCACCACACACCACACAAAAACGTATGCCATGCCTTGCCCCATGTTCTCTCTAAGTAGCTCATTTATACTCAACTCCAGTTCACCAAGTACAATTTTGCAAAGAGTCATCACTTTCAGTACACTACTCCCAAGTGGTGTGTGTGTGTGTGTGTGTGTGTGCGCGCGCGCGCGCGCGCGCGGGGAGGGGAGGGGGGCATCCTTTCATTCATCCCCAAACACCCCAGGGGTTCTTGGAAGGAGCTATGCCTCTACCCCTTCCCTACTTTGATGCCTGATTTTGCCCTAGGGCACAGGGCCTGTTCATTGCAAAGCCTCTACTGATTCCCTCCCATGATAGCCCCATCTAGGCCTTCCCTCCACCTTCTCCCTACTTCATCCCTGAGTTTCAGGGTTGAGTCTCCTCTCCCCATATTTACAAAACCCAGGTGGGTTGGGTAGCTGGTGTGATGCTATCTGGGACAGTCTTATCTAGCTACAAAGTGTGAATCAGTGATTACATCACACAGGGTTGGTGCCAGCCTGGCGGACTGCCATATTGCCAAGTAACCCAGTGGTTGAACCAGGTTGGGTTGAGTAATATCCACCAATGGATAGTGAGTTTGTTAATCATGCAGCATAGTACACTGTTGATGAAAGTGTAACACCGAAGGCCTGGTTTGATTGGAGAAGGTGCAGGTGGGGCTGGATGCTGACTATGAAGACAGTCAGGGACAGTATCTTCCTCCCATACTACTCACTTGAGAAATACATAGAAATCTGGAAGGAAACATCTAGTTTAGCAAAGAGATGGATTATATGCTCAATGTTAGGACCTTTCCGCCATCTTGGATTCCCTTTGTTAAAAAGGAAGGACACTTCTATGAGGCTATTGAAGCCACAGTCTGAAATTTTAGAAGTTTCATGAGGTAAGAGAAGGGAATTCAAGATGGCAGCCGGTGACCTAAAATTGTGTGGGTGGGAAAATTTAAGATTCCATACTGCATTCTCCTTCTTCATCTCTCACTTCAAAAACATTCTTTTCTAGGGCCACAGCCTACCTCCTACGCCCAGGTCTGGCCTCAACTTCTTGGTAACTATAGCCAACCAGAAATACCACCCATATTTTTCTCTGTGATGGGGCTGCCTTGGGGATGCCGAAGAGCAGTTTCTGAGCAGGGACACGACATTTCTGTTGCTTTGTGGCTGACCTGGTCGGCACCTCAGGGTCTGAGATACAGATTCCAGTCACAAGCTGGTGGGCCATTTATACAATCTGGTGGGGTATAGCGCAGCATTATACACCAAGCCCCTAAACCTGGGTGAAGCAGATCATATGTGAAATGCACTGCAGAGGAACCCAGGTGAGTTTTTTTTAGAGGGCAGGCGGGAAGAAGGGGAGAGAGCAAAGACTGACTTGTGCAAAGACAGCTCTACAACAAGCCTCAAGGGATAAAGCCTTCCAAGGACTATGGGGAACAAGGTGAGGGGTGCAAAATGCAGATGCAGACACAGGAAAGAAGTGGAGGTTACATTTTCCTCAAGAGAAATGGAGACAGCTCTAGGGCTGGCAAATTAAGTTAAGGAGGAGGAATGTTCTAGGGAAGACAGCTTGGAGGATAGGAGAAGCATTGCTTTTATGGGAGGTAGAAATCATAAGGTATGGCAGTTTGAGGCTATGCAAATATTCCCTGTGTGTTCTCCAAATCCCAAATGTCCTTTCTTCCTTTCAAGGCATTGGATCCCTGGGTCATTCATAGGAGCTGGTTTTCAGCGAGGTTCACCTTTACCAGGCAGCTCCAAATAGTGAGGCCTAGAGGAATCCCATCCAAGCGGGATTAAAATTATAGAAGTTTAAAACCTGATTTTTTTCCAGTTATCTGACCACAGAAGAGCTGCCAATCTCTCTGGTCATCTTGCCAACCCTGAAGAACCTCGGTCAAGTCTCCACCTGTTTTTCAGGCTTCAAAAGCTTTGGCAAGAGAACTACTCAGTGTGGCTGACAGGCCCTCCAGGGTCCTGTTCTGGCATTCCCTAAGACTGTCTCTAGAGAAATTGTTCATAAACCGGGAGATCTCCTCCCTTCTACCCCCAAATACCCATTGGAAGCTGGAAAGAAGGTTCTAGAAGATTCCCAGTCACCAGCCCTGACTCCCATGAATTTACCTAACCTGTTCGCCTAATCCCTCTGGCAGTGTGAGGCTTACAGAAGGGTGGAGGGGAATTCTATTCTCCTGGTACCACAGTAAACACTCAAAACTATTTGAAACACCAGAACCTTGCACAAAATTCTGACCTACTTCGAATAACACCAAGTTCCACATTTCCACTTTGAGAGTTTTCAGAGGAAGAACAGCAAAATTAGGCATAACAACCTATCAAACAAACCACCAGCCAAAAACAAACCAAGACAAAAAACAGGCCAAACTAAAGCTTTATGCTATAAAAACAAGAAATAAAATAAGGAGATTTATAGGCCGGCTGATTGTCAGCAAACACAATATATTTACTGTATTAGCATTTGCTCACAGTGCAAATGGTACAACATTACACCATTTCAATATTTCGGTTTTTAAAAATGCTGTTTTCATTAACTATATTATATTGGCATTACAATATGACAAAGGAGCAAATGAAATGTTGGTGAAGAATTTCACCTTTTCACAATATCAAGCATATTTTTTTAACCTTAGTATAAGGTACTATAAATCCAAGAAATAAAAACATCCACAAAATATATTACATCTGGTTTGTCTTTTTTCTAAGTACTCAACTTTATACAAAAGTCTTTCAAAAAATATCATTCCCCATAGGTTTTCCTGTTTAAAACCTGATTTTTTTCTCTCAGTTCACATAAGTTAGAGTGCATTTTCTTTTGTTGCTTTTTTTTTTTAAACATGCAGACATATAAAAAATCTGGATAGCACAACCTTTTGGCAACAAAGTTATTTTTCTCTTAGTTTAGCTTAATGTCTGAGAACAGTTTTATTAAAACAAAGGAAAACTCAATTATCATGCAGTGACATGCATATACCAGAAGGAGCGAGGAAAAAATATTAAAGGGTATCTGATTCCTCCTTCTAGCTTGGAAGTGACCAAAATTTTTGCTTTTTTAATAATCATCACATTATAAAAAGTATTCAGCAAAATACTGTCTCTGCAAAGAAAGATTTTACCCTTCAGCTGAAAAAATATGGGCCCTCCTGGCAAACTTCATCTTCTTCTCTCTCCTTCTACAAAAAGTCCAAGTACCTGGAAATTCACAACCCCCTGCTCTTCGATATCCCCCCTTTCCACTAGAGTCCTTTTAGTATTATTTATCCACCACCAAAAATCAAAACAAAACAAAACAAAAATGGTACTTCTTTTTCTTAAAAAAGAAAAAAGTGGAAAACGCATAAAGTGACTTTAAAAACAGACATTCTGTAAACTCCAGACCTTTGTTCCTTCTCTCTGGGCAACTTACTGACCACAGGAGAAGTAACGCTAACAGGAACAGTACATTCAGTCAAGACCATGCTGCAAGCTGTGGCAGAGAGCAACCTTCCCTATTACTCCACTTCAAAGGAGCCACCCTGTACGAGAAGGGCTGGCAGGACAGCTGGGGAAGAGGGGTGCCTGAGAAGAGGTGAGGTAGGGTGGGGAGAAGGTGAGACTGGGTATGGAAAGGAGACACCTCATTCATCCACATGGATTCATGAAAAAATCCCCATATCTTTGAGGAAATTTTGGACAGAGATGTGTATATGTGTATACACACATATCCATACATAGATGTGTATATGTGTATATATGTACACTCACATGTATATGTACAGATATGTGTGCATCTATATCCACACACATAACACACGTATGTAGATATAATCTCATCAGTTAACATTTTCATAAAAAATAAATCATTTAAAGCTGTATACGCCTACAAATTCTCTTTATTCCGGTGCACTGCACTGGATAACCAAGTACCTTAGAGATTTTATTTTGCTAGGAATACATATTGTGTGTATGTTATGTATATGTACGCATGTGCATCTTTATACACATGCATGCATATACATACACATACATACACACGCACACCATATACTTATATTTAAATTCTATCTGTTGTGTTGGTGATGACAAAGGGCAAAAGCAGAGCCAGCTTCCCCATGATGGTGGGAAGGAGAAATTGCTATGTAATTGAGAGAAGACACAAAGCTGGAGTGGCTGGTTGAAGCCTGCCTTTCTGGGAAAAGATTTTGAAAGAGATGGGAGAAGGTTTAGAGGGGAGAAGGGGAAGGAGTGGGAGGGCAGGGGGCAAACTCAGGAACATAGATTTCTTAGAGTGGGGCTAAGGAAATACACATATATTTTAAAAGGCAGGCTCAGCGATGGCTGCTCTTTCTCCCCACAGATCAAACTGCCCTGAGGCCTAAGAGGGAAGCGCTCAGAAAAGGAGGGGTTCTGAGGGGCCAAACCCGAAGCGGCGGCAGCAGCACCGCGTCGGCGGCATCCGAGGCATTTCTCTAAGAAACATGATTTCAGAGCGGATGGAAGACCACCTCCTCCAGCCACGTGCGGACCCCCAGCATGGGACATCTCCCAGCGGCTTGGGGACCCGAGGTGGGGAAGAGTTTGGGGTAAACACAGCCCAGTTCAGCTCAAGAGTCTTAAACACACACGCTTGCGCGCGCGCACACACACACACTCACACACACACATACACACACACGCGAGCACGCACACACTCGCGCGCATCCCCGCACGCAGGCGCGCGTGCGTGCGGCGGGCAGCAAGCTCTGCGCTTTGGTGCGCTCCTTACCCCCTCCCCCTCTCGAGTCTTCGAGGGGGTATAGAGGGAGACGTGGGGGAAACAATGAGGTGTTTGGGTCGGGCGAGGGTTGGATGGGCTCCGCCTTCAGTCCCTTGCAGGTCCTTGGCGCGGCCCGGCGGCCCCTGGATCAAGGCGATCCGAACTGAACAAAGCGGGCTAGACGCCACCTTTCCGCCCCCACGCCTTGGCTAAGTGGGGGACCGCGAGGGGAAGGCGCCTCCAGCCCTGGCCCCTGACCGCTGGCCGGCGTGAAAGGTTGGGAACCGGGGGCATCGAAGGGGAAGCAAGGGGCCGCACGTCCATGGAGAGGCCAGGGCGCGGCCCCTACGCCTCCGTGGCTGGCTTTCCCGCTGCTTTCAGGCTAGCAGCCGGGAGGCACTGGAGGGGAAAAGTGGGGATCTGGGGGCCCGATCCTCAGGCGCAGGTGGTGACCACGGGGGCCAGCGACACGGGGGGCGCCGAGGATGCAGAGGGTGCACCGCCCTTCTCCGCCTTCTTCTCCTTTTGCTTGAGGTGGATCTTGGCGTGGCGCTTGCGCTCGTCGCTGCGCGCAAACTTGCGCCCGCAGAACTCGCAGGCAAAGGGCTTCTCGCCCGTATGAGTGCGGATGTGAGTGGTGAGGTGGTCGCTGCGGCTGAAGCTCCGCATGCAGATCCGGCACTGGAAGGGCTTGTGGCCCGTGTGGATGCGCAGGTGCCGGGTCAGCTCGTCCGAACGGCTGAAACGGCGGTCGCAGCCCTCGGCCGGGCACGCGTGGGGCCGTTCGTGGAGCGGTGTCTTGCTAGGCCGGTTGGGGTACTTGCGGGGCCGGATGGGCTTGAGGGTGAGCGGCGGCTGGGGCAGGCTGCCAAAGCCCGGGTGGATCTGCTTGTCTTTGAATGCCTTGATGGTCTCCAGAGGGGTAATAGGGGGCGGGTTGACCCGGATGGGGTCCATGCCCTGGAAGGGCTTGTGCTCCGGAATGGAGCCCATGTCGTTGGGGTGGTGGTAGAGGTTGTAGTCAGGAATCATGGGGAAGAGATTGCTGTCCAACGCCGGCTTGGCCGATTGGTAATCCTGGGGGGAATAGGCGAGCCCGGGATTGCCCTGGGGGTCGTGGAAAGACACGGGCTCTGAGTAGAGGTCGCCGCAGTTGGAGTAGGGGGGTAGCGCGGGATACATGGCCTCCACGTCACCCTGCGGTGGCTGCACCATGCTGGCCGTGGACGTCTGCGTGCTGAGCGCCCCTGAAGCCGGGGGCACCCCCAAGATGCCGGCGCTCATGAGGCTAATGATGTTGTCCTGGCACCAGTTGGAAGGGGAGTCGAAGGCGAACTTTCCCAAGTAGGTCACGGTCTTGTTGCCGGGGGCTGGCTGGAAGGAGCCGGAGTAAGAGAGTTCCGGGTTGGGCTTCTCGTTGGTCAGACCGATGTCCATTACATTCTCTGCGGAGAGCGGGGGAGAGAGGGGAGGGGTGAGTGAAGCCGATCCGGCTCCGGGCCGCGGCGCCCAGGTCCTTGCCCAGGTGCGGAGGGTGCGGCCGGGTGGAGTGCGTAGCGCATGGGGTAAGAGGAACGCTGAGCCCCGCGCAAAGCGGGCGGTGCCGCGCTCCCGGGCGCAACCTGGATATAGCAAAATACTACGGATCGGGGTGTGGAGTGGCTGCTGCACACACAGCGCACAAGCCGCGCACACACTCACGTACCACACACACACGCGCGCGCGCGCGAGAAGCATTGTTGTTCTTCCCGAGGTGGGGCGGGCAGGTAGCTGCAGCTACAGGTAGTTTCAGACCCGGAGCGCGCTGGGCTCTCGCTCTCCACCGCACACAACTCGGCCTCTTCCCTTGGCCCTGTCCGCTCCAGGACGCCGCGCCTTTCCCTCCCCGGCGATGCCCCCCACGCGCGCTGCTCCCGGGTCGCCGACCCAGAGCGCTCCGACGCTTTGTCCTCGGAGCGTAGAAGGGTGTCGCCCTCAAAGGGAGCTCTCCCTTCACCTACCCCGGCCCCAGCCTCCTCGGGCATGAAGGAGCTTTAGGCTCTTGCTGGAGGGGAAAATCCTAGCCCCAGCTAGGGAGGGTGGAGAGCGGCGGAAAACCGGCCGGTGTCTCCATGGCGGGAGAGGCCGCCCTTCCCCAGCTCCCCGGCCCCGGGATCGTTCCCCGTGGCAGGCCCTCGCCCCGCGGGTGAACCCCCTCCTTCTCCCCGCCGTCCCCACACCCCCACGGCTTTGCTGAACGCCCCGGAAAGGCAGCGTCGCAGTACCTCTCCCACCGCGGGGACTCCACGCCGCACATGGCTCCATCCCGGGTGGGAGGCTGAGGGAGTAAGGGGGGAGAGCGCGGGTGAAAAAGACGCCGGGCTCCTCCCGGGAAGAGGGCGACAGCACCACGCCTTGCGCGTAGCCCGGCGATCGGGCCCCCTGCGTGGTGAGGGAGAACCCCAGAGCCGCTCGCACCTACCTCCCTCCGGTCGGCGGCTGCCCCCACCCGGGAGAACCGAAGCCTCTACCGTGGCGTCGCCAACCTAGCCTTCTCGATCGAGGAGGGCGGGAGGAGTGGGTGGGAAAAGCAACTCGCCCCCCGCAAAATTCCCAGCGCGCCCCCATCTCTCCATCCATTTATCTATCCACCCATCCACCCATCCATCCATCCATCCATCCATCCATCCATCCATCCATCACCAGGTCGTCCCCTCCTCCTCTTCCTCTCCCCTTCCTTCCTCGCTGCCTCGCCGCCTCCCCGCCGCCCTTACCTGTAGCCATCTGATTGTAATGGACTACCGAGTCGCTGCTGCCGGAGAAGAGGTTGAGCGCGCTGGGGATCTCCTCGGGGTACAGATTGTCAGGCAGTTGGTTTAGCAAACTGCTCATGGTCACCGGCAGCTTCTCGGCGAGTTTGCCGGTCATAGCACTCCCGAGCTGCCGCCGCCGCCGCCACCGCCGCCACCGCCGCCGCTCGCTCCTAACGCAGCTTCCAGGCAAGCGGCATCCGAGAGGCGATCCGTGGTGCAGGGGAAAAGCATGCGAGAGGGAAAGTTCGGGGGGAGGGGGGAGGGAAGAAGGGAAGGGATGGGCCAGGAGAGGGGATCTTCTCTTTTTTGGGGGGCGGGAGAGGGCCCCAGGGGGTAATCCTCTTGGGTGCCTCAGCTGGTGCGGTATGAGGCTGGGTCGTGGGGGGGGTGGGGCGTGTGCGGGGGGTGGGGTGGGGGCTGGGCTGGGGGGGGATCTCGGCTCAAGGGGGTCGGACGCGGCCTCAGTATTGATCTCACAAACAGACACGCGCCCGCCGCCCCCCCGCCCCCCGATCTGCCACCGCCACCGCCACCGCCACCGCCGCCGCCGCCGCCGCCGCCGCCGCCGCCTCTGCCGCCGCTGCCGCCGCTGCTACCACCACCACCAGCCCCGCCGCTTCCTAGCAAGCTCACTGCTGCCCAAAAGCTCCCAGCCAGGGAACTCCACCAGCCTATTTATCTGAGCCCCGGGAAAGCTCCGTGACGTAGCTGCCCATATATGGACAGACAAAGCCCAGCCGAAGGGGCGCGACGTCACAATGGAAGCTCCTCACAATGGAACATTAGAAAGCAGGAAGCGGGCCGCAGCCAACGTGCGGCGCCCGCACCGCTCGCGGCTCTTGAAAAAAAGAGAAGGGGAGAAGAAACAAGAAGAATGCGAGAAGAGAGAGGAAAGAAGGATACAGCTGCATGCAAAGCGCAAAGCGCGTAGCGTGGAGTCGAAACACCAGTAACTCATTGTGTGTGTTTATTTGAGGTTTGCGTTAGGAGAGCGCATTGGGGAGAGGTGGGCGGTGGGGTGGGGTTGTTTGCAAGTGGTCTCCAACACCCCAGCAGTTAGAAAGAGAGTTGAAAACATCTGGCGAAATCCCTTTGCAGCCCGGGAACTGCTGGGGAACCCGGAAGGCGTGCGTTGCGCCCCTGCTACCTCAGCGGCTCCAGCGTTCGGGATCCTATCCGAGATTAAGAGAAAGGGAGTGCTTCCCTTTGTGGGGGGAAGGAGGGGTGCGCGCAGGGTTGGGGGGGTGTTTCAACTTGTCAGAATTCCTTGGTCCAATATCCCAAGAACTTTTGTGCCAACTTCACTCTGATTCGCCGCCCCTGCCCCTCCCTGGGCCCCTGACCCGGCGCTGACTCTAGGCTGAGCGCAGTGGCGAGGAGATTCGGAGCACCCCAGCAGTTGCGCCAAAGACAAGAGCCCCATCCATATGGGGTCGAGGATGTGCGGTTTTCGTGGTGAAGAGGAAAGAATGAAGTTGAAGGGATAGATAAACACGTGCACTGAATCCCCAGTAAATTCCCTAACGGTTCCAAGCAGCCTCTGTGGCCACAGGATGGCAGGAGGGCCCAGCAGGCCCGGGCGCAGTCGCTGTCTACTGCTGCCTGCGAAGGGCCCGCCAGAGTTCCAGAAGGAGGACGCCGAACCCACAGTCTCTGAGCCACTGGGGGCCTCCCCTAGTCTCTGCCCTCCCCCTCGCCTTCCACAGGGCTGTCCCCATTGCTGCCTGCCGGCGCTCCGCAGTCAAGGGCGGCCTGTGTGCCGACCCGGAGCGCTTTCACCTCCCGGAGCGGCAGCAGATCCCGGGGGCGGCTGCTGTGCTCCCTGGGGCCTGCTCCCGAGGCGCGCGCAGCCGGCCCGCGGGCGAGGGGGAGGAGAGGGCGGGAGCATGGGGGTGCGACCCCAAATCACATCGGCTTGGCGGGGGAGGATTCCCTCCTCGGTGGCCGCGTGGGCGCGGTGAATCCCTCGTCCCCTCCTGGGGAGTCGGGGTTGGGGGAACGTGCATTTCTCGGGGGGAGTGGGAGTGTTGACAAGGAAGAAGAGAGGATCCCCGGGCCTCACGCCGTGGGAGGGCCACGCGGGCCGGGGACGTGTGGGAGGAACTCCCGAGCTGCACGTTGTGGTGGAGGTGGATGACAACCTCGCTCCCCTCCCCTCCCCTCCACTCAGTGGAGGGCTGGGGACCGGAGGGCCCGGCCTCCCCCCATCTTCTCCAGTTCTTAGGAAAGGAGGGATTCCCGCCTCCCGCGAGCCCCCTCTCTCCACCCCCGCCGCCTCTCCCGCCAGGCTCCCCACTCCTATACTAGGGAGCCACAGCGCCCCCCGGGCTGTCCTCCGCCAGCGCGGCTCAGGGAGGGAGAGCGCTGCAGCGGTCCCGCGCTCCGGTCAGAATCAGGGCAGGCTGCGCCTCCCGCCCCCGGCTCCCTCCCTTAGGGGGGGCGCGCGGCCGGTCGGGGGGCGTGGGCGGCGGTGTGAGCCGGGCTAGGTGCGGGAGGGGCCCGGGCGGCTGCGGGGAGGGTCGCAGGGCGGCGGGCCAAGCCGGGAAGAGCCATACAAGGAGCGGATCCGGTGACGCGCCGGCCGCGCCCCTTCTCCTTCTCGATTTGGCTGCAGATTCCGGTCCCAAGATTTGCATATTTTGGCATCCAGTGGAAAAGGAAAGAAGAACGGAACCCGCAGCCTTTAAAGGAACCGCACAGGCTGTAGCGTCACCCAGGGAGGCGGTGGGGGTGGGGGTGGGGGCCTGAAAAATTAGCCAGCGGCTCTGGCCTCTGGCCGTAGAGCCCGGCAGCAGGGAGGGCCAGGGAGGGGCGGCAACCAGCGAGCTTCGGGCGCGCCAGTCCCAGACCTGGCCCCTCCAGAGTGCTTCCTGCTGCGCGTGCACCCGGAGGCTGCGGAGGGTCTCCACGGGTTCCTGCCTGGGGCCGGGAGACGCTGTGGGGTCCGCGGTCCTGGGCGAGCTGCAGGCCCGAAGGCTGCAGTGCCCATGTCTCCCCGCGCGAGGCAGAGCTCAGCCTGCGGGGGTGGTGGGAAGGAAGTGAGAGGCCTCCGGGCCGCCCAGCTCAACTCCGGAGGACCCCACCGTGATGCACCCACTTTCCACCTGTCAGGATCTCTCCCCAGGAGGGGCTGCAGAGTGAGGAGCTAGAAGCCCTTATCCTGTTCGACTGGGGCCTGAGTTGGGAAAGGCAGAGGCAGTGGAAGCATTTGGGATCCTTAAGCTTCCAGGGCCCCAGAGGCTGTGGAGTGCAGCCACTCCCAACTGGAGGAGACGGCCTCTCTCCCAACACTTTTCGGCACGCTGGACTTGTTGCTTCCAAGTAGAAGAGCATGGGGCAAGGTTTGCTGACCTGCACCAGGGCTTGCTTACCCGTCAGCAAGATTGGATAGGAGTCTGGGGACACGATTCCTTCCCTCTCCTTTCTACTAGTTCTTTGCATAAAACGGGAGCCTTCAATTCAATTAAAGTCTTCATTAAAGCTTCACTGTGACCTTGGGCAAACGTCTGTTTTTTTTTTCTTAGCCTCAGTTTCCTTGTCTGTAAATTGGGATAATAGTATCTACCCCTTAGGAATAATTAAATTAGATAATCCTCATAGAGTACTTGCCAGTCCCTTAAGCAAGCACCCGATAAACTGCAATTGTTGTTAAACTATTCTTCCCCACCCAGCCTTGTGACAGATATGCCCTTCCCTCTCGTGTGTGGCAGGAGTAAATTTAGATGATATAGGTAGTAAAAAAGGCCAGGTATGGAACTCCATCACAGACCAGCGTGATCATATGCAAGAAGTATTAATAATGTTGATTATTTAGGGGGGGAAACGAAATCTGTGTGCCTAGTATCTCCTGGGCACTGTCCCAATCCAGGGATGGTTAAGGAATGGTCCCCGGTCTGAAGGAGCCCAGACATGAACTGAGCTGAGCCCTCAACAGCTGGTGGTGACACAAGGCAGGGTTCAAAGAAGTCACTCAGTTGCTCTCTAACACTCTGGAGCAGCCTTTCAGACATCTTTTGGGGGTGGTGTGGCTCCTGGAATGGGAGGGAGCCTTCTTTCCTCTGCTGGAAGGAACCATGCTGGCGAATGCCTGCCCTACAAGGTTAGGCCCTCAGTGCCCAGTGCCTGTTCAGGTTGCAGCCTGCAAAGATGTCCCCTGTCATCCTCGATGATGGTGGCAGATGGAGTCCAGGGTTCTGTGGCAGGAGGGGACAACCCTGGGTGTGGAGCAGGAGTGGGGTGTTGGAGTGGCTGCTTTGTAAATGAATTCTCCCTTCCGGTTGCCAAGCCTTAGAATAGAAAAAAGTTTTCCTCCTTCCCTTCCTCCCTCCTGGTTTCCTCCCTCCTGGTTTCCTCTCTCCCTCCTGAACAGGAGCTGAAGGTGTTTGTCTGTTTTATTGGCGGGCTCAGGTGAGATTGCCAAGGGCCTAATTACCTGAACTCTAAGCCCTGAACTTGCTGGGGAGCGAGTAGGCACTGATTCAGGGCGTCCTCATCCTGGAGATGGTGAAAGGCAGGCCGGCTCCTCTGCAGCAGAGCCAGGGCTGCCAGCCCCTGGCCGCTCTCTCCTATGGAGTCCAACTCATCAGCTGCACTTATGGGGACTGCTGCTGCTTGTTATGGGCATGGGCATGTTTGTCTTGATTAAGGACAAAGGAGGAAGGAGATGTGGCCACTGAAATCCACTGTAGAAAAATGCAAAGTTACAGCTGTCTTGGTCCTTTTTTCTGTAGTCACCTCTGCCCTCTGAACTTTAGCTGCCCCGTTTGCTAAAGATATCTAGTCCTTCTCTGATATCTTATAATAAAGAACTCCCCATACCCTGAATTAATTCAGTCTGCGGTGTGAGCAATCTAACTAATGCATTGCCCTTCTCAGAGGGTGTTTGCATTTTAAAAGAAAACGCTTAGGGGTGGTAATATATAACCCAGAGGAATCAAGCCCAATACTCAGCGTGGTGCCTGGAAAGTGGTAGGTGCTCATGAATGCTGGTGAGATGACATCTGGTTGTGGCATATCAGAGTCAAGGAGTGGGAGACTTGGGGTGCAGAGAGTATCTCGGTTCCTCCAATCACACCAAGCACCTGTGTACGGAACCCACCCTGGTGGGACTGCTCCTGAATGGCAGTTCTCTTGAGGGTCCTCAGTTGCTTTCCATTTTGGGGTGTGCCACAGGGCTTCATAGGCGATGGACAAGTCACAGTGGAATCCTCCTGGCCAGTCCTGCCTAGCGTTCTAGAGGTCATTGTCATTTCTTGGATAATGACAGCCAGCTCAGAGGCTAGGCTGGTTTTGCCTAGAAGTTTTAGGAAGGGAATGCTGTTGGCAGCCCCACAGATTCCCACATGCTTCATGAAGACCTTGAAGCTGGTGCTCCTGGTGGAGTCGGAGCTGAGCCCAGTCCCGGGAGCTGCAGGAGCTTCCGGGCTCTAGCCATGGAAGATGGGGGCAACTGATATCTGATGCCTGCCTTGGCCAGGCCTTGTGGACACATTTCATTTTCTTCAGTTTTCTTTCTTTCTTTCTTTTTTTTTTTTTTTAAATAGTGTCTTGTTCTGTTGTCCACGCTGGAGTGCAATGGCATGATCATGGCTCACTACAGCCTTAATCTCCTTGGCTCAAACAATCCTCCTGCCTTAGCCTCCTCAGTAGCTGGGACTACAGGTGGGTGTCACTATGCCCAGCTAATTAAAAACTTTTTTTTTTTTTTCAGTAGAGATGGGGTCTTGATATGTTGCCCAGGCTGGTCTCCAACTCCTCGCCTCAAGTGATACTCCTGACTCAGCTTCCCAAAGTGCTGGGATTATAGGCATGAGCCACTGTTTCAGGCCATAATTTTCTTCATTCTTTACAACAATCCTGTGAGAGGAAGGCTTTAGGGCTGCCCTTTCAAGTCTTAAGAGTCCAAGTAGCTTACTGGAGGCTACCTGGCTGGTCTGACAGTTGAATTCGTCCTGTGTGACTTTAAAACGAATGCTCTTAACTCCATCCTTTGTCCCCATTGTGGCTGTCAAGGGAAAGAAAAGGGGTGGTGGATGTGGGTAAGAGGAGGAACCAGGATGAAGTCTGTGGAGAAATCAACGTGTGGGAGAAAGGCAAGCTTGAGAGGGGCACCCCAGCACGCCCTTGGACCCAGCATGGAGGCATGGGAGAAGCCATCGCCCAGAGGAGAATAAGGGTACTCACCATTCCCACGGGAATCAGGGAGGAACTGTTTCTGCCAGGGCCTCTCAGTAGGTGCAATGGCCACTGTGCCACTCTGCACCTGGCTATCCCTTTCCTAGGCTGTCTCGGAGGCCACCGGATCCTCTCCAAGCCAATTACATACGTCTCTTCTAAACACCTGTTTGTGCCTAAATTCAAACTAATGCATTATAATGATGTTGAAATAAGAGTATTTTTGATTACACTTTAAGTAATTTCAGGTAGAGTCCGGTGACCAAAGAGAAAAAGTCCTATTATATAGTAACATTTACTGGAGGGATGAGGTGGCTCATGCCTGTAATCCCAGCACTTTGGGAGGCCAAGGTGGGAGGATCACTTGAGGTCAGGAGTTTGCGACCAGCCTGGCCAAAGTGGTGAAACCCCATCTCTACTAAAAATACAAAAATTAGCTGGGCATGGTGGCACACTACTGTAGTTACAGCTACTTGGGAGGCTGAGGCAGGAGAATCACTTAAATCTGGGAGGCAGAGGCTGCAATGAGTCAAGATTGTGCCATTGTACTACACCCTGGGCAACAAAGCGAGACCTTGTCTAGGAAAAGAAAGAAAGAAAGAAAGGAAGGAAGAAAGAAAGAAAGAAAGAAAGAAAGAAAGAAAGAAAGAAAGAAAGAAAGAAAGAAGGAAGGAAGGAAGGAAGGAAGGAAGGAAGAAAGGAAAGAAAGAAAGAAAGAAAGAAGAAAGGAAGGAAGGAAGGAAAGAAAGAAAGAAAGAAGGAAAGAAAGAAAGAAAAAGTAACATTTTTTTTTCCTGTTTTTTTTTTTTTTTTAGATGAAGTCTCGCTCTTGTCCTCCAGGCTGGAGTGTGATGGTGCAATCTCAGCTCACTGCAACCTTTCACCTTCTGGGTTCAAGTGATTCTCCTGTCTCAGCCTCCCAAGTACCTGGGATTACAGGTGCCCACCACCACACCCAGGGCTTTTTTTTTTTTTTTTTTTGAGACAGAGTCTCGCTCTGTCACCCAGGCTGGAGTGCAGTGGTGTGACCTTGGCTCACTGCAAACTCCGCCTCCCGGGTTCAAGCAATTCTCTGCCTCCCGGGTTCAAGCAATTCTCCTGCCTCAGCCTCCTGAGTAGCTGGGACTACAGGTGTGCGCCAACATGCCCGACTAATTTTTGTATTTTTAGTAGAGACAGGGTGTCACCATATTGGCCAGGCTGGTCTTGAGCTCCTCATCTCATGATCCGCCAACCTTGGCTTCCCAAAGTGCTGGGATTACAGGTGTGAGCCACCGCGCCTTGCCATTTTTTTTTTGTACTTTTAGTAGAGATGAGGTTTCACCATGTTGGCCAGGCTGGTCTCAAACTCCTGACTTCAGGTGATCCGCCTCCCTTGGGTTCCCAAAGTGTTGGGATTACAGGCATGAGCCACCGTGCCTGGCCAGAAAAAGTACCATTTACTTTTCTGAAAAATCCACATTTACAAAGTGGATTGTCCTGGAGACTTCTTCTAAGATACAAGTCCAAGACAGCGAGTCACTGCCATGGGTAGTCCTGAGGATGAGAGTTTGGGGCTGGCTGGGCTGGGGCAGGGAGAGAAGGAAGATCTTAGAAGGTGAGACTTGTGCAAAGTGTGGTGTGTGGGTAAATGTTAGGTGTTAGCCCTGGCCTGGGAATCAGGAGTTCTGGGTTCTGCTATGAATTATCTATGATTTTAGGCCAAGGCCTTCTTATTCCTGGCCTTTAGGAAGGGGTTGGACTGGGATAAACTACCTCTAAGTTCCTCCCAGCTCTGTTCATGAGTTTCTGGTTCTATTGCAGAAGGGTTGAGAGGAGACGTCTGTTAGAGTTCCTAATGAAATTTAGGGGCTCTGTAGGGCTTGGGCTGGGGTCTTCAGGGAGAAGGAGGAGGGATGAGAGCTTGTAGTGGGAACTTCGCTGTCTTAGCTCAGGGGTTCAGGGAGGGTAAGTGGGGTCATGTGCTCCGAAGGTCCTGTCATTCCCCCTGGGGGCCCCAAGGAGAGCCCCTTCTCAGTCAGCAGGGACGGGCGTCTTTGCAGAAAGGACTCTCTGGGGATGGGGCTTTTTGGAAAGAGGAACTTCGTGATTTGAAATGAACCAGAAAAGGTGTGAGTGTGGGGGGACGGTGCAGGACGCAGTCAGGGGAAGCAAAGAGGGAGTGAGAGAGAAGACCGAGTATTAGAGACGAAAGAGATGAGAGCACGTTCTTACCTCCATTGCTTGCCACACAGCTGGCTTCTTGCTGGATAAAGGCTTTGCCCATGGGACAGACGCTGATCCAAAGGCTGGCAGATTCCTCTTCTCCCTGCCCTGTGAGAAACAGCTTCGGGAAACCAGAGAGAGTTGCAAACCCTAGATCAATGTCTCTTATCAGCTCTCAGCTTCAGGAGCCTACTCAGCCTAAAACAATCAGGTGCTGGCCTCATCCACCCAGGTGAGGAACTGGATGGAGCCCGACTTCTGGTTTCTTCTTTGCTGTTCTGTGCAGTCAAAACTCTGGGATCCAGGGAACAGCAGTTAATGACTCTTTGGGGCCCAGAATTGGAGCTCCTTGGTGGCATTTGCATCCTCTTTCACCAGATGACTTAGGCAGCGCTTCCTGACCTTTGTCATGCTGTAGTTCTCATAGAAAATGAAACTTTTTACAGCCACTGCAGTAAAGAACCAAGGCTGCCTCTGGCCCCTGAGGCCAATATTGGCCCAACTGGAATCCACTAGAGGGCTGCACGTTGGCTAGGAAGCTCTGACTGATGGCATGGGCTTCCCTGCCAGGGCTCATGGTGCATAGGCGAAGGAAGAGGGGCGTGATCTCTCTCAGACGCTGAGAATTATTTGGGTTGCTCATAATTACTTGGCCTAGGGTCACCCAGAAAGTTACTGAAGACAAGAGATGGTATCCAAGATCCCTAGCGGCAGGGACTGAATCTCACTCATCTTTGTCTCCGCAGTGCCTAGCACTGTGCCCGGCCCCAAGCAGTACTCAGTAAGAACTTGTGGACCCAATTCAAGTGTCCTAGTTGGTGATTCTGATGGATGATTGATTGGAGTAGGAGTCTAATCCACTTTGTCCTTCCCACCTGGTCCTTTTACTTCTATCCCCATGACCCCCGACTCTCCTAACCCTCACAGCACAGGATGGGGGGCCTCTTGACCACCAGAATTCCATTTTGCGGCGGGCGCAGCGTTCCCGGTCTAGGCCTTAGCTCTCTCATTTCAATGAGGGCAACATCTACGGAGAACTCCCGTGCATTCTTGGTGGAAGGAAACAAACTTGAGACTTGGATTCTGCTGTCAGGCAGCAGACAGTTTAATGAGAAGTGTGGAATGAGGCTCAGTGGAAATATCACATATAAGACATGATGCACGTCCAGAGGAGGTACAAGCAGGAAGTTCCAGTTGGTAAGGACCACCGCAGGCTTGGAAGAGAGAGATGTTCAGGGCGAGGGGAAGGCCCTATAGAAGAGGGGGCGTGTGACCAAGACCTTGAGGAGGGGCTGAGGCCATTAGAAGGGGAGAGGAGAGGAAGGGTGGGGGGTGTTCCATGTAAGGTGCTGTGATCATTTCCCCTCCTCTTTATGTTAACTTTGTTGTTTTCATCTCTGAAACTAGAACCCGTTAGCACTGTCCACCCGGGACTGTGGTGCCTGGCCTAGGCCTAGGCCTGCCCATCGCTTGTTGTCTGAACAAGGAACCCTGGAGGGAGAGGTGGAAGGCAGAAGGAAGCCCTGGACATACACTGGATCCCACATAGACATTTGGGCACCTACCAGAAGGTGAGCTCCAGGAAGGCTTGGGTCTGTGACCTTCACTGCCCTGCCTCAGCATCTAGCCCCTGGCTCTGGGGGAGCTCAACAATACTTGTTGAAGACTGAATGTGGCAGACACTCTTTCAGGACCCGAGAGTACTGGCAGGAACAGGAAAGGGGCTAACTCCAGGTATGAAATCCAGGAGAAAGGAGGAGCCTGCGGGAGTCCAAGGAAGGGGTGTCAGGGGGCAACATGGCTCCAAGGCAGGGGGCAGGGGGCAGATTAATCAGACCTAAACTCCAGTGGTAACAGCTCCGTTAATTGAGTGGTAATGATCCTTGGTACTTCTCATCTTCAAAGCCAGGAACAAACTGTAATGAATACTCTTGCCACCCGGGGGCAGGGTGCGGAGGGTGGTGGGGAGAATCTTATGCTACTGGTACTCAGTTGGGGAAACTGAGGCACTGGCAGAAAAATGGTCCTTAGGAGAGCGAATGTGAAGCCCAGCAGAGCTTGGAATCTTCAGGGGTGTCTTGAACACACCAGAGAGTGGCCCCTTCAAAATCCAGGCCCCTGGGGAGCCCAGGCCATGAGTAGGGAGGAAGGTAGTGCTGGAACCCCTTGCAGGCCTGACTAAAAGTTGCAGTGGAGAAGTCGGGTCTGCAGGAGGCTTGGCTGGTGTGCGCCGGGTTTCCCAGGGTGGGTCGGGGTGCCCGGGGCGTAGACCCTGCGGCCCTGCAGCACGCAGCCACGCTCTCCGCGTTCCAGGGGCGGCGCGGGAGTGGCGCGCGGCTGGGAGGGCACCCGGGCGTCCTTCGCGCCCAGCGCTGCATACTCACTGTGACTCACCGGCTGCTCCGAGATGCCTCCCGGTTTTCTCATCGCAGTCTGGCTGCTCTGAGCCCCGAGGGCGTTTTTCATTAGGGTGATTACCCTGCCGTCATTAAAAGCCGGTAAATAGCACCCAGGGACGAGGCCGCGCGGCCGCGTCTGAACCGCAGCCCGGGTTCACAGGCGCCCCCCGCCGCCCGGGCCGCGGGCGGCGCCGCTCGGCCTCCTCAGAGACTGGTTCGAATCCCTGGTGTCCGGGTGCCAGGGGGAGGCACCCCCCGCCTCACCTGGCACCACGCGGTGCCAGGTAGGGTTTGGGGCCTTCACAGAGTCAAACCCCAAGCATCCGCCAGTCTCCGCACACGGAAAAGTCTTCCCGGTGTACCCTCTTCCAGGTGTTACCGTAAATACCTCTCCTAGGTTGCCGGAAATCGTCCCCAGTTACCTTTCGACATTTAGTTGTGTATCCTTTGATAAATGTCTGTCTCACCCTTCTCCCCCAAAAGTTTTTTCCGCAAGGGCCAGAGCTCTGATTTTGTATTGTGTTCCTATCATACCCCCCAACTCTCCCTTCTGGAGGCCCACTGCACCCCGACATGACACCAGAGGCTGGGGTAGAGCCGCCGAAGCAGTTTGAATTTACAAGTGACGTGAGACAAGAGAACTGTCTGATGACCTCTCTTTCTCCCATTTTCCCCCAACATTTGAGAATTGTTTATTGTGCACCTACTGTGTGGTAAGCCATTGGGGATATGGCACTTATGAAAGCCAAGTCCAAGTCTTTCCGGGGGGGGACGTCCAGGTCTAATGAGTGTTCAGGGTGGACACAGACAAACACACATATGTGAGGTGCCGGTAAGTCGTGTGAAGATAAATAAATTGGGATAAGGGCAGAGAAGGTGATGGGGAGTACAAGTTGAGATCCTGTAATTCTTCCGCAATCCTTGCATTTTGGAGCTAGCATTGGTAGTCATTAAAGGACCGAGTCTGAATAAGTAGGTCTGTGTTTTGGTCCAGCTATGGCCTCACGTACTGGGTGCCCTTTGAAAAATTCTATGTAAACAGAATTTTTGTTAAAAAAAAAAAAAGCGTCAAAGTTCACAAGGGAAAGTCTGGTCTCTGAAGGCAAAGTCACCTGCGACATGTCCCTTACCCCCGGCATCAGCCCCTCTTCCCCTGGGTGGGCTTTGCCGCCCTGCCACCAGGTGGCCTGAGATGAAATTCTGACAGTGAGTGAGGACAGGGTTGTTTTCAGAAGCCAGCCGTGGGGAGAGATGGCAGCGGAAGAAGGGTGACTGCCGTCGCGCTGTGGGTCCCCCAGCCCCAAATCTCAGAGCCGCACTCCCCTCTCACACAAACACTCTCTCCAAGCGGTAGGAAAGGTGCTTCTAGACCCCAAACGAAAGAAAAAGTATGCCGCAATGGAAACTCGAACTAATCTTCCCCTCTTGCCCCACTTCCCTCCCGCGGTCACACTTCCGGCGGCCACCACAGGGTATTTTGGGTTTGAAAACAAAGCGTCAGATCTATTTGAGCAACTTTTGTTCCATTGGAGTAGAAGCCCAGGGGCCTGTGGCCGCTCTGGGCTCGGCCACTTCCCCAGGGAACTGACGCGTTTCCCCTTCTCTGCCAAGGTCCAATTTAGCAACTCAGACTGGCCACTTTTAGCTTCTCCTTTCCCTGGCCTGGCAGCAGGCAAGGGGCCAGAGGTAGGGCTGCTGGGGGGAAGGGCATGTGTCTGGGTGCCTTCCTGGTGGACTTCAGGGAAGGCCTAGTTCCCTTCTTCTGCCAGAACCTCCCCTTTACCCCCCAAAACTCCTCCCAGTCCCCCCTCCTCCATGAAACCTCCACTGCCGCTGTCAAAAATCCACTCGCTGCATCAGAAGATGTAAAGTGAGAGTTGTGGTTAGGCCTTGCCTGGTCCTCAGTCTAATCCACACGGAGGTGTGTCTCTGTATCAGTGGTGGGCTGGGGTGTGTACAGGTTGTGAACAAGGCGGGAGTGCATATATGGAGATCCCATGTGCATGCAAATTCCATGTCCGCATTTGTGGATGCTGAGCAATGCACGTGTACACAGCTTGCATGGATGTCTAGAAAGAGCTTGGCAGAGTCGATATCCTGGAGTGTCTAGCGGGTACATCCACCATGTGATTTTGTGTGGGCTGTTGTATTTACAGTAAGCATGTGCAAGTTGCATAGACTAGAGGTGTGTGTCAATGTGTGTACACACACTTGTCTACGTGTGGACAGGCGGGGCTTGCCTCTCAGGGGGTGGCGAAGGAAGACAGCTGGGCTCTGGACAATGGTGACTAGGGCCCATGTGGGCAAATACTGGGCTGTAGGTGCCATCAGCAGATCAGGGCTTGAGGGCAGGTTAGTGAACTGCAGGTATGAGCCTGGGGCCAGCAACTGTTTTGTCCTTTATTTTAGGCCTCTCTCCTCAAGCTCCCTTCTCCCTCAATAGGCTGCTACATCCACTCCCGTCCCCTCCCAGCTTGGAATGGTCCCTCCTCCCTTGTTAGCCAGCCTTCCTATCCCTCTCTTCTTACCTCTTGCACAGGTGTCACCATCAACACAACTCTTGGCCACCTCTGGGTCTGTCCATCTTCTCTCCCACCACACTGGAAGAGCAGAAGAGCTTCCAGAAGGCAGAGACCTAGGTTTCTTTTTCTTTTCTTTTCTTTTTTTTTTTTTTTGAGACGGAGTCTCGCTGTACCACCCAGGCTAGAGTACAGTGGTGTGATCTCTGCAAACTCCACCTCCCGGGTTCAAGCAATTCTCCTGCCTTAGCCTCCCAAGTAGCTGGGATTACAGGTGCCTGCCACCACGCCAGGCTAATTTTTATATTTTTAGTGGAGACGGGGTTTCACTATGTTGGCCAGGCCAGTCTCAAACTCCTGACCTCAAGTGATCCACCCACCTTGGCCTCCCAAAGTGCTGGGATTGCAGGTGTGAGTCACTGCGCTTGGCCAAGAAGGTGGAGATCTAAGTTTTTTTTTTTTTTTCTGTGGTGCATTCAATTATTGGCTCATAGCTGAGCCTCCCTAAGTCCTGCAGAAGCGCTGACTGTGCGCTGGCTTCACAGCCGCAGCATGTGTACAAAGTATTTGTTTCTTTACAGTGATTTGAAGGTGCAGGTCCAGCTCTTCTGGCATGCTGGTGGGTGTGGGGGGTCGTGGGGGTAGGGGGAGGGTGTTTGAACTTCCAGGGTGCTTCCCAGGCCCGCCCCTATGGCCCAGTCCCTAAGGGAAACACACTCAGCTGCTCTCCTGCTTCCATCATGGGACTGGAAAGCAAGGTTAGGACTCAGTGGCCTTGCTGCTCCTTCACGACACGGTCAGCCTCTTCTCTTTTACCCACCCCTCTCTGCCCAGCTGACTTACGCCAATGGTGTGGAGCCCAGCTCATGAGGAATACAGGGTGTGCTCCTGCATCCTGCTCTCCATCTCTGCGTGCAGACCCATGCCTATGCGCTCCTCCATCCTCCCTCCATGAGGTGCTAAGGGCCCCTGAATGGGTTTTCTCTGGCCTGGGTTTGGGGGAAACTGGCCTGTCTGCTGCTTCTGGGAACTCCCAGGGTCTTCAGCTCCCACATATGTAAACTCCTTTTAACCTAGGCCTCCCACTAGGGAGGGCTTTCTGGCTCCTGCAGCCAAATACACTTGGCTCTCTTTCATTCTGGATTCTGGAAATGCTTATTTTATCCATTCTAGTGGCTTCCACTCACTCTCTGCCCCAGCGAGTGGTCATAGCTTTCTCTGCCACTCCCCATATAGAATCGCAGAACATTCAGCTAGAGGAGGTGTCAGAGAATACCTGTCCCAAATTATTTTATCAATGAGGAAACTGAGACCCAGAGAGAGTGGCTGACTAACCTGGGCTCACACAGCAGTGAATGGCGAAGCTGGTACTGGAATCAGATCTTGACTCCTGGTCAGTGGTTCTTTTCAGGCTAGACAGCCATGTTTTTCTTTTCTATTTCCTTCTGTTTCCCACTCTTTCTCAACCTTTCCTTTACTATTAAAACATTTCCTTTTTTTTTATTTAAAATGTTCTGTGTTAAGCAGGACGACCTGTGCTTGGAGGCTCTGAGGTGGCACGTGGTGCTGAGACCGCTGTCCCAGCATGGGTTTCCTTGGTCCTTTTAAAAGCCCTTTGTTGTCCTTCATCCCCTAAGATACCTTGGGACCCTGTCCTCCCTTCTCCCTGAACCACCATTTTCAACTCTCATTTCTCCTTCCAAATACCAGGGAGGCAGCAGACAGAACCCCTCAAAAAATGGGCTCCTTTCACTAACCATACTTTTCAGGTCTTTCAAATGGAGAGTCTCAGAAGGAAAATATGGGCATTCGTGTGTGTGTGTGTGTGTGTGTGTGTGTGTGTGTGTGTGTGTGTGTGTATGTGTGTGTATCTCATGTGTCTCCCAGAAGCTCCTGGGGGTAAGTGGAAAAATTAATTAGAACCAGGATGAAAGGTGTTCTGGGATAATTGCAGGTAATATCAGGACAGCCAGGAGGGTGAGGCAAGAGGCCTCTAGATGTCCTGGGGACTTGGATAGGCCCCCAGCCCCACTCCTGCAAAGCAGATCAGACACCTGGGGAGGCTAGGGGGAGGGAGCATTCTGAGTGAAGGGTCTTTGTCTTTACAGGGAAATTCTTGTTAGTTGCTAAGGAACTGGGTTGTCTTTCCTGATCCAAGCCTCCCAATGTTTTGCTTAGCTTGGGAGGGGGATGCTGGGCTGAGGCTTGAGGCTCCCTTGGCAGTCGGTCCTTTCCCTGGGGCTGCCGAGCCTCTGATAGGTCTCTGGGGAAGGACTCTCTTCTGGGAGAGATGCTTCTTTCCCAATACCCTAAGCCTCACTGCTTGCTCCAGCCAAGCTGAGAACAGGTGAGGTGGAGGCAGGGAAAGAGAGGAACATGCACATTTACCGAACAGCCTGCACGCCAGGCATTGTGCTCAGATGCCTTCCCTGCTATCTCATTTAACCATTGCAACACATCTTTGGAGGAAGGCACTTATTTCCATTTATTTTTCATTATACTGGTTTTTTTTTTTTTTTTTTTTTTTTTGCAGTTGAAACACAGGTCTGGAGCAGTTGCCAAGGTCACGGAGGTATCAATGGTAAAAATTCTATGTGAATTCAGATCTGCTCAGTAAGAAAACTTGTGTTTTTAAATGGCATCACTGAATGCATGTACTAGGCTTTCTTCCTATCCCTTGGCTGCTGAGTGCTGACACCTGGACCCATTGCTGTCACCATTATCATCACCATCACCATCACCATGATCATCATCACCATCACCATCACCTCATCATCACCATTACCATCACCATGATCATCATCACCATCACCTCATCATCACCATTACCATCACCATGATCATCATCACCATCACCATCATCATCACCATCACCATCACCTCATCATCACCATTACCATCACCATGATCATCACCATCACCATCATCATCACCATCACCATCACCATCACCTCATCATCACCATTACCATCACAATGATCATGATCACCATCACTTCATCATCACCATTACCATCACAATGATCATGATCACCATCACTTCATCATCACCATTACCATCACCATGATCATCACCATCACCATCACCTCATCATCACCATTACCATCACAATGATCATGATCACCATCACTTCATCATCACCATTACCATCACCCATCACTATGATGATGATCATCACCACCACCATCACCATGATCATCATTACCATCACCATCACCATCACCATCACCTTATCATCACCATCACATCACCATGATCATCATCGCCATCACCATCATCATCACCATCACCATCATCATCACCATCACCATCACTTCATTATCACCATCACCATCATCATCACCATCACCATCACTTCATTATCACCATCACCATGATTATCATCATCACCATCGTCTCATTATCACCATCACCATCATCCGCATCATCACCCATTACCATCATCATCACCATCATCAATATCATCACCCTGGAGCCTTCCTAGGTGGCTTTCCCTTCTTTTCTACCTTTCTTCCTTACCTAAAAGCAGTTATTATACAGGAATGATGGGGAGGGAGAGGGGTCATTCAATGGACTAAGGATGGCAAACTGTTGGGATAGTGGCTGTGGGCAGGTGGGGAGGGACGGTAATGGCCTTGGGCTGGACCAGGCTATTGACTTGAGTATCCAGGAACTCTGGCCATCCCCACAAATCACACATGGCCCAGGATGGCTCAACCTGGAGTAAGGAAAGTCACTTGGAGAAGAGTCCCCTTAATTTATTCTGGAAATTCCGGCCGTCTCTCTTTGTCCCACTCTAGATCCTGATCTGGCTTTTATTTTATATAGCCAAGAGAGTAAAATTAGAGTCCAGTTTTCCTCTAAATACTACACCTGAGGAGGCTTGAGTTAACACCAGATTCCACCATGACTAGTTATGGAATAGGGAGTAGGTTCCTTAACTTACAGGAATGTCAGTTTTCTCATCTCTAAAATAAGAATAACATCCACTTTATTAGGGTGTTGTGACAATCAAATGAGAGAACATGTATGAAGGCCCCCAGAAGGCCATGAAGTAGCGTGGGGATGCATTCAGTGAGATACCACACATTAGGCATTTTGTGTAGAACCTGATATGCAGAAAGTGCTCGATAAATGCATCTGATTACAATGATGATAATAATAATGTCAGTTCTCTTTACCTGGTAAAGGGGTCGCTAATGCTCCCTTATATTTTTCTTAGCTGCTTCATTGGAGATCTCAAAGCAATTTAGCTGTTCATCTTGTTTCTTCCTGGAGGAGGTGGTGCAAAGAAAAGGGATGAGAGGCCCAAAGGGTTCTGCAGGCGGAAAGCGCCGTCAAGGCTGGGTTTTCCCCAAGGTCCCCATGGCCTCCAGGTTTCCCCTCTCCACAACTGGGACCTCCTTCCCTGTGGTTTCCAGGGATCGCCTGGCCAGGGCTGGCTTCAGCCTAGAGCCTGGGCCAGCTTTGTTCTTTTTTCACGTTTTGGGACCAGGAGGGTGGGGGTCTCTCCAGCAGCTAAACTCAAAGCCCAAAATGTCAAGTCAAAAGGAAGGAGGGGGTTGGGGGAAGGAAAGAAAGCAAGCCGATAATTTCCTCGAAGGATAAACATCCGATTTTTTTTTTCTTTACCCAAAATAAACATGCTAGCCACAATGAATTAAAAGCAGAAGAGGGGAGGATGTGTCTCAATTTGGGGCTGCTCTAGGAAGCTGACCTTCTATTTATCCTGGCCCTGGGCACCAACCGGAGCTGCCAATTACATTCTGAGTCTGGTGGGGTGGGGGCTGTGGGGGAGAAGGTCCCAGGGAATAGGGGACCCAGAAAGTCCCTTGCGAGGCTGCCTTCCATGGCACTGCAAATGGACACTTCGTTTTGCTTCTTATTTTAGGTCGGCTTGCAGGCTTGCAGGCTTGCCTGGTGGGGTAGAAAGAAGTGGGGAGGCTCCACAATTTCTCCTGCCTGGGCTTTCTTTTACCTTGGGCTGGCATAAAATGCCCTTCTGGAGCATCAGAATTTGGTGCCCATTACCTGGGCAGGGAGCTGAATCTATCAATGAAGTGGGCATCATTCAGTTCTCTCCCATTCACAAACTCAACCTCCAGCCCCGCTGTTTCTTCAGATCCCCACCACTAAAATTGTTCCACTAGTTAAAAGCGTGCTTAGCTGGGCCGAGGGGTCATCTAGGGCCCTCTGCCTTCCAGCTAACGAGGGGCAGGACTCTGAGATGATAAGAACCCTGTTCCCAGGTATAGCTTGTTCTTTTCATCTGGGGATCTCAAAGCACTTTGCACACATGAGTCACCAACATCGCTACATGCTAGCCAAGGAGACGGGGTTATTAACTCATGAAGGGAAACCAAACTGAAGGGGGTGTTAGGGGTGCTGAAAGGACTGGAATGGTGGTGGGGAGGCATGGGGCCTCTGTAACTTTAGGCTGGGAATGAGACTGTAGCAGGGAGGTGTCTCCCAGGGGTCCTTGGGTGGGGAAGTCAAGAGGCCTGCAGAGAAAGCCCAGGGAAGTTAGATGGCAAAAGTCCTTTCCTTGCAGATACCTAAGAATTTATTCACCGCTTTCTTTTCTTTTTTTCTTTCTTTCTTTTTTTTTTTTTTGAGACAGAGTCTCACTTTGTCGCCCAGGCTGGAGTGCAGTGGTGCAATCTCGGCTCACTGCAACCTCTGCCTCCCGGGTTCAAGCGATTCTCCTGCTTCAGCCTCCCAAGTAGCTGGGATTACAGGCGCCCACCATTACGCCGGGCTAATTTTTGTATTTTTAGTACAGACAGGGTTTCACGTTAGTCAGGCTGATCTCGAACTCCTGACCTCAGGTGATTTGCCCACCTTGGCTTCCCAAAGTGCTGGGATTATAGGTGTGAGCCACCGCACCTGGCGTTATTCACAGCTTTCTAAAAGCATACATCTGATTATGCCATCTGCCTCTCCAATCTATTTTTATTTTATTTTATTTTATGAATTTTTTAGAGATGAGGTCTTGCTGGGTTGCCCAGGCTGGAGGGCAGTGGTGCAATCACAGATTCATAGATCACTGCAGTCTCAAACTCCTGGGCCCAGGTGATTCTCCTATGCCAGCCTCCTGAGTAGGTGGGACTACAGGCATCCACCACCATACCTGGCTAATTTTTTATTCTTATTTTTGTAGGGATGGGGGTCTCCCTATGCTGCCCAGGCTGGTCTTGAACTCTTGGCTTCAAGCGATCCTCTGGCCTTGGCCTCCCAAAGCACTGGGATTATAGGCACGAGCCACCATGCCTGGCCCAATCTACTTATCATTTAATGATTTCCCACTGCTTTCTGGATACAATCCAGAGCTTTAACATGGCAACAAAGGCCTGGCATGGTCTGGCCTTTGCCCACCCGTCATACTGTTCTTGCCCTTTCATACTTTGCGGCAGCCACAGCATGGGCCTTTCATTTCCTGGAAGATGCCATGCATGCCCCTGCCAGCCACAGGGGCTCGGAGGAGCTTTGGAATGTTCTCTATTCCTGTCTCCACTCACCTGGTAACCCCTAGCCCACTTTTCAGCCCTGAAGTTAAACATCAGGGCTCTGCCTGAGTCTTCAACCCTTTCTCTCCGTCAGAAATCAGGCCCCCTTTGCACCCTCATCATACTTATCACAGTTTATCATTTGTTGGGGATATTTGCTTCCCCTGCTGGACTGGAAGCTCCATGAGGTGAGCACCATGCTGTGTCTGCCCTATCTACCCATGCATGGGGATGAAGCAGGCATGCATCTCCAGTGCCTGGAGGAAGGCCAGGTGCACCCCACATGCAACAATAGTCGCTGAATGAACGTTGTCGAATGTCAGAGCTGGAAAGGCCCGTGGTGATAAACCAACCACCCTCTCCCACTTCTTCCTACCTCCGTGTCACAACCAAGGGAGCAGAACTTTGGGGAGGGTAAGAGGTTTCCGTGAGGTCTCACAGCGACTCAGTGACAGTTCAGGCATAGGGATCACTATATCCTGCCTGTCCGTCTATTCCCCCCACTCCCCACCCAACCCCTTGCATTTACAGGAAAGCCTCAGTCCCCAGTGCTGGATATTGGCCAATTTCCTCCTGTTGCTTTTCAAAGGAATACAAGCTAGGATACAAAGCACCAAGCCCTGGATGATTTTTTTTTTATTTGGAAAAGAAGGGGTTCTGTATCCAGAGGGGGTTCCATACCCACATCGTCGGTGGTGGGCAGTGTGGCCACATGCCCGGATGGCAAAGCCGGCTATCTAGCAGGCAGCTATCTCCGCCTGGTTTTTGTGCTTGGGCTCGCTGGCCCTTTCTCTGGGAGCCTGGAGGGTTGGTGAGTCCTGGTAGTTCTGGGTCATGAACTGGGTGCTTGCTTCAGGTTCGCCCAGGTGGAAACGGTTCAGAAATCTGTCCATTTTCCAAGAGCCTGGAAGGACAAACAGACCACAGGGAGGCAGTGAGAAAGAGCCATGGACTTGAAAGCTGGCAGGGGCCTGAGAGGGAGGCCGGCTCGTGGGAGCCGAGGCAGCAGGTGATGCGATGGCCATGGGGCGTAGTGGCTGGGGGAGCTTCCGGCTCCTGTTGCAGAGGTAGCCCCCAGATGTTAGCAGAGCCTCTGAACAGCAGCAGAGCTGCCTGCTCCCCAGAGGGCAATGGGGACTGAGAGCCCAGCCCCAGTTGAGAATGTCTGAATCTCCTTCCCCAGCACCTCTGTTTAGCAAAACTGCCTTCTCGCTCCCGCTCCCGGGCAGAAAGGAAGCCCAGTCATGCGGGCTGCCCACTTCCTCTACTAATGCCCTCTCCCTGCAGGCTCCCCTGACCCCAGGACAGGAGGCTTCACCCACTACTTTCCTTCACACCTGCTCACCCCTGCTGCTGGGGCTGAGATTGGTGGAAGTATCTGTGCTCTTCTTTCAATCTTCTCCCCTAAACCCCAAACACCTCCTCGTCTCTGTCCCAGGACAGGGGGTGCACCAGTGTGCCTTCCCCATGGCAGAGGTGGAGGGGCAGCCCCTGGACCCTGGCGGGGGAGCTGGGCCTGCAGAAACCCAGACGGTGCCCAGGTCGGAGGGGTTCCTCCTCAGGGGGAGAAAACACAAGTGTGTACAGGGAGGCGCATCTTCTGGGGCAAGTGTGAACAGGCCTTGTGGCAGGGCAAGAAGGGCACAGCCTGGGGCATGGAGTGAGGCTGAGGGAAGTGGTCAGAGGCATATTCCCACGTTCTTGTTTCCCAAACCCTGGATGTCAGGCACCCTGGGCAGATGCTTGCCAGGAAAAGGCAGGAAGTAGTTTAATTTGAATCTCAGATAAATAGCAAATCGCTTGTTGGTGTGAGCGTGTCCCACATTCTGCATGGAGCATCCTTACATGAATTTTTTTTTCCGTTGTTTATCTGGAATTCAAATTTTACTGGGCATCCTACTTTTTGTTGTTGTTGTTGTTTTGCTAAATGCAGCAACCTCCCAGGGTGGAGAGAGAGTGCCTGGGGAAGATCCTGTCCGGAGCAGAGCTAGGCAGTGGTCGATACACAGTGGATTAATGGAGACCAGTCACCTCTGATACCCAGACAGAAGAGGGCAAGGGGTTGGAAGCTCTCAGAACCCCACTTGAGACTCACGGGCCACCCACCCTCCCACCTGCCTGTCTCCTCGGTCAGCACCCACCACCCTTTTCATAGCAATTAAGATAGCAAGCCCATTGAAGCGTTGCTGCCTCCCAGAGGCTGCTGACATTTCAAAGATGTTCTCAAGGAGAGGATAATTTTTAATCTGAAACCCAAAATAACAATAACAATAATGCAAACAATAATAGCAGTAACACCCCACCTATGTGTTGGTACTACTGTAAGAGCTTGACACATAATTCGCTTAATCCTCACACCAATCCCAAAAAGGGAGGACTGTTCCCATTCCCAGTTCACAGAAGGGATGACTGAGGCACAAGCTGGGGTACTGGCAAGGAAGCTTCGTAGTGGCAGGGATGGGGAAAGGCCTTTGCAGATTCCCTCAAATCCTATTCGACTCAGTGACTGCATGCTCAGATGGGGCCCAGGGGGGCTGGAAAACAAGGGGTTCCAGGAGTTCTTTTGCAGAAAGGGTGGCCAAGGTGCTGAGAAAGCCTCTCCCGGTGGAGGTGTACTGACTGCAGCCGGGTTCTCCTAGGAGGCTCAGTGTCACCTGAGTGTCCTTTCAGAGGGGCTGTGCCTGAGCCTCTGCACCCTAGGAGCCCAGCTGGCTGGAAGGAAAGGAATTATGGTATTATGACCCTGGGAACGAGTGTGTGCACACACATGTGTATGTGTGGGTGCACGTGTGTGTGCGCACGCGCACATGCCAGGGTAATACGGGCTTATGGGTGAATTGGTGTGTGGCAGGAACAGGGACGAGGGGGCCTTCCCCACCGTAGGGCAGGAAGGAACCTGCACGGCAGGAAGGGAATTGAAACCCATCACGAGGCTGGGGCAAGCTGCGGGGAAGAAATCCCCTGAGTCCAGAGCGAGAGCTGGCTCCCCTCAATAGTTCGGAAGCCTCTGAGCCTTCAGTGCCCTGGGGCACTCGTGGTTCCTTTCCAGTCCCAAGTCGACAGCCCTGTGGTTCTCGGGCTCCCTGGCCAGCTCCTGAAACCCAGTCCCCGTGCCGGCTAGCCTCTTGCTGCCTCCTTTCCTGGCTTGGCCGCAACTCCTTACACCCCCTGTTTCCTGCCACAGAGGGCAAGTTCTAGAAGGCAGAGGGGGTGAGTCAGGCCCTTGGGGTGTGTGGGGAGAGCTGGAGAGCTAGGAGGCTGCGGCTTCTGTGGTCACCGCTCAGAGGAAAGCCCCTTCCTGTATGGCACTGCTGTCCCCGAGAGGCAGAGAGTCCGCGGCCAGGCAGGAAAAGGGCAGCGCTGCTGTCTGTGCTTGGGCCACTCCACTGTATCCTGGATGCACCTAGGCCAGGCTCTTCCTGGGACGAGGGTAGGGGCAGTGTGGGCACTTCAGAGGCCTTGGTGGTGGGAGGCCTTGGCTGAAGGGAGAAAGGAGGAGGAAGCTGTCTGATGCCTGTCTCATGAGCCACCTGCCCTGTGGCTGGGACACAGAGGCCTGGGCATCTCAGGACAGGGCTGCCACATATGATGTACAGGTTGATCCCTGCACAACCGTAGGGGGTGCTGTTCTCATCCTGCATAGCCAGATGCAGCAGTCCTGGCACTCTCACTTACTGGTCAGTGCTGATAGGAAAGATGTTAGTGATGAGAGATGTTAGATTTCAGCGATGTTCCAGATGGGGGCCAAGGGGAGAGCCTGATAACCTTATCTAAAGCCACTGGGGGATTTCTGGGCCACCACTCTGTGCCTGGCCTCCTATTAGGCTCTAGGGGGGAAAGATGTCCCCTGTCTTCAGCAGCTGGGGAAGGGGCTCCTCCTCGGAGCTTTAGTCCCAGGGACTGTGATGATGGCAGGAATGTTTGGAAAAGGCCCTGGGGCAGGTCTTGACAGTCACTCTCTCCACCCCAAGCTTCCCAAATCTGTGGGGTTGGCTTTCCACTGTTTGGGAGTGGTTTGTCACGTGCTGGACAAACTCTGGACGGCTCCATTGGGCCAGTTAGGGCTAAGCAGGCATCTGAGAGACTGAGAGGTGCTCTGCCACATCCAGCTTACCCTGGCCCCCTTGCAGGACTTGGTAGAATGGGGGATCGGCTCCCCTGCCAGAAGTGCAAGCTCTTAGATGAGGTCAGACCCCAGGGCCCCTTTAACACTGGCAGCCATCACCCTGGTCCTCTGCCAGGCATGGGGTCAGCGGAGCTGCCTTATTTTACCCCCTGCCCTTGGCGAGTTTCTAATATAATACAAGTAATACTAACCTAATCACAGTCTGGTCCTTCAAAGGGTGGCCTTGGCCAGCAGTAGAACTTTGTAGTCTGGGTCCCTAGCAGACAAGGTCCCCACCCCTAGTGACACCCCTGGATTCCCTTCGGCAGGACCATTCTCCAGGCTGGGGTGCAGTGGCACTATCACCTCTCATTACAGCCTTGACCTCCCAGGCTCAGGTGATCCTCTTGCCTCAGCCTCCTGAGTAGCTGGAACCACAGTTGTGTGCTACCACACCTGGGTAATTAAAAAAAAATTATCTGTAGAGACAGGGTCTCCCTATGTTGTCCAGGCTGATCTCAAACTCCTGGCCCAAGTGATCCTCCTGCCTGGGCCTCCCAAAGTGCTGGGATTACGGGTGTGAGTCACTGCACCTAGACAGGCCCACTCTTAAGACTTCCCAACAGCCGAGGACAGCAGTTCCTGGGTGACCCTGCTGTAGCCAAGGGACGTTTCCCACCTGACTGGTCCTTGGTCCTCAGTATTTCCGTCCTGATGTATTTCCATCCTGATGTACTTCCCTCTTAGCCTGGGAAGTGGGGTAGGAAGCTGAGGGAGGGAGGCTCCCCCCACCCCAGCTCCATTCTCCCATGGGCCCCCGTTCAGGTGGGCTGGAGAACAAGGAGTGGGTTGCTGAGACCTTGAGGTTGGAGCTGCGGCAGCCTCTTGTCCCAGGGCGGTCTCTGTAAGGACAGGGGCCACTGGTTCTGGCTCCGGCTCCGAACAGCCCTGTTCCTTCAGGTGGTGATCTGTATCTACCCAAGGTGATCACCCTCTTCCCTGGCCTCGCTGCCTCTCCTCTTAGGTAAGGGCACCACTGCTTCTTGTTGGGGGATGGTGGCCCTGAAGAGAAAAAACAAAAACTCAACTCCAGCCTAATAACCGCCCCACAGAGAGCCCGGCTCAGGTCTGTAATTTGTCTGGCTCGTCACGGGACCGGCCACATTGATAGAAGCACTGATACCTTTCTGCCGAGATTAATGATGTCCCGGCGGTGGTAGGCGGGAGGCCTGAGACTTTTATTTTTTGTGCCATTAAATGACATCCAGAGACTTCCACTCAGGACCTGAAAAGCCCTCGTTCCATCACATCCAATTACTCCGGGAGGAGATTTGCTGAGTGGCTGATACTGCGGGCTCCAGAGGCTTTCGGGTAGTGGGGGGCACTTTGACTTTGGCAGGAGTGAGAGGGAGGGGATGCCAGCAGAGTTTCGGGGTGGTGAGGGGTGACCTGCGTCTCCTCTGGAGAGAGGACCCAGGAGGGCTGAAGAGTGGAAGCTGGTTCTAATTATCCAGCCAGTGCATCCCCTAGGCCTCCTCCTCCCTTCTGCAGCTGGGGTTGGGGCAGGAAAGGGATCAGGAGGATGGGAGACTTCAAGCTGCCAGTTTAGCTTCCAGTGATAAATTCCAATATTTGGTAGTGGCAACAATTGGCTGGAGTTTGGGGTAGAATCTGGGGGCTTATCTGTGTGGTTTCTTCACGATGTGTTCAACATTGCTTGGGATGGCTGATGTTCGGCTGGACTGGGACTTGCTTCTTGAGGAGGTCCGCCTGGGGCTCATGGAGATTTCAGGCAGTTCCCAGCCTGGGTGCCTGTCTGAGTGTTGCCCGGGATGGCCCCAGCTGGGTGGCTGCCAGGCCCCCAGTTCTACCCGCTCGGCCAGGTGGGTGGGGCCCTTTGGAGGAAGAGCGCCTCCTGCCACAAGCCCACACAGTGATCAGGGGCTGGGCCCTGGGGGATGCTGGGGCTGGGCCAGGTGAACCACCATGGGAGGTCACGAGGGTGGGCTGAGTGTGTTTGTGTCTGTCTGTGTGTGCGCTGGTGGGGGGCAGTCTGAGGGCGGGGGCTGGTCTCCAGGCAGGGCCCCCTTTCCTCTCAGGCCTCTTCCCTCCATGCTTCCTGACACCATGTGCTGCTGTGTTCTGCTACTAGGCTGGTGGATTTCCTCCCAGCCTCATCCCTCTGCAGCAACATCTCCTACTCTTGAAGCTGCGTGGGGCTCTGCTGCCCTTGGCCCCATGATTCCCCTTCTTTCTCACCCACCGAGGCCTGCATGCCTTCAGATGCCACAAGCAAGACTTCAACCCCCTATGTGGCAAGTCCCTGCCCGTCTCTCCTCTCTGACCCCTGTGGGTGGGTGGTTCCACCTCTGAGCTGCCGAATTTGGGTGCCTGTGGTGCTAGGGAGCGGCTTATGGCTGCCTGGCCCAGGACTCCCATTTTGCAGTGAGCAAGTTTCCCCTCTGAGGGCCCTGAGGCTGCCCTGGAGGTGGTGACCCAAGCCTCTCTTGCCCGTTAGTTTCCAGCACGTTGACACCATCCTGGGCGCTCGGCCTTGGAGTGGCTTCTGGAGCAAGCTGTGGCATGTCCTCTCGTGGGGCAGAGAGGGGATTTCCCCTGCTCGCTTGCAAGAGGAGTGTGAGGCTGGCTTGTGACACCTCTGGGTGAGGTGACCGAGGTGTGGTGTGGCACAGACCGCAGCTCCCCAGGATTCTGAGGCTCAGCCACAGCCAGGGAGGGGGTGTGTGCGTGGACCATTCTGGGCAGCTGCTGCTGGCCAAGGAGGCCTGGGACAGCAGGATGCAACTGTGCTCTGTCTGTATCCCCACTGGGGCCCAGAAGTCTGGGTCAGGAGAGCGGGGATGTAGGCAAGGCGGTGGCAGGTGCAAACAGCCCTTCCCTGGAAGTCAGAAGAAAGTCAAATGGCTGTTAACTGTGGACGCCCTTGGTAAGTCATGCCACTCACTGTTTCAGGCTTTGCTTTCCTCGTTTGCCCTGGGGTAGGGGTGATGGCCACTGTCCTGCCCCCTTGACATGGGTGGCAAGGGGAAGGCCAGGGAGGGGCAGGGTGGCTGGTGGAGAGGCTGGTGGAGAGGCAGCCCTGCCTGCCTGGGATTGGGACAGGGAGGACGTCGATCAATGCAGAGACTGTCACTTGTGGGCATGGTACTCACAGAGGTGGCTGCCTTCTCAGGTGCTGAGGCAAGCTGACGTGTGTTTGCAAATGTGGGGGTGTGAGAACGTGCAGATCCATGTGTGTGAATGGCTTGTGGATGTGCATATGTGGGTGTGTCTCACACACAGACACACTCATTAACTGAAAGCCAACAGTGGGCTGGGCACAGGGACAGGTGGGAGAAGGGAAAGAAGGCAGAGGTGAGCGCTTCTCTCAAGGAACTGATAGTCTCATGGTGGAAGGGGGGCCGCCACGAGTGGCAAGTGATTTAGAAATACAAAAGAGATCAAAGCAGATGTCTGGGGAGGCACAACAAATGCTGTGTGAGTGGAGAAGACGATAGAGACTAGAGATGCCAACAGCAGGTTGGGGGAAGCCTGGCTCAGCGGATCAGCCTTGTGGGGTTGTTCTAGAGGATGTGATGGAGGGCCAGCAGCCGGGACTGGTGCTTGGAAAGTGGGCAAGGCATTGCGGGTCTGGGAAGGGGAGAATGAGACGCCCAGATGGGCAGTGGTGGGCAGGCAGATGTGAGCAAAGAAGTAGTTCAGGGACGTCTGGCAGTGTGCCGCACACAAGGGCAATGGTACAAGGTGCAAATGAAATCTGCCTGGAAGGAAAGATGTCCCCCTCAGAGGGGTGTTCACTTAGAATCAGAGGGAGACAGCCCAGCATGTCACAGGCCTGAGATAATGGCATCTGCAAATCTGGAAAGGCAAAGTGTGGCCTTTGGGACAAGCGTCACATAGCTGTCCTGTGACGCTGGCCGGCCAGCCCTTGTCAGAGGCACCAGTTAAGGCTGTTTAGATTTCAGGGGTCTCTCTGTTCCTCCTATCTTGGGGACCAGTTATGCTTGTGCTGTTTGAATATCTCCCCTGACTCTCTCAGTGAGCACCCCCTATCCATAGAGCTACACCAGGGTGACTCCACACATGCATGAGAGCAGGGACACCATCACATGGTGACTTCTTACAGCACCCAAAACAGCGCCAAGTATACACTAGGCATCTGGCATCAGCTGAGCGAATGCAGAAGGCATTACTGAGTTATGCCAGGCGTGGTTTGAAAGTGGCCAGAGAGGAAGGAGCTGTGCAAAGGTAGGAGGAGTGGGGTGGCACGGCAGGGTTTCATCAGCTAGAAGTGGGGTAGCTCTAAGCCCCTCCACGACCCTTGCTGTGCTCCTGGCCTCGTGGGGTCTGATGCAAGACCTCTACTAGGAAGTATCAGGGCTGGCTGGGAAAGTCGAGCCTCATCAGTTGGTCCCTGCATTTATTTGGCAGAACAGGGAGGCCAGGACATTCCGGGAAGCTGGGAGCAAATCAATTTCAGGTCATTCAATTGCAGATCAACTAGTCTAACCCTGTATCTTGATGAGGTCAAAATTGAGACCCAGGGAGGGGAGGTCACCTGGCCAAGGTCAAACGATCAGAGTCGGGACATCAAGATCTCATTTGCTGACCACATGTACATTGTCCTGTGGTCACAGTAAAAAGAGGAATCCTGGGGAGGGTTTCACCTCCTTGGGTCTGAACAATGCCATCCCCACATCCCCCTACATAGTCATGACAGGCTCTACTAGAATCATCTCAAGCCTCCTTCTTCACCCTAAGCCTGTCATTTACCCATAAGATCCAGGGAGGGAAGAGGCCTGAACAGGATGGGGTTCAGTGGCCCGTCTGCCATAGACGCCCCTCTACCTGGCTCCTGTAGGCTGACCTTTCCCCTCGAGTCTCTAGAAGCTTTTCCTGCCTGTTCACCCAGGGGACACAAGCAGCTGGTTATACCACACTGCCCCCCTCCCAACCCCTGACACCCTGCTTCCTCCACGGATTCTCTCCCCTGGAGAGAAATCTAGATCAAGGCAAGTCCTGGGACCTGTGTTCATTGGCAGGACCCCATGCTCTGGCCTCCCAAGCACTGGTCCAGCCCTGGGCTCCGTAAGTCCCCAGGCACCGTCCAGGTGCTTCAGAGAGCACCAGGCCCTGAGTGTTTCAACATCGTGCAAGGACCTGGGGTTTCTGCTTTTGCAATCGCCCCTGGGTTCATCCACACCTCACTGCCTCATGTCTCGACCCCTCTGGTGGTGTCCTGTCCTCTCATTCTGGTCAGTTCTGCCTGCCCCTCCAGGTTCGTCGTCTCCAAAGAGTGACTTTTGAGTGTTGCTTCTCTGGTAAATAATTTCTAACGGCTTCCCAGAGTCAACCTGCAAAAGCCACTCCTCTGCCGGACTTCTGAGAACCTTGTTTTTCCCCTTCCCCTCCATTTTCTCACTTAAAAAAAAAAAATCTATGGTTTCTCCAACCCAGAGCTCCCTCTTCCTTCACTCAAGGATTCAGATCTCCTCCTTCTCTAGGGCCCAGCCCTGCTCCAACCTCCTCCCCATGGCCTCAGGGCCAGAGAAATTTGTAGATCATCTGGAGCCAACCCCTTATTTTCTAGATTAGGAAACTGAGGCCCAGCGAGGTTCATTGATTGGCCTCAAAGTGAAACTACTAACTAGAGAGAGGGGAGTCCAGATTGCCTCACTCTACAATAAAACACCTTTATATCCTCTCTGGCTGGAGAGAGCACAGTGTTCTGGAGGGAAAGGTATGACAGGAAGGGAAGAGATCTATCCCTGAGTCCACAGACTTCCAATTGTCCTTACAGTTAGAATCACACAATTAAGTGTTTAATTACAACCTGCTTTGCATTGTTGTTTAATTGTTTCCAAAGTAGACTGTAAGCCACTTGGGGACAGGGAAAATTCCTGGTGCCCTTGATTGTGTCTCCTCTGAAGTTCCCAGCACAGCGCTGGGCACATGGAAGGCATCACATGGCAAGACTGGGACCTTGGCTGGGGCTTTCATCTGGGAGGGCCATTTTTTTTTTTTTGTTTTTTTGAGACGGAGTCTCTCTCTGTCCCCAGGCTGGAGTGTAGTGGCGCGATCTCAGCTCACTACAAGCTCCGCCTCCCAGGTTCATGCTGTTCTCCTGCCTCAGCCTCCGGAGTAGCTGGGACTATAGGCGCCCACCGCCACGCTGGGCTAATTTTTTTTTTTTTTTGTATTTTTAGTAGAGACAGGGTTTCACCATGTTAGCCAGGATGGTCTCAATCTCCTGACCTCGTGATCCGCCCACCTCAGTCTCCCAAAGTGCTGGGATTATAGGTGTGAGCCACCGCGCCCAGCCTGGGAGGGCCATTTTAAACCCTGTACAGATGCAAGTCCAGTTTCTAAGTTCCCCATGGACAAAAGGTGGGTCAAGGGGTGGGGTGGGGAAGTACACAAGACCAAACAACGCGTTTCAGGCCCAGCGCGTTTTGGCTTCCTTGCCTGGTCACCAACATCTTGGGAGGGGTGGGTCAGGCCTCTGCTGGTCCCTCAGGCCACTGTGGTTTCTGGAGGACAGGCTGTGGTCGAGCCTCAGGAGCCCCAGCACGCAGAGTAGGGAAGCGTCTTTGGTGTATGCAGCTCCCTTCCTCTCCCTTGTCTGTCCCTCCTCATGGCATCTCCCGATGCTCTATCCTTCCCTCCATCCTGCCTTCAGAAAGCACTTCACCCCCGAGAGACTCCCGCCCTGGGCATAGGCATGGTGATCCCGGAGTCTCATGGTGGGGCTCAGAGGCACTGCTTCATTTTATGAGAACCCCATGGGTGGGAGAATGTCATAGGCTGAGGTCCCGACATCTTTGGTGAGATCGGTAGCCAGGGTGCTGGAGACAGTTTTTCTTGGTCTGGGCAAGATACATAATTTTGTTTCCTTCTCTCTGCATCTAAACTTAAAAGTATGTCTTTGGCAAAGCCGTTTAAACAGATTCACGGATTGGCAAGGTGCTGAGGGCACCTGGGGAAGGTTCACTGGTGGTAAGTTTGCACCAGCTCCACTCCCAGGGTGGCCTGGAGCCCTCTGTGATAGGTGGGCCCTGCTCGGCACATCTGAAGGGCCCTGTCGCTCAACCTGTGCCTTTCTGGGCTCCATGTTCCTCTCCTGTGGGGCCTCCGGCATCGCGGTTGTAGCAATACCTGTGCCAGCTTCCTAGTGGGTGGATGTTTGGTCGAGGTCACTGGGTGAGAGGAAATGGCTGACGACACCCACCCTCCCACTTGCCTTCCTGCCAGCCTGGGGGATGTGCTTCTTGCACTTCCAGATGGCATTGTTCAGTCTCTATTGTCTTCCCTTCCCTAAAATTGGGGAGCTGAGAGTGCAGGGGTGGCTTTATTTCCCATTTTCTGCAAGAGAAATCTAAGGCTCAGATGGCGGGTGGGGGAGTCGGGGGCATGGCTCACACTGGGTCAGGTGAGACACTTGTGGCATGCTGCAGTGGCCAAGTGGCCACCGCTCCTGCTCCCTGGCCCTGGTGGCAGGAGGACCGAGGCCAAGCAGGCGGGGTTCGCCATTAGGAGGCTATAGGGAGTTGGTCTGCTCCAGAAGCCAAGGAGGGCTGCTCAGAGAAGCTAGTGGAGGGGGGATGGTGGGGGACATCTTCCCCTCATCACTGAGATGGCACAGCCGACCCAGTAATTAGCAACCCATGAGGATAGACTGGCAGGGTGGCATTCCAGGGCCCTCTTGCCCAGATCAGACTCAATTACAGAGCACAATGACTTGCCAAAGTTCAGGGGCAGCTGCCTGCACATGCCATGCAAAGTTTCGGGGTACTCTTCTCCCTGGCTGCAGTCACCTGCTTTGAGACCCTGCCTTACATACCAACCCACCCAACTGGAGCCTCTACACTGGTCTGTGGGACTTACTTCTCAAGGGAGACCACACCTGATGCCAACATCTTTAGGGCACTCCTTCCAGTTCACTCCCAAGAAACACCAGCCTTCGACCCCAGTCTCCAAGGCTCATGAGTGGGGGTCAAGGCCCCAATTTCCCCGTAAATGCCTGAAGCGTTTGTTCCACCCCAGAATTCACCCCGGTGGTGGCTGGAAGGATGGGGAGGTCTTACCTCGAGTTTTGTTTTCCTTGGGAAGGAGAGAGATGACTTTTCCTTCCTGAAGATAGACAAAGAACTGGTAGCGATGGAAGCCACTGTGTGCCGGTGGGGAGGGAGCCTGGTAGGCTATAGGTAGAAGCAGGAGAGAGGTGAGCATCAACATCCCATACTACCGAGGGCAGAGCTCTCTGCCTTCCCATGGTCCTGCTGACCTCCCTGGGGCCCCAGATCAGCACTCGGCCCTGCAAAACATTAGGATTTGTATTTGGCGGGATCTCAGCTTCAGTATTTTCATTTAAGAAGTACATATTTTGGTGGGGGTGAGAGTGGGGGAGGAGGTGGTCCAAGAGGAAACACCCTGAGCTGGCTTGAAGGCCTTGGGTGCTGGCGTGGCTCCCAGGCCTTTATGGGCCAGTGGGTGTTGGCATTGTCCTGTTTTTGCTTTAGTCTATCCTGATGGATTTCCTGCCTCAAGAGAAGCCCATCTTCCTCTGTGAGTGTGTTTGGCAGAGGATTTTTATTTATTTTTTCGGCATTTGCTTATGAACTCAATCCCCAAAGAAGCCAATTTCTTGGCTGCGTCTGGAGGGTCTGGAAGTGGTTACGAGGGTGGGTGGGACTGGGTTCAAAGGTTTGATCATGGGAGCTGTAGGAGCTGGGTGCTCGGGGCATCAGGGAGAAGTTCCCTCTCCCAGTCCTTCTCTCTCCCTCCAGGAGGCTGAGCTCTTTTTTTGGGGCGGGGGAAGTGGGGTGGGGACATCCCTCATTCTTTCCCCAAGTCCATGCAGAGTCAAGGTCCTGCTGGCCTGGCCTAGGTCTTTCAAGGTGGGCCTCTTTCCCAGAGTGCTTCACCCCTTCCCACTCCCCTTCCCGCTCTCCATCTTCCTTTCCAAGGAGGAGAGCCAGGCTGGAGCCAAGAATCTTTCTGGGTGGGTGGGAAAGAAGCATTTGCAATGAGGATGTTGGTGGGAGGGAGTATTGGTCCTTTATGGCCATCTCCCCTTCTTTCCTCTCCTGATCATTAAACAAAAGCACGACTTGCTGCTTGGAGCACTGGAAGAGTCCCTCACTGTGCACTTCCGGCCACTGGTGGCTTCCAGCATGCCAACAACCGGGGAATTCCTGACGATTCATCTTTCCCTGCATTTTTGGATCGCAGATCAGATATATGTGTGTGTGTGTGTGTGTGTGTGTGTGTGTGCACGCGCATGTGCACTCAGAGTGAGAGCAGAGCTGGGTGTGCTGAGAGCCATGTGTGTGGTTGGAGGTCCCACTCGGGGTGGGTGTGTGTACATGAACAGCCAGTGTGCAAACGCCCCGATGCTGTTTTGGAGGGCCTGTGTGTGTGTAAATGCAGGTAAAGGAGCATTTCTTCCTAAACACCGCCAGGGCTGAGAAAGACTTCTGAGCACAGGTGGGTGCCAGGGAGTCTCCTCGTGTGCTTAGGTATGGAGGGCAGATGGGACAAGTCAGTGTGGGCAAGATGTGTGGGCATGTGGGCTGTGGAGTACACTCCACCGTGGGCACACTTGACGCTGCCCAAAACTGGTGACCTCAGTTCTGTGCGGACAAGTCTGAAGTGAGAACTCACTGGATTTGTGCAATGGAGAATTTATCCTCTATCTCCTCAAGGGAGATAGAGACTAATGCCTCTCACTAGGGCTTTCCTCAAGAATCCCCTCTTCAAAACCTCCAAAGGCAGAGAATTGAGGCGTGAGGAGGAGGGGAAAGGGTTCACACATGCTAGACCACTTCTCCGGGCCAGGCCCTGGGCTGTAGGCCTTCACTTATGACATCTCCTCCATCTTCCCATTTCCTGGAGGCTTGAGAGGTAAAGCCAGGCCAACAGTGAGTGGTGGTGCTGGGATTTGAATCCAGGCCTGCTTGGTGCCCAAGCCCACGCTGCTTCACGGAACTGCAGGGCTAAGTTTGGTGCCCAGTGCTGTGCCAGAGGCCAGCCCAGTACCTGAGCATCCCTTTCAAGGTAGGTTGGGGGCATCCTCCTGGGGCAGGGATCTGAGAGAGGGGAGCTGGGGGAAGGATGGGGGTGGACAGGGGTTACAAGCAGCCTCCAGTCAGATGGCCCCCTGCACTGTGAAGCTGGCTGCATTCTTTACTAGCCATTCACATGGCGCAGGATGGTCTGTGCCTCAGTGTTATCCTCTTAAAATGGGGACACTGATGGCAGTGACCATAAAAGGCAGTTGTGGAGATGAAATCAGGGCATCCAAGAAAACTCTCAGGCTGGTGCTAGCACACGACAAAGCAGCACCATGAGGTTTTGATTCCTGTGATCGTCACTGATGCCCTGGCTGGGGGAAGGGGTCCCTAGGGTCTTACTCACCTGATAACTCCTGGCCCTGAATCTTCCCTTTCTTCAGGTCGGCGCCCTGAAAGAAGAGACAAGCAGGGCTGTAGGTTATGTCTTGGGCACACTTCAGGCCACGTGGGCTCTGCGGGATTGCTTCTCTCTCTGCAGGAGGAGGATGGGAGAGGAAGGAGGATGGGAGAAGAAGTAGGATGGGAGAGGAGGAAAATGGGAGAGCAGGAGGATGTATGGCTGCTTTTGGGAGACAGGGCAGTGAGTGGGGTTTTGGAATGGGTACCTCAGGGGATCCAGGGAAAGAGGACAGACACACGTATTGCTGAGGGGGGCAAATGGACACCTTCCCTCTAGAGAGGCCCTGTAGGACACTTCCCAAAGAGCTGTTCCACGATCCCTATTGGTGCCTGAGACTGGGCGCTACACATCACCTGCAGGGTCTGGTCGGATCTAAGGGAGGCGCTTAGGTCTGCAGTTCTCTGGATCTTACTAAGGAGCCCATCTTCTCTGGAGGGAGGACTCTGCTCCCTTTGGAGCCTTTAGAATATTAAGCAATGGGCTCAGAGCAACCAGCGGGGGAAGGGAAAGCAGGAGGAGGCTACACTGCCTGATTCTGTGGCAGCTTCTCCCCACCCTCAGTTAACTCAGCCCACAACCCTGGGGCAGTTTCTTTGGCCACTGGGACAGCCTCAGTTTCCCTCCTCTCTTTCCCTCCCTCCTCCCCTCCACTCAGTGTCTATGGGATAATGAGGTGACCCCGGGGGTGGGTGCTAATTACTGTTTGTGCAGGACTGGGAGATGCTCAGATGAAAGAGACTGGAGCCGGGCCCCTGGGTCTGTGCCATGGCTCAGGGGCCCCAGGCCATGCCAGGGAGCCCCAAGGCCCCTAGGTGTGGGGTTTTATAGCCTTAATGAAGGTGATTAGCGTGACTCTTAATTGAGTCTGCCGACACCTAACTGTGCCCTGGCTACCTTTTCACCAAGCCTAGAAGAGGGGCTCATGGGATGCTGGGAGGATGGGGGAGAGGTGGGAGGCCCTGCTTGAGGTGGGGGCAGGGGCAGGAGAGATCCAATCCCCTAGCTTGAGGTTTACCTTTTATAGAACTAAAGTCCTACTCGCTCAGTCCAGAACCCACCAGATCTCCTACCTTTTAGACTGCAGCTTGTCTATTATTGTCCTCACTTTGGGCCTCTTGGTCAGATATCCCTCTTCCAAGGCTGGTTCCTATAGAGCTAGGTCTCATTTGGTTGGAAGAAGGAGCAGGAGACTGTGGAAGGATAGACCCTTCCCCCACGAGCCCCTTGTACTTTGTCTTCTTCACCTGATACAGGTGAGATAGATCTTTCCTTCCTTCCTTCATTCCTTGCTGGCTTGCTTCTTTCTTCCTTCCTTTCTTTCTTTCTTTCTTCCTTCCTTCCTTCCTTCCTTCCTTCCTTCCTTCCTTCCTTCCTTCCTTCCCTTTTTTTGGAGTCTCGCTCTGTCATCCAGGCTGGAGTGCAGTGGTACGATCTTAGTTCACTGCAACCTCCGCCTCCCAGGTTCAAGCGATTCTCCTGCCTCAACTTCCCGAGTAGCTGGAATTATAGGTGCCCACCACCACGCCTGGCTAATTTTTGTATTTTTAGCAGAGATGGGGTTTTACTATGTTGGTCAGACTGGTTTCGAACTCCTGACCTCAGGTGATCCACCCGCCTCAGGCTCCCAAAGTGCTGGGATTACAGGCATGAGCCACTGCGCCCAGCTGAGATCTCTTTCCTTTAACTTCCTTCTACTCTCCCTGATCCTGTTCTTTTCTGCTCAGGAGGATCTGGGCAGCCTTCAACATCAGGTCCCACCCATATGGTGATGCACACTCCAGCTCTGTCTCGCTCCCCTCTCAGCACAGTCCCCCAACTCCCCGCATTTTGGGCCTGGCTTTATCCAGGGCTGGCATTATCCAGGCCCAGGTGTGGCCAAAGGGCTGTGGCCTGACAAGGATAAGGGATTGGAGAATGGAAGCCTGTCTCCTTGCCGCCCATCTCTTCCAGGAGAGGAGGGAAGGCCTTGACAGATGCCTAGCAGCCACTCTCCCTACAGAGCTCTTCTGCCACCCGAGCAAGATGGAGAGTTCTAGGGCTGAGCGCAGGGAAGGGCTGCCCAGCCTGGTCTGCCCTGAGCTCCTCAGCCTCCCCTTATTCCTTTCCAAGTCAGCCCAGCCAGCGGTTGTTTAAACAAAACAATAGCAACCTAAGCTGGCTGTTTCTTTTCAATTCCCCCCAGGCTTGGGTCCCACCCAGAGTGAGGCAAGGGAGCAGGCAAGGGTGGGGGCCAGGGCCAGTCAGATCAGGGAGCTGGTTTGTGCAGAGCTGCAGTGGGTGGAAAGGCTGATCTGGAGCCTTGATGGGGTGGGAAGTCTCCCTTTCTTCATCCTTTCACTCTGGGGAGCTTTTCTTATCAACCGGGGCCAGCATAGGCAAAGATTCTGCAAATCCTTACGTTGGGTTTGCTGAGGCAAGCCACTGGCCCTTCCTAGCCACCCAGCAGATCCTGTGCTTGACTGGGGCACTGATGGCAAATGGACTGTTCAGGTCCCCCCTGGAGCTGATCCCACGGACAGGTGCTGGTCCTCACTGGCAGAAAGAACGGGGGAGGACCTGGTGGAGGAGGGTGGAGGAGGAGTAAATCAGAAGCTGTGATTTACTCGGATTGTCTTGAGAATTGCCTAAGTTCTCTTTGGCCATAAACCTTTCCTCATTGGTCAGTCCTGGAGGGGCTACAATTTCTACCATAGAATCAACACCTGGTAGGGGCTTTAGGAAACTAAATTCTAAAAGGTGAGAGAGTTGGGCTCCAGAGAGGGAAAATCCAGAATGTTCAAGGAGGATGAGGCCTTAGACCCCAGGCCCTTCGAGATCAGCTAACTCAAGGTCTCATGCCTTTCGACCTCAGTGCCATCCTGTGCTCTTTCTGTGACATCATGACAATCCCATCAGTTCTATGGGAGGCATCATTTTCCAAAGACCATGATTAAAATACGGAGATATTATCTGGAGGGCTGGAGCTGCGGTGAAAATGGGGGCCCTCCCACCCGATTTTAGCTCTTCTAAAATATCTTCATGATGGCCAAGTGCAACAGCTCACACCTGTAATCCCAGCACTTTGGGAGGCTGAGGCGGGTGGATTGCTTGAGCCAAGGAGTTTGAGACCGAACAGTTTAGGCAACATAGCAAAACCTCGTCTCTACAAAAAATGCAAAAATTATCTGGGCATGATGGCCCATGCCTGTAGTCTCAGCTATTCAGGGGACTGAGCTGGGAGGATCACCTGAGCCCAGGGAGGTGATCCTGAGCCATGATGGTGCCACCGCACTTCAGCCTGGATGACAGAGTGAGACACTGTCTCAAAACAAATATATGGATTAGAATGTCACTTCTAGCCTGCGATCACCCTAGAAAGCTGAAACTGCCCGGGGATGGATGAGATTCAAGGAAGTTTCAGGAGGTAAGAGGGAGAAACCTGTAGTTTTGAGCACTGCTCAGGGTTGCTGGGCTAGGAAAGTGCCCTGGGAGGAGGGGGTACCAGCCCAGCATTTGAGGAACACAGACACCACTCCTGTCGAGTCTGAGAAGAGATCGGCTTTGGAAGGAGACCCTGAAGGAGGCTGAAAGTTGGGCTTTCTCACCGTTTAGAATTTAGTCTCTGAAGGCCCCTAACAGGTATTGATTCTATGGTAGAAATTTAAGCCCCTCCAGGACTGACCGATGAGGGAAGGTTTATGGCCCAACCTGCAGGGTCTGGTAAGAGCTCCCTCACACCTTCGGCCTCCTCACTTTGACCCTGCTGCCTCCCCCAGCCCAGACTCCAGATGTGCTCTTGCCTCTCTAAGATGGGCTGAGCACAGACCAAATCTCCTTTCCCTTCCTATAGCTAAGACAGGCTGACATTTTCAAAAGGAACTCGTTTAAATGCTAAGGTTAAAAAGAAGAAATATAGTTGATCTTTGAACAACATGGGTTTGATTTGTGTCCACCTATAAACAGATGTTTTTTCGACAAAAGTTACACTGAGTGTGCCTGCCTCTCCCGCCTCCTGTTGCACCTCCTCCACCTCTTCCACCTCTTCTGCCTCTGCCACCCCAAGACAGCAAGACCAACCCCTTCTCTTCTTCCTCCTCCTCCTCAGCCCATTCAATGTGAAGATGATGAGGATGGAGACCTTTATGATGATCCACTTCCACTTAACAAATAGGAAGTATATTTCCTCTTCCTTAGGATTTTCTTAATACCATTTTCTTTTCTTTGGCTTACTTCATTGTAAGAGTACAGTATAGAATACATATAACATACAAAACATGTTAATTGACTGTTTATGTTATTGGCTTCCCGTCAACAGTAGGCTATTAGTAGTTAAATTTGGGGAGAGTCCAAAGTTGTAGTTGGATTTTTGACTTTGTTGGGGGTGGCACCCATACGCCCTCATTGTTTTATTTATTTATTTATTTATTTATTTATCTATCTATCTATTTATTTATTTATTTATTTTTGAGACGGAGTCTCGCTCTGTCGCCCAGGCTGGAGTGCAGTGGCACGATCTCGGCTCACTGCAACCTCTGCCTCCCGGGTTCATGCCATTCTCCTGCCTCAGCCTCCCGAGTAGCTGGGACTACAGGTGCCTGCCATGGCGCCCGGCTAATTTTTTTTTTTTTTTTAATTTTTTTATTTTTAGTAGAGACGGGGTTTCACCGTGTTAGCCAGGATGGTCTTGATCTCCTGATCTCGTGATCCGCCCGCCTCGGCTTCCCAAAGTGCTGGGATTACAGGCGTGAGCCACCGCACCCAGCCCCATACCCCCTCATTGTTTAAGGGTGAACAGTAATTATAGAAATTACAGACAACATAGATGTAGTTCAGTTTCTCATCCTCGAGAACGCTGAAAAGCCCAGGATGGGTTTTTCAGGAGAGCAGACCAGGAACACCGAGGTATTTGGGTAGTGTGCCTAGGAGGACATTCTGGGCCTTCTAAGTTTGGGACTGGAGGGCCCGGGGAAGGCAATTCTTCCTCATCAACATCCTGTGGAGATGGGGAGTCTAAAATACCCATGACTCTCCTAGCAAGGGAAGGGAGGAGGAGGTGAATTTCTTAGAAGGACCCTTAAATGCTCAGGGTATAAGAAAAATAGTAGTCATCACATGTTCTCACTTATAAGTGGGAGCTGAACAATGAGAACACATGGACACAGGGAGGGGAACAACACACACAACTGGAGGGCCCATGGTGGGGGCGTGGGGAGGGAGAACATCAGGATAAATAGCTAACGCACACGGAACTTAATACCTAGGTTATGGGTCTATAGGTGCAGCAAACCACCATGGCACACTTTACCTGTGTAACAAACCTGCACATCCTGCACATGTACCCCGGAACTTAAATAAAATAAAATTTAAAGAAATGAAAAGAAAAAGAATAGTAGTCACTCCTTTTTCCTAGAAGCTGGCCCCATTTGTGTGTGTGTGTGTGTGTGTGTGTGTGTGTATGCACATGTGTGTATGTGCATGCATGTGCACATGTATGTGAGTGTAGGGTACTGGGTTTATGCATGACTGCTTGGCACAGGACTAGGTGCAAATTATTCTAATTGCAGAGAGGAGGGCTCAACACTGTGGACACTTTGGAGGTGCTTCTGGGTTCCTAGAACATGAGATTTCCTTTCCAGCTCTCTCCCACCTCAGATCCCACTGCTTCTCTGGCAAGCTAGCCTGGAACTTGCAAGCGAGATACTCAGGGAAAGTTGTGGCTTGACTGAGAGTCATAGCAACCCCATTCTCAGTCCAGGGTGATGCAGACTGTCTTCCCAGACTTGTCCCGTCTGGGTCAGGTAAAGAGCACGGTGCTGGAAGCCAGGGGTCTATCCCCACCGCTATTGCCTTGCATTTGTAACAGGCTTTCAGCTTTATTCTCCAGGCAACCATCCAACTGGTTGATCTCACAACATCCCATTCAGAGGAAGGGCAGAGATCTTTAGCCCCATTGGACAGGAGAGAAACCACAGAAGCTTCAGCTCCTCGAGGGTGGGGACTACACCCTACCCATCTTTGTGACCTATGAGACGCTCGGCACACAGTGGGTATAGTCCAAGTCCGTGGGCGCCCTGGCCCAGTGCCCAGCCCTTGCAACTTGAGCCATCCCTACTTAACAACCTCTATCCTTTGGGTGTCCCCGTAGGGACAGAGAGCTGCATTTTCTGAGGTCTTTCATAGACTTGAGGGTCCAGCGACACTCCTCCCTCACCTGGGGAACCCCTTAGGTAAAGGCTCTTTGGCTGGATTTGGTAGGTCTGGAGTGTGGGGAAGGGGTCTGACTCACTGCTGGTCCCAGCAGGGATGCTGGCCCAGTTCCCTCATTCCCCTTCAATTACCTGTAGGCAGCGGCCCACCCACCTGGGTGTTTGTGAAGGCCCCAGATACTCAGGCTCGTGGTGCCTCAGAGCAAAGGGTCAGTCGCACATATCCTTGAGTGAGGGAGAGGACTTAATCTCGTTACCCACCTCTTCCCATTTGCACAGGAGGATTCAATCTTCTGCCTGGGTGCAAACCCCGGTCAGAGTGGGAAGTTTTGCTTTTTGATCTCTGGGTGAAATGTAGGGGTGGGGATGGGGGGTTTGGGGAGGGTGGGGATGGGGGAATTGGGGAGGGTGGGGATGGGGGAATTGGGGAGGGTGGGGATGGGGGGACAGGCATCAGAAGAGTCCCTAACTTGAAAGGTGAGGCTCAGAAAGGTGTCATGGAGATAAGGGAGAGTAGAGGGAGAAATGAGCAAAACAGAGCACTTGAGGGTGGGAAGGAAGAAATGAGAAAAAAAGGGAAAATGAAAACAGAGTTCCAAGCTCTCTGACACTGGCACCAAACAAGAAAGCTCCTTGCTGTTTTGCACAGCTGCCTGCAGGCTGCCAAGTGGCAAAGGATCCAGGAAAAGGCACAGGACTGGAAAGCGCTACCCAGCAATCTGTGTATTCGGCAATTAACAAAGGGTAAGTGAGCGGAAGGCACTGACAGCTCCCAGGCTCTGAGGTCCCCAGGGGCCGCCTAACGCCAGCCTAGAGAAGACCCAGCTCTGGAGACTACTGCCTGCTGCCAGGGAGAGGCTTCCAGTCAATTAACCCCAATGGCCTTCTCTTTTGCCCTAGGGTTGGGGAGAGGAGGGATGGCCACTGAGGTGGGTGGAATGAAGCCCGTGGGAAGTGGAAGAAGGAGGCGCAGATCTGAGCCCTCCTGGGAGCTGAGTACTTCTAGACTCCAGGGTGTAGGATGGCCAATTATTTTGTGGACCAGTTTCCCTCCAGAAATGTCCATATCAAAGACTTGGTAGGCCTTTTCCTGGCACCTTCATGGGCAGTGGGGACAGCTTGGTGAATATCATCTTAGGAGATGCCAATGGGTGCATGGCAGATCCTGGTATCTTGGCACAGTCTGGCAATGGGACTCCTGGGTTTTGATTCCTAGTTTGGCTTCAAATCTGGAATTGGTTACTTCTCTGGATCTCCGGCTGCCAAAGTTGGGTGGGCACTATTGAAAGGAGGCTAGATTTTGGGGCCTTGAGGGATGTGTAGGAGCTTTTCAGTTCTCCAGTGGATAAGACAAGGGAGGGGAAGGGCAGCTTAAGCTGAGAAAGCTGTCTAAGCCACGTATCAATGTGCGGTTGTGGGAGAATGATTTGCTTCTAGGAGTAAGGAGTTTACCCAGGATGGGAGGAGCTTCACCCAGAGCGTCACCACCCTCCATGACACTGGGTTAAGAGACGAGATTTCCCAAGGCCCAGGCCATCTGAGGCTTGAAAAGTACAGGCTGTCCAGGCCCTTTGTTCTAGGTCGTGCGATTGCCAAAAATGTCACACCGTCTTGCAGCTGTGTGTGTGTGATAGTATCTAGCACAAAGCTGCCCCTGAGGAATGGTAGCTGGTGAGATGGGTAGATGAATGAATGAATGAGAGGCCCTGTGTTGGAGATAGAAATTTAATTAAGACACAGGTCATGGTATAAGGAGCCTCTGATCTGCTAGAACAGATAGATCACAAAGAAATAATAATTACAGGCTTAAATAATTGAGGCCTAGAGGCCATGCTGGGGGGAGCAGAGATGAAGGAAGAGATAACTGCTTGGGGGTAGTGATCAGAGAAAGTTATTGAAAGGAGGCTAGATATGGGGCCTTGAAGGATATATAGGAGTTTTTCAGTTCTCCAGTAGACAAGATAAAGGAGATTTCTCTTAGGTTGAGAAAGCTGCCTAAGCAATGTATAAATGTGTGCATGAGACATGGGAAGATTTCAAATGACTTGGGTGTCCGTTGAAGCCAGAACCAGCATGTGAGTCTTCAAGAATCTCAAGAGAAGGCTAGAAATGCAGGATGGGGATAAGACTGGAATGGTAGGCAGTGCCTCTGATTTCTGAGACTCAAAGCTCTCAGCAACCTAAACCCTGGGTCCACAGATCCCAGGCAAGGCTTCTTCTCTTCTCCAAATGATCAGTAACTGTGTCCCAGGAGGGCCACCAGAGTTGGTTGGCTGAGCTGCCTTCCCTGTCAAGAGAGGAGGAGGGTGGGCCCCAGCTGGGGGACACTGCCCACGTGGCAGGTCAGAGCAGGATGCTGCTGAATTTTGTCATCGATGGCCTCACTCAGAGCAGGTAACTCTTGGACCCCCAAACCCAAACACCTCCCTTTTACAAACAGTAATTTTTGTTTCAGGTAATAAAAGGGCTACATGTTCCTTGTAGAAAAATTGTAAAACACAGAAAAGCACTAGAAAGAAAAAGCATTCCCTGGATCCTACCACATAGAGACAATTGCCCTGAGAACATCCTTCTTTTCTTTGCATTTTGGTTCCAAAGTTTCTTGTCACACAGATGGCAGCTTCGAGCCCCTGGTGCCTCTGGGGCCTGTACTGGCTGGGACTCCCAACTGTCTGCCCTCGGGGAACTCCTGCTTGGCGAAACTTGCCCAAGTTACTTTCAGTCCCTGACACTCAGAGAGCTGGCTGAGCCACAGGAAATTGTGGAGCCACCTCCTTTTGACTCTTGCCTGTCATGGGTCACTCATTCTCTGGATGGGGTTCCGGGGTGGGGTTAAGAAGAAGGAAAGAAATAAAGAACACAATATATAGTCTTATTAAACCTGTTCTTCTTAGAAGTAGACAAGAGTGGGGGTGCGTTGTCTCATGCCTGTAATCCCAGCAGTTTGGGAGGCTGAGGCAGGAGGATTGCTTAGGGCCAGGAGTTGCAGAGCAGCCTGGCCAGCATAGTGAGACCCCATTTCTACAAAATATTAAAAAAATTAACCAGACGAGGTGGTGTGTTCCTGTAGTCCTGGCTACTAGGGAGGCTGAAGTGGGAGGATTGCTTCAGCTGGGAATTCGAGGCTGTAGTGAGCTATATTGTTGCACCACTGCATTCCAGCTTGGGTGACAGAGTGACTCGGTCTCAAAAATAAAAAAAGTAGGCAGAAATATTAAGTTGAAAGCAAATATCAGGAGTTTGTTGCTAAATGTGATTACTATGCACTGATATCACTTTAAACTAAAGACTGCCCTTTCTAGCTACTCAGAACAAAAATAGCTTTTGATATCAACCTCAGGTTGCCGGGACGCCTCATTTATCTGAAGTCATATAGGGAATTGGGTATTCCTTATAAAAACATTTCCCTGATATCTCAAATCTTATATTTTTAGCTCCCCAACTCCTTTTCTCTTACCTATTTTGGATAGCCATCTTATTAGAATACTAGTTCTTGTCTTCTTATGTGATTTTAAATACCATTGTAGTTGTCATTGTGGATGCCAGTTTTGCACCCAACTACAGCATGAGACCGCAAAGCTGAAAAGCAAATAAAGGCCGGGCATGGTGGCTCACGCCTGTAATTGCAGCACTTTGGGAGGCCGAGGCGGGCGGATCACTTGAGGTCAGGAGTTCGAGACCAGCCTGGCCAACTTGGCAAAACCCGGTCTCTATTAAAAATACAAAAATTAGCAAGGCGTGGTGGCAGGCGCCTGTAGTCCCAGTTACTCGGGAGGCTGAGGCAGGAGAATCGCTTGAACCCGGAAGCCAGAGGTTGCAGTGAGATCAGATTGAGCCACTGCACTCCAGCGTGGGCAATAGAGTTGAGACTCCGTCTCAAAAAAAAAAAAAAAAAAAAAGCAAATAAAAAGAATGAGCCATTCAGGCTTCCACCTGCCCCAGCCTCCTTAGAGGCCAATAATTGAATGTTTATGTCGTGGCCATCAGGCAAAGAAGGGGGACCCACCTCTTGCGGAGTGCCCGTGGTGCGCAGGCATCTCGCCATGGTCTTTACGTGAGTTAGTTCACTCAGATCCCCGCCCTCCAGGAAATTCCCCGCTAAGGTGCAGGATCCCCCCACTCCCCCCGCCTTGGAGAGCAAAGGCTTGCTGCCCTGCTTTGTGGTCTGATTTCTGGCAGCCACAAGAACAAGGGAAATGGAGCCGTCCAGTTAAAGCAGCCTCAGTCAATGAGCAACTTAGCATCTAACACAGCCATTCTCCTGCAGGGCAGCCTGGGCTTCAGTCCAATGTCATTACCAATCAGCTACATGACTTTGAGCAAGACACTTAATTTCACAGCGTCTGAGTTTCCGTACCTATAAAGTGGCGATGATAACGATACCTGCCCTGGTTTCTTCACAGAGCTGTTGTGAAGGTGCAATTAGGAAATGGAATATTCTGAAGTCCCGCAGCGCCGTCCAAGTGTAAGGGTCATTACTAGGCTGAGCTCCCGGCGGGACCCTGGAGGGAAAGGCTCGGTGGTTGCCGGGGAGTAGACGGCGTAGGGGCTGAGGATGGGGATGCTGCCTCCGTCCACCCTTGGAGCCCCGGGAGCCCATCCTGCGAAGTCTCCTGGCAGGGCCAGCCTCCTGAGGCTGATGGCTGCGCCGTGGGCTTGGAGGTTACTCAGCTGTGAATGTTGGGCCTGCCCCGCTGGGCCTATACTCAGCCAGGGTGCGCAGAGCGAGTGGCACATCATGTTTATTAATAACCCTTGATGAGGGGCATTAATAGCTCCTAATGACACCATCTGAGCCTGGCCTCCTTCCTTCTCTCGCTGCTCACTCCTTCCTCTTTCCCTCCATCCCTTGAAGACACATGATCCCACAGACAGACACAGGCGGGCTCGGCTCAGGAGAGCGAGTCAGAGGTGTTGTCCAGGAGGTGGGGGCTCTGGAGCGGGGGTCTGGCCTTGGGGGTCAGACAGAGGATCCTGGGTTGGAGAGCAAGTAGGATGCCTCTGGCTCTGCCATCAAGTGGAAACTTGGCCAGAAACTGCTCGGTGATGGGAGCAAGGGAAGCGCAGCAGTGGGAAGAATTTTCCAGAACTGGTGGGAATGGGAGTGGCAGGGTGTGAGATGGGAGAAGCTGGAGCTGGGACCAGAATGAGGCCAAGGGGGCCTAGGGGCAACCTCAGGCTGGGTCCGAGAGGGCCAGGGATGGGAGAGCACAAGTCACACACACACACTTGCACACTCGTGATATACTCACAAGGCACATGCTCACATCCACACTCTCACATATACATACGTTCACACACTCACATACTTGTAGTATGCTCACACACCCACACATGCATGTTCACACATGCTCACTCACACACATGCTGTCACACATGCACAGAGGCACAAGCTCACATACATGCTCATATATCCACATGCACAGACACTCACATGCACACACATGCTCACACACACTCACATGTACTCACGCACTCCTCTCCTAGACTGCCTTTCACTGGGTATGCCTGGGGCTGGGCATGGTGGGGAGGACCAGAAGAAGGGGGCATTTGGGAAGGGGTTGGTGGCCAGGCTGAAGCTGGGACCATGCAATTAGGAAAAGAGGGTGTGGGAATCTCCAGGCCCCTGGCAGGGGGCCAGGACAAACAGACAACTGATTAGCACTGAGGTCTGTGAGTGAGACCTAAGCTGCTCTGTTACCCACCCAGGGGGCTGAGAGCCAATGGGGCTGGGCTGTATCCGAGCAGAGGTGGGAGAGGAGGCAGTCGACCAAGAGGCAGGGTGGGATGGGGTGGGGGGCACCCCAGGTGCTGCCCTCCTCCCGTGCTGCATGTAGGAGGCTGCAGGTCACCTTGCCCTCCCTGCCGCAGCAGAACAATTAGGAAATGGATGCAGTTAATCCCTAAGACAAACAGGGCTTGAGAAACTGCAACTCAACTGGAGAGAAGAGAGCTGTAGGGCTAACTCCTCAGCCCGACTCTTATCGCTCCCCATCTCTCATCCGGCACCCAGTCTTTCCGGCTGGGTGGCTGCACCTCCAAGAGGGAGAGGAGGAGGAAGCGAGGGGACCAATACACTGGGAGGAAGTGACCTGACCAGACCTTTGCTCTCTAACTCCGGCTGGACAGAGGCAGCCCAGCAGCCCCCTAGCATCCATCTGGCTTGGGGAGTGGTGCCCCAGGGCTTATGAGTGAGCTGGAACCCCATGTCCTGGAATCCCGAGTGGCTGTGACTGCTGACTGATGCCCCCCTCCCCACAGTTCTGGAGAGTGGCTCAGCAGTCTCCCCGAGCTCCGGCCCTAGCAGTCCTCCCGTCTCCCCTCTGTCTGGGTAAGAATGGCCCCTCAGCCCCTGACCCTGACCCATCCTGTTCTCTACTGCCAACGAGAAGATGGGTACTGTCTTGGCTTACTCTGCTCTCCTCATGTGCCACCTATGAGATGAGGTGTCCTTGGGAACCCAGGCCACAAAGGCTGGGCTGGGGGGATGGAGGGGGAGGGGGTGCCCAACAGCCAAGAGCCTCGACTGTGGCTCTTTGGGGAAGGCTGGTAGCAGCAGGTGGGAGTCAGATTCCTCGTTCTGTTCTCTGCTTTGTCTCCCTCCTTTGCCCTATTTTAGGTTTCCATACTTGGCTCTGGTGGGAAGAGAAAGCATAATCTACCCTTTGGAGCCTCTTCTCTCCCTCCCCACCAATGGGCCCAGGCCTGGGGCTGCTTTGTGAACAGAAAGGAAGAAAGGAAGGAAGGATGGATGGAAGGAAAAAGAGACAGAGGGACTCTGGAAGAAAGGTCAGGAATTTCTAGCAAGAAAAGATGCTGGCGAGATTTGGAAGCTCTAAGAAACCCTGTGCTCATTAGAAAGTGTGACAAGAAGCAGAAACATTCTAAGTCTATTCAAATCACGGCTTGCTCTTTTCCGAGGGACTGATGGTGAACTTGGACCCAGTCCCCCAGCCCCTCAGAGCAGCAGCAGTGTGCCCTGGGAGCTTATCAGAAATGCAGAATCTCTCTCAGGCTCAACCCTAGACCCAGTGAACCAGAAGCTTCCTCTTAACAAGAACCTGAGGCGACTTCTACGCACACTAAAGTCTGTGAAGCCCCTCAGCACCACCACAGCAGCTTCCTGCTCTCCGAACCTTCCTGCCCAATTCCCCTGGGGTCTCTGGGCCAGGGAAGGGGACCACTCATCAGATCTGTAGTGGCAGCTGTGGTGGGAACCATCTGAGCCCCGGTTCCTGATGGTACCTCCTTTCCTGTTCCTTCTGGAGACCCCCTCCCCTGGGGCTCACCCTTCCCCCTGTGGCCCCAGCTCTCAAGTCAGACCCTTCAGACAGGTTGGGTTCCTGGGTGTTCAGAGGGGCTGGGCCAGACCTGAGAAGGAGGGAGGCACAGCCCTTTCCCTTCACCCCTGCTTAGAGCCATGGAAAGTGGCCCCAAGTTAGTGACTCTGGGTGTGCTATTCTGAGCCTTGAAGTTCCTGGGGAGAAGGGAAAGGGCTGGGCACACAAGGGTGTTTGTTAGCTCCTTTCCCCCAGATCATGCTCCCCCCACCTACCCTACGTGAGGAGGGAGGGTTGCTTGTCCTCCAGGCATGCAGGGACCTCAGGGACTGGGAAGAGACAGATGGGATGGAAGAGGCGAGAGAAGAGTGGTTCTTCCGTGTTGCCTATAGACCAGATGAGGGTGCGGGGCAGCCCCGGTGTGCAGGTCAGGATCAACTCTAGGGCCCTGTCCCAAGCAGGAGGCCAGCAGTCAGGCAACTTCCTCGGGTCTCCCTCCTCCGAGGTGCCCAAGCCAGCTGCCATCTCTGCTGAGCTGCCGTTCTCACGTGCCTTGGTCATGCCAAGGCCTGTGTGGTGGGCCTTCGTGTCCCTGCCTGCCTTCGTCAACCCAGATTCATTTGTCTGAGCCAACGGAAGAGTGAATGTGGCCCACCAGGGCCTGCTGGGGTCCAAGGCCCTGCCACTGTCTGCCAGGCCCAGGGCTTGTTCTCATTCTGTTGTGGCACTTTTTACAGTGCTCAGCAGGCAAATGCCAATCCGGGAAGTTTGACAATCATAGCAAAAAAACCCTGAGCCTGTGCTCAGTGAACTCCACCTGGAGCTCACAGTTGGTCCCATGTCCCGGGAATGCTTTGGGTACTGACAGAGCCCCAGGGAGAGGAAGGGAGGCCCACTGCTCTCTCAGGCAAGTGACCCAGCGGAACCTGGGTCACTGTGCCACCCCATCAGTGGGTGGCTGTCTGTTAAGGGCCGCTCAGCTGAGCCCCACAGGTGGTGGGAAGGTTTGTGTGCAGAGGAGGAACCCTGACTGTCTTGGAAGCCAGCGCCACCGTCCCCCCGGCAGGCAGGAGAGCGGGGTTGGGGGCAGCCCATACTGCTTGGCTTCCAGTCCCCATGGGGAACATCGCCTGTTTCAGAGTATGTTGAAATGAGTCTTTGCACAACCATGACAAGGGCCCAGCTGTTCCTGGTGACAGTGCGCAGGGACACGAGGAGATGGGAGGAAAGGGGACAGGGTCACAGCAGAGGGAGGGACCCAAAGAGGATCAAGGGACAGCTGCTGGCTCCCCAGGCCTCCCTATCTGGGGCTCCCCTGCCTCCTTCCAATCAAAGCCCACCGTGCTCTAGGTCCAGGGCAGGGCCTCACCCTCGAAGCTAGGCCTTCAGAGGCCTTCCTCTGAGGAGTCTGGGATTCTAGGACACCAGGCCCACCCCTAGGCTGTGCCATGGGAAGCTAAGAGAAACTTCTCCCTAGAACTTTTTGCTGTGAGCAGTTAATTGCCCTGGCATCTGAGGCTGCTGTGCACACAAGCAAGGGGCCTTTAATGAATGCAAACGACAGCTGATTAATCTGCCAGCTCTTGCGCCCCTGGTCCTTGCTGTGGGGTCTGGCTACGCTCCATTCAGCCTCGATGGCCTGCACCAGCGGGGTGGGCTCCAACCTATTACCAGTGGCGCTGCCAGCCCTAATGGGAAAGAGGGTGAGACCCCTCCCCTCCTCTGCCCCCATCGGCCTGTGGTCCTGTCAAGCATGAGAGGCTCTTGGGACTGGCCCTGGAAGTGTGGGCTTGCCCCTGCTGGACTTTGTCACTGGGTGTTTCCTATAGTGATGTGGTCACCCCTCTGGGGACAGAAGGGGGATGATGACAAGGGGAGTGCTGTCTAGCTGCTCAGTGGGATTCATGTGAAGGGATTAAATTTAGGAGGTAAGGGGGTGCTGCCTAGACAGTGGCAGAGGATTTATTTTTCAGTCACTCGCCAACTGTGGCCTTGAGAAAGCAGCCAGGCCACCTGATCATCGCCTTGTGGAAAAAGGCAGAGAGAGAGAGGAGTTGAGGCTACGAGAGAGTCCCCTTTTTCCACCCCGGTTCATACATCCTACCCTAGATCCTGGCTGATGTCAACTCAGCCCACCTCTATGGAGCTCCTGCTAGGTGCCAAGTGCGGTGTCCCTGTATGGGGCGGCTTGCAGTCTGGCAGGACACAAGAGTCAAGAGATCATTACAGCTGTGATGAACGCTAGGAAGAGGAAGCGCAGAGAGCCTTGGGGGAACAGGGAGGGCTTTCTGGAGGAGGCTGCATAGACTCTCTGCCAGCTACTGGTGCTTGGTTGGGGCAGGCGGTGAAGGGCTGTGTGCTGGGGAGCCAATGCTCTCTTATGCCAGACTCCAGTGCCCAGGCCTCTTATGCCAGCCTCCTGTCCCCAAGAAGCCCCAGGCCCTTATCAGTGCTTCCTTGGGCTACCTGACCTCCCCTTGGGCTGCCCAGCTGCTGGGGCTGGGGAGTGAGCAAGGGCAGTGAGAGTGAGGCCTGCCTGAGAGTGGAGGCTACTGACCTCCTGGGCAGGACCTCCTTCCCAGAAGCAGAAGCAGAGCTCCCTTTGGGGGAGAAACCCCCTCAGTTTCTACTGTAATAAAGAAGGGGCCTGAGCTCTTGCTGGAGCCTCTAATGACGGGGTTGAGGTGTAATGAATATCTGTGTACTCATAAAACAGGCTAATGACGGCCCTCGGCCCTCATTTTATGGACCCGTTTCATCCTTACTTGTTCCCAAACCAGAAGGGACCATCCTGGGGGCTGAGCCAGGAGCCTGATGGCAGCCCCAGACCACAGCTGTTTGGAGTGGGGGCTAAATGGTTCCTGAGCCTGAAGCCCCTCCGGAGCTGCCTTTTCCTCCTCCATCCCTTATCTGGTTGAGACAAAGTGAGGAATTTAGGTCAATGGCTGACAACAACCAGCCTTAGGAAATGGGCAGGGGACAGGGAGGGAGGAAGTGCATCCACCCTGATTCTTAAGAGTGTCAACACTTGTCACACATGGAGGCCAGAAAGAGCATTCAGCACCTGCCGGCAGCACCACGCCCCTTTCCTCTGCCCAGGTACTGATAGGAGCTCCCTGAATCATCCCAGTTGCAATTCCAACACCTGAGCAGAACTAGACTCCGTGGAGGGTGGGGCTGGCCCGCTGAATCACCAGTAACACCTGTGTTTTGCTTGTGAGGTCTCCCTGCTCACTCGGGGACCAGCCAAGCCTGACCCTGTTTGGCTTCTCGGAGCTTGGTGAGATCACAGCCTGGGGGTTGTGGCTGCAGGCCAGTGTGACCTGCTGTGCAGGGAGTATTTTTAAAGAGATACTTGCCCTGTGTTCCCAGGATCAGCTCCCTGAGAGACTCAAGTTGTTCTTTGAATTCTGCCTCCCTCTCCCAATTTGATTGTAGACATTGGTCAGGGGAACATAAAATCACTTGGGATAAAGTGTGTAGTGGAAATTAACATGCAATCTTCTTGCCATAGACAAGCCCCTGGGGGATGCCCAGGGAGTCTTGGTGACTGGTAGCACCTGAGGGAGGTGGGATGAGCAGAATCAGACTCCCTAATTCCCTTGAGGATGCAGAGATAGACTCACCTGTTTTCTCCTGAGTTCTAGAACTGCCTAACTGTGGTCTTCCGGTCAGAGCCTGGACAGGAGCCACAGGCCACCATGACAGGGTCTGCCGGTGGAAAAAGACTCATGTATGAGTCAGCCTGCTGCCTCGGTTCCCAGCCAGATGCGGGCCCAGCCCTGCCTCCAGGCCATCTGCCGAAAATTGGGGTCAGTGGAGGGCAGAGGAGCCCACGCATGCAGGTTCCTCGTGCCCCTAACCAAGCTCCCCTTTTCATGTCCTCTCTTCTTGCAGACATCGCCTTCTTACAATGCAGAACAGACGATGCACTGTCTCAGGTCACGCTTAGCCTCCTACGGGGGCACGACAGAAGAAGAGGAACATTTAGAGAGGCACAGCTCCTACATCCTTGGATGGGGAGAGTGGGGAGCAAACAGGCCAGGTGAGTCACTTGGGGGTTGGGCCATGGTTGTTAGACAGTGACAGCAGTCCTGGACCCGTATCCAGCACTCTCCACTCTAGGGGTTTCAGGCCCTTGTGCACTGCTGTATCACTTAATCCTCCTTCACCAGGAGGCAGAGAGGGTAGCGTTTGCAGATGGGGACACAAGCTCTGGAGAGGTTAATGACTTGCCGGAGATGGGAGTTCCAATCGGCAGCAGATCAGCAAATGGAATGCGGGTGTCCTGGCCCGTGATCTAAGTCTCCTGATTCATAGTCTAATGTTCTTTTGTCTACACCTCAGAACAAAGAGGGGCTGTGTTCAGAAAATTGATTCTGAAGGGAAGGGAATATTTTTTTCCCTTTGCTGGAATTTCTCTGGAGACTTCGGACTTGCTCAAGTTGGATGGAAAAGCCCGTCTAGATCTTCCCAGCTCTCTCCTGGGTTATGCCCGGGCCTGGGGGCAGAAAGCTTTTGAGACAGGGACAGGCCACATTCTCCAGTGCCCTCTCGACTTAGGGGACCCTGTGCACTGTGGTGGGGAGGTGTCACTGAGAGTGGTGTGATGAGTCACCATGTCCCCAGCCTTGGGTCCCGCAGAGGATTGGGGGAGTGAGCCCTGCAGGGATGTGGGGTAGCCCTGGTGATTCAGGGCAGGGGCAGAGGCTGGGGCCCCATGGCTAAAAGTTTCACGGATCCCAGGCTGAGACCTCCAGAGCCCCTGTCTAGCTCAACTGAGAAGAGTTGATGAAGTTCCTTGTGAGCTTGGCTCATGGATGATCTCAGTCTCAAGTGTACTACTCTGATTCTCTTTATCTTTCCAATCCAGTTCACACTTCTTTCCTCTGTGAAGCCTTCCTTCTCCCAGCATTCCCTCCCCTCACCCTACTGTGTTGTGGCCACCACTCTGCCTGGGACTACAGCCATTTGTCCTTCTGCCTCTCCTCTGCCTGAGAGCAAGGTGAGAGGATCCCGTTCCTGTTCTCCATCTCCTGCCCGTAACACAGGAGGAAGACACACAGGATGTATTTGGGGAACAAGGGGAGGAACTCACATCCCGAGAGCCTGCCTTACCCATGAGCTCTCCCTCTGCCACAACAGCCCGCGAGGCAGGAAACTGAGGCTCAGGGAGGCAGCGCCTTGTCTAAGTCATTAGGCGGCAGAACTGGAATTTAACTCAAGTATTTCTGACTTCATAGGCGAAGCTCTTTGCCAAGGTCAATGATGCTGCTCCAATGTTTGCTTAGAAAAATATGGGAGAAAGTGACAAATGGACTGCTCATGTGTCTGTGGAATTGAACCAAAGCATTGTCCCCTGGTCTGAAAAATGCACCCATCTCGTGGCAGGAGAAGCCTTTTCATATTACTATATTCAACTTCCTTCCTTTTTTTTTCCCCTGCAAGAGACATTTTTGCTGAAGTACATGTGAAAAGGACCACAGGGTCCTCCCTGTTAGATCTGCCCCAGGCCCAGTGGAACAGAGCAAGGAATGTCTCTCTGTGAATCCAGGTGCTGAGGTGTGGAGGCCCCTCTGGGGTTAGAGAGAGCTCTGGGTACAAGGGCTGATCAATTTGGAAGCAGATTGGGCACTTTGGGTCTGGAAAGCCACCAGGTGTTGTCTCTTTGGCCCCTGGCTGGTTGCGGTGTCTGTGATTCTGGGCTCTGGTCCTTCTGGACTAGGATGGAGGGTGCGGTGGGGAGAGTGTTAGTCTCCTCGCGTTTGGTCAGATCTCAGCCAGAGAAGAAAGCCAGAGCTGTGTCCTCTCTCCTTCCCTTCACTGCCTTCCCCTTCTCTCCGATTCCAGCCTCTTCCTCCCTGTCCTCTCTCCTCTCTCCCGCCTCTCCCCCTCCCCTCCTTTGTTCCGCCCTCTCCTCCTCTTCTCCCTCCTCTCTCTCCTCCTCTCCTCCCTCCTCTCTTCCCTCTTTCCTTCACAGAGGACCTCAGCCTTCCATCAGAGAACAGATTTCTTCTGACCATTCGATCCCCAATCTGCCTCCCTCCAGATCGGTGCTGTCCAGTGCGACATTCTGTGATGGTGGAGTTGTCCTCTCTTTGTGTTGTACTATAGAGTAGCTGCCAGCTGCCTGTGGTCATCAAAGTTCGGAGGAATGGAGTTGTAAAAAGAATTATTTGACTCTCGTTCTGTCACCCAGGCTAGAGTGCAGTGGCGTAATTACGGCTCAAGTGATCTTCCCATGTCAGCCTCCCAAGCAGCTGGGACTATGGGCATGTACCACCACACCCAGCTAATTTTTATAATTTTAAAATTTTTTTAGAGACGGGGGTCTCAGCACATTGCCCAGGCTGGTCTTTAACTCCTAGGTGATCCTCCTGCCCTGGCCTCCCAAAGTGCTGGGATTATAGGCATGAGCTACCATACCTGGAATTATTTATTAATTTTGTACTTATTATGGGCTACCACAAGTGAAATTATTTAATTTGAATTAATTTAAATTGAAATAGCCACATGCACTTAGTGACTACCATAGTGGACATCAGAGCTGTGGGTGATAATAAGTGCTGGATTCCTGGGAAGTCCCTGGGGGTGCCCCCACCCTTGTTCAGGCTCTGTCCCTTCCTCAAGTGCCACTGTGTAGATCCAGGGTCTCTGCTGTGCCCAGCCTCCTGTACAGCACCCGAGAGAGGCCACAGACGACTGGGTTCTGGACTTGAACCTGGGTGACCTTGGGCAAGTCACCAGATCTGTGGGTCTCTGTGGCCTCTTCAGTAAAATAATGAAGATGATTTATTGCAAGCCTCAAGGTTTGTGTTTCTTTGGGCAGGAGCCTACTGTGATCAGAGCTGGGGGAGCCAGTGTGAGCAGCAGGGTGAGTGGGGTGTGCATGGGTGTGCACGCTCAGGGGGGTGGGGGGCTTGAGGGGTGGCAGGGGGACCCTACGGGATGTTGCTTTTCAGCCTGGCGCTGCCTCGCTGAGTAGCCTGAGACTAGGAAAAGGCTTAAAGAATTCACAGTGGGAAGGCTGCAGCCTGACTCTGCTCCTGGCCGGCGTTTGCCCGCTGCCTGGCCCTGGCTGTTCCAACGATGGACTTCCTTCCTCTTTGGCCATAAAAGTCTCCCGGAAAGCCTTCCCACAGAGGCCCCGGGGGCTTTCTCAGGGAATGTGTGAGTGTGTGCTCACACAAGCACTGTGGAGCAGGAGCCCAGGGCCGCGTGCAGGCTCTCCCACAGAGCTGTGGGTCCTGGCGCTGGAGGAGAGGTTCGTCCCAGCCTGGGTGGAGAGCGGAGGAAAGGCTGGCCCTTGCCTGGACTTGGGCCCTGGCTTATGCAATGCTCAGACTCTTAGTCAACTTCAGCAACTGGGGCACATCCACACGCATGTGCACACACGTGCAGGCACACACCCGGGCAGGGAGGTGTGAGGAAGGGAGACCAATGAGCCTGTGCCAAGCTCTGCTTACAGATCTCCCCAGATCTGGAGAGAAAAGGGGAGCCCTTCTCCAAGAGGGGGCTGCGCTCAGGCTGCTAGGGTATGATGATGGCTCCAAGCCTGTGGCTGAGGTTGGATGGACCATTGAGAGGAGCCCTCCAGGGTGAGGGGACAGAAGCCCATCAGTCCGTATTGATGGAATGTGGCTACAGTGTGGAGAGAAGAAGATACTTTCTCTTCCTGCCCCAGAAGGTACCCAAGCCTCCGGGATGCTGGGTCACAGAACCCGCCTGGCAGAGAGTTGCATCAGAGCGAAACTGCATGCTAGATGCCTGAGGGGAGAGGGCACTGAGGACTTGTGATCCTAATTTCCCAACCTTCAGCTGCTCAGGGTCAAGTCCTTAGGCTCCACTTGCTCTTCTCCCCTCCCCAGCATTCTTCTGTACTAGGTTGCACATGATGAGGGTGGTCTGAGGGGAGAACAAGGAGGGGGTGTGACTCAGAGTTCACCCGGCTGTCAGCAGCCCTGAGTCAGAGGGAGGGTGGGGAGGTGGGTGGAACAGCTTTTGGTAGTCTTGGGGTTCCCTATAAGCAAGAGCATCCCAGAAAAATAGAAGAGAGCCCCCCAGAAGCTACGAGGCTCCCACATGCAGGGTAGGCCTTTTCTCGGCCACCACTACACACCCCAGGAGAACAGGAGAGGCCTCCACGAGTCCTGGATGATTTAGGTGCGGACTTGCCTGGGGGAAGGGTGTTGGCCCAGAGGACCCCTTGGGTACCTCTGAACTCTGGGATTCTGCAGAGAGGCCTCACCACATCAATGCTTTTTGCTCTGTGTACCCAGATGGGTCTGTGGAGAATTTGGGGGGTTCCACTGCTGGGACTGGGGAGATGACAATCTGGGGTCAGGGGACTGAGGTGGGTGTGGGATGTGGGAACAGGAGGGGTGTCCCATAGCACCAGTGGAGCTTCTGCATCTGCTTCAGGGCTCTTGTTTTCCTGGAAGTAGGAAGGAGAGTGGGGATGGCTGGAAAGTTCTGAAAATTGCTTTTTGCTTATGTATGGTCTTGGCAAAGAAGCTGTGGGGTGTGTTCCTTCTTTATCATAGCTGGCAGCCCTGACTTCCCATAATACAATGATTGGGAGGCTGAGGCCTGGTTACTTGGTGCTTCCTCCACGTGTCTCTGTAGACCTCTCTGCAGCTCTTCTTGTTTTAGCTCCGTAGGCAAGACATCCCATTGATGTAATGTCAGCCTAGGAGCACAACTGTCTTCCCGGGCTCACGGCCTCCACCTACCCAGCTAGAGCTGGAGAGCCATGCCCTCCCCAGGCCCTGCATCTCCTCCCTCCCTGGTCAGGGGTGTCACCAGCAAGGGCACGGCCACCAAACACAGCCTGTGGATCAGCTCTCTGAGATGGCCCTCGTTTGCTCACTGTCTGAACAGAGCATTTCCTTTCCTTCCCTTCCTGTGAGCAGATTCCCCATCCAGGTGGGTAGCTGCGGCCAGCTATGCAGGCACCAATGAGCTGCAAGGGAGGTCAGCCACCCTTTAGCCAGGTCCACCCCCTGCCTTTTACAGAGGAGCAAATTCAGGGCCACGGCATCCATAGGACCAGTCACGGGCAGCAGTGTGGATCTACAACCCACCTCTCCTGATTCTCAGTTTGTCATTCTTTTTTTTTTTTTTTTTTGAGATGGAGTTTCGCTCTTGTTGCCCAGCCTGGAATGCAATGGCACGATGTTGTCTCACTGGAACCTCTGCCTCCTAGGTTCAAGCGATTCTCCTGCCTCAGCCTCCTAGGTAGCTGGGATTACAGGCATGTGCCACCATGTGGGGCTAATTTTGTATTTTTAGTAAAGACGGGGTTTCTCCGTGTTGGTCAGGTTGGTCTCGAACTCCCGACCTCATGTGATCCGCCTGCCTCGGCCTCCCAAAGTGCTGGGATTACAGGCGTGAGCCACCGCACCCAGCCTTTCTTTCTTTTTTGAGACTGAGTCTCGCTCCATTGCCCAGGCTGGAGTGCAGTGGTGTGATCTTGGCTCACTGCAACCTCCACCTCGCGGGTTCAAGCAATTCTCCTGCCTCAGCCTCCTGAGTAGCTGGGATTACAGGTGCCTGCCACCACGCCCAGCTAATTTTTGTATTTTTAGTAGAGACGGGGTTTCACCACTTTGGTCAGGCTGGTCTCAAACCCCTGACCTTGTGATCCACCCGCTGTGGCCTCCCAAAGTGCTGGGATTACAGGCGTGAGCCACCGCGCCCAGCCAGTTTGTGATTCTTTATGATACATTAATGCTTTCATTTTCCTAGGGGCTTGGATGTGCATGGGGCTGGAATTGGAAAAAATTTATCTGGGCAGAATTTTTTCTTCTTCCAAAATCAAGGTGGATGGTTCTGGGCACATGGCTGGTGCTTTTTAGGTACTTGTTGATCTGCCCGTTGGGGTAACTCCTGTTTCACCTTCTATGGGAAGGAAGGGAATATCCCGTGGGAGTTTGTTTTTTTTCCTTGACTATTCTCATCCTTGTGATTGCATTCTGGCTGGGCAGTTAGAAAGGAGGGGGTCAGATGGGCCACTTCCCCATCCCTAGGGTCAAGCTTCACTCTCTCTCAGCTCCCTCTCGGAACTAAGACCTGAGCAAAGGGGTCAGTCTGTACAGTGCAGCCACCCTGACTGACTGTTAGAGAAATAAACAAGATGTTATTGTGCCGAGGGGAGAAGAGTTACATCAAAAGTATCTCAGAGAGGAAGAAAGCCAAATTTCTTTTTATATGAGATGCATGGATAGGGGGAGAGAGAGAGAAAAAAATGCCTGGGTAATTAACTTAATAGGTTTCTTAAAGAATGCCCTTGTGAGTGATGTTCAACACATTCAAGTGTTGACAAGAAGGCATTGAACTTGACGCCCACGCAGCGGGCAGAAGCATGCTCTCGGCTCCAACACACCTTCTTTGTCTGAAACTTGTGGTAAGACTCAGTGCTGGGTTGTGAAATCTGTCCCAGGGAATCCGTGCTGCAGGAGCTCCAAGGTCAAGCCCCGTGCTTCTGGATAGGGTTGGGGCTGGCAAGGGTGACCACTCGGAACTAAGATCCCACGAGTAGGAGAGCAGAGGAAGAGGCCCTCAAGTCAGACACCTAGAGATGCTGCCATGCCTGGGAGAGACCCGTGAGCTCTAGGGCTCCCAAGACAACCTGCCACTCTTGGGGGTGGTCGGAACAAACCTCTGCTTCTTCCCTGCAAATCCTGGTTGCCTTGGGAAACTTGGGTCTGATGTCCAGGAACACGTGTGAGACCCTAGGTCTTCCCTATCTTGATGAACTAAGGGAGGAATCTAGGTGAATGTATCAATGTGGATTTTCCCTTTCTCCTAAATCGGTGGTAGATAGAGAGGCCCCAAATCATTGCTGGGCTGCTGAAACAGGAGGCTTTGACTTGGATAAGGAGGAGTGTGTCTGTGTGTGTGTGTGTGTGTGTCTGTGTGTGTGTGTGTGTCTCTGTGTGTGTGTGTGTGTGTGTGTGTGTTGTGCGTCTATATATTTGTATTTACAGAACATTTTGGGTTGCTCTTGACTGAAACCACAAGAAGCATAAATCACTGTTCCTAAAACAAAGCAGTCTCCTCTGCCAGGCAGCCTGCCTCAGAGGCCCCAGATGTGGATGGGGCCCTTGGCCTCTGCCTGTTGCTGGCAGATCAGCCTGCCTTCCCATTGTCAGTCACCCACTCTTCTCATCACCAGCCACCCACTCAACCACCCTCTCTTTCTTTTTGTTTCTTTTTTGAGGCAGGGTCTCATTTTGGCACTGAGGCTGGAATGCAGTGGTTTGATCATAGCGCACTGCAGCCTTGGCCTGCTGGGCTCAGGCAATCCTCCTACCTCAGCCTCCCGAGTAGCTAGGACTACAGGCACACACCACCATGCCTGGCTAATTTTTTTAAAAAGTTTTATATTTTATAGAGTTGGAGTCTTGCTGTTTCCCAGGTTGGTCTCGAACTCACTCCTGGCCTCAAGCAGTCCTCCCACCTTGGCCTCCCAAAGTGCTGGGATCACAGGCGTGAGCCACCCTGTCTGGTCCCATCCTCCCTGTCTGTTACATTAGGCTCAGGCTTATCAGGAGATGGGTGTTTTCAGGCTGGGACCTGAATCTCAGGGTCTCTGTCACAACCATAGTGGCCAGATTTGTAAAATGGATAAAAAAGGTGACATGAATGCCTTTGTGAAAGAACTTCTCTTTCTTAGATACTTTACCAAATAAAGCAAACTAAGTCTACGGTTGCCTGGCCATAGACCCTGTGGAAGCTCACTTTAAGGGAGCAATCCAAAAGGCCCAAATCCACACCCTTGGTTAACGGGTTTCCAGCCTGGGAGAAGGACCTGCACTGCCTCTCACCCAAAGTCATATACCAAGACTGCGCGTGTCTGTGTATGCCGTGGGGAGAGTGGGGTGAACTAGAAATGCTCCTCATTTACAATCAGTCATCGTGGAAGGGAATCTCCTCTTGCAACCAGAAAGTCTGGGCTAGCTCTCTGCTCCTGTTATTGGCCCCAGCCCTTGTTCTGGGGGCTCATTTCTGCCTGCAGCAGCTGGTTCCCACCAAGGCAATGCCATTATTCTGGAGAGGCAGGATTCCAGAATTTGCATAAACTCCTAGGGCATTTCTGTTTCTAGGAAAAGGGAAGAGGTCGTCATCTTTCTGCCTAACTCCCCATGCATTAGGACATGATAGTCAAGAAAAGGCTGTGGGCTTAGCTGGGGATGCCCGTTAATTTTACAGTCCAATTTCTCCTTCCTTCACCACCCCATCCCTTCTCCAGGCTGGAGACGTATTCCTGCTATGTCTCCTCTTTTCCCCATTGCCCAAGTTGAGTTTCCTAAGGGCAAATGGAGCAGGTTAATCAGATTCCTCACTTGCCTGTTTGGCCCAGGTGTGTGGTCAGGGAAGTATCCTGGTAGCTTAGTTCAGCGCACATTGATCGAGTGCCTACCAGGTGCAGAGACAGGGCTGGGTACTACAGGGGATACAAAAATTAATAGTCTCACTGTTAATAATTCCTGCCTTTAAGGAGTGTTCATTCCATGGGAACCACACAGCTGCCTGCACCATCCCTATATTCTTAGAGAATAGATGCTCCCTGCTCAGGAGTCAGGAGGGAGCTGTGAGCATCCCAGAGACAAGCAGGTTTCCAGAAACTATCTCTCAGTAATGCAGAACCCACCTTCCAGCATCGAAACTGGGGGCCGCATGAACTTTGACAAGGAGACAACAATCAAGGTGGGACAGATTTGTGCCTCAAACTCTCTTGAAAATATAATTTTCTTCCCTTGGATATAGCTGGCTCGAGTGAAGCAGCCTTCTTTTAATCTTGACAAAATAATGAAATCAGATCAGTGATATTGGCGTGTTTCATGTGGACACATGATGCTGGGAGAACTTCAGAGCTAGGCAGCTCCCACAACTGCCAAGAGACTGAAGCTGAACTTCAAGGCAGAGTCCTCCAGAGTGGCTTAGGCAAAGTCTCCACCTTGCTGAAGCCCTTCCTGGTCCACCACTCCTTGTGGAGGAGAGGGGAAGGTGGGAGCCAGGGTCTGGGGCTTTGCCGGGCTGGTGGCCGCCTCAACATTGGCTTTGGGATGAATCTCAGGACCAGACTTCCCCGCCCTTGTGTGGGAGGTGTGAGGGGCTGGAGCTGGGAGGCAGGAAGTGAGCGCAGATGGGCTACCGCCTGGACAGCTGTGCGGGGAACAGAGCACATCTGTCTGGGTGTGAGTGGGGCCCCTCCCCACAACCTCTGCTGATTCTACATGTTTGATAGGGTGTGGGCTGAGGGTGTGGGCTGAGGGTCCCAAATGGGGAAGAAGATGGGAAAGTCTGACTATAGAGCAGGAACGAGGGTTGCTGATGGGGTATGTTCAGATGGAGGGAGAGGAGGGTTGAAGAGAAAGTGGAAAATGGAAGCAAACAGATCAAATTTTATCTTTCTCAGGATGGGCTCTGGGCTTTCAGCGGCTCTCCAAGCCCCAGGGTCTGATGTCTGTTCCTCTGGGAAGCTGCCCTAGACCCCTGGCCGCCCCACCCACAGGGTGCTCCCTCCTGGTGCTTCCAGTATCTTACATCGTAGTTGTGAAAGTCCCTGGGATAACTGCTCATTTTTCTACCTTACCTACTGGACTGCGGGTGTATTAAGATCAGAGACCTTGTCTCTGTGACTGAATCCTCACTCTGTAGACGTGTGTTGAGTGAATGAATGATTTTATGACCTTAACCAACACAAATTTTTCTATTTAATTCCTTAATTTTTCTCTAATTGGCTTTAAAAATTGCTAGGAAAGCTTATCCCAAGTAGATGCCTGGGAGATCTTTGGGAGTTAGAAGCTGGAGTAGATTTCTCATCAGAAATTTGCCAGCAGGCCTGGAAGTGAGAGAGCCTTTTGCTCTTTTCAGGGAGCAAAGCAGAGAGGAAAGGCTCATTCTAGAAACTGCACACCCTGACTTGGCTTCATGGCCATTTGTGTGGCCTCCTTGGGGCGGTTGGTCTCCCTCCACATGAAGCTGTCATCTGCCTGATATTGAGCCAGCTAGGCAGGGAGTATGGATCACACAGACCTCTGCAGGCTCAGGAGGTGGATAATTTCCCCACATCTCTCCCCTCCCTCACCTCTCTCTGGTTTTCACAGTGCAATGAAAGGATGTGGGAGTTTGAGACCCATCTCTGCTGTGTGGCCCTGGGTGAGTCAGTTCTCCTCTTTGGGCCTCAGTGTTCTCATCTATAGAATGGGAGGGCTGGACTGAGACTCCTTCCGGCTCTTAACTACTGTGAATCTGGTAGGCTAATGAGGAGGGAATATGGCCCTTGGTGGTTATTACTGTCTCCTGAGAGCCTGGGCTGGGGCTTTCCCTTAACTTAGGTGTGGGAAAGTGGGGAAGGGCCCAAGAGGCCATTATTCCACTCCCGGGTTTCGAAACCACTCCTGAGTTCACCTGCTGCTATAACGGTGACTCTTCTTGGATGATTTAGTTGAGTCTTGCCTGGAGTCCAAAGATCTGCTTGAGTGATTCTTAAATGTTTCTCAAGCTTCTGCTCCTGGCTTTCTATTATCTAGCGGAGTGTAACAGAAATGCCAATAGGCAGGAAGGAAGAGCTGAAGTTCCCAGGGCTTTGGGCCAAAATCGTATACTCATTTCTCTCCCTCTTTTTTTTTTTTTTTTTTTTTTTTTTTGAGACGGAGTCATGCTCTGTCACCCAGGCTGCCGCGCAGTGGCGTGATCTCGGCTCATTGCAACCTCTGCTTTCCGGGTTCAAGCGTTTCTCCTGCCTCAGCCTCCTGAGTAGCTGGGATTACAGGTGCCCGCCACCACACTCAGCTAATTTTTGTATTTTTAGTAGAGATGGGGTTCTACCATGTTGGCCAGTCTGGTCTCAAGCTCCTGACCTCAAGTAATCCATCCACCTTGGCCTCCCAAAGTGGTGGGATTACAGGCGTGAGCCACCGTGCTGGGGCAAAATTGTATACTCTTTTCTAACATCATTTTTGTCATCATCATCACCATCCATTACTGATAATGTTAGACATTTATTGTTCTTTTTTTTCAGCCATGTGCAGTGGGTAAGTACATCAGCAAGCAAACTGGCCTCAAGAATCCCGCCCTATCCTGGGCATCTGGGGTTGAGGCTGGCTGTGCCAACCTTTGCACAGGGTTTCAATCTGACCTCACTCAGAAAACGGAGCCACTTGCTTAGAGTCCCTCTCTCTGAACACGCTCTCCCCTCTGGAGGAAAAGCATTGCAATCCCAAGCTCCTGCTGCTGCCGTACATCTGCATCTTATTCATCTTTGAAGCTCCTGCAATGCCTCCAACGGGGACACAACTAAAGGTGCTCGCTAAATACTTATTGATAATAATCATTATAATGATGTATCATAATAGATTCAGCGGGGAAGTTGGCTACTGAGCTGCCCTGAGCTGAGACCCATATTTAACTCCTTGTCTGAGCATCTTCTGTGCTCAGGCCAGAGCGACAGCCTTGCGAGGCTAGCGTGGGATGGTCTGGAGACAAGGTGGCAAGACTCAGGCAGGAGCTGAACAGCTGGCGCCTCCTTCTGGCCTCGCAGGGCTGGAGCAGGACTGGGGAGGGCGGGCTTGTGCGAGAACCTCTGCCCCTGGGCTCCCAGGATGTGACCCTCCCTGCCAGAGACCCTTAACCCCGGACAGCCCCAGCTCAGGAGAGCTAACAGTGAGCGAGGGAGGCTGTTATGTAACCGACTGAACTCCTCGTCAACACTGGTGACTAATTCCGACAGTCTCGGCCAGTTGTGGCTGATTCTCACACCCTCTGCTGGATGCATCTCTCCGCTTCCTCCCTGGCCCTGGCCCCAGCCCCACCAACCTCCACCACTGTCCCATGCTCCTCCCCACGTGGACTGGGGATGCTTGGGGAAGCAAGCCTTTTCTAGATGCGTCCAGCCCCCAATCTTTGCATCCCTTCCTGCCTTAAAAAGATGCCAGGAGCAGATTGTCCATTTCTGTCTGTACAAAAACCCACTTGCCTGGGGGCTCATTGAGGCCCTTCTTTTGCTCCTGGGTAAGGGAGAAGAAAGTGGTTGCTGGCAGGCTGGGAATTTCGGCTTGCCAAGGCTGGGACTGTTGAGTTCGGAAATCGTGGTGGCCAAACTCCACCATTTACCAGGGGAAAGGGACCCAGGGAGTACCTGACCTCCCTCAGTCTCTGGACCTAGGACCCCTGGCCCTGTGGGTCGCAGGTTCCCTGGATGATGCTGGGGAAAAGGCCTGTGTTCATTGCCTCAGTTCTAATTTTTCTTTTTCAAAAGGAAGCTCTCAGAACGCCCAGCTATCCCCACTGCAGAAGGCTCTCCCTGAAAGGGCACAGGTGGAGGACGTTTGCATTTATCTGGAGACAGTTCATGGAGAAACACAAAGAGGTGTCCTGACAAGACAACAGGTCCACAGCAGTCGTCATCATGAGTGCTCACCATATGCCAGGGTTCATCTTTTAAAATCCTTAACCAAACAACCAAACTGTGGTTGGGATTATTCTCTTTTTATAGGTGAGAAAACTGAGGCTGAAAGCCATTGGGTGGTTTGCCAAAGCTGAGAAGTAGCTGAGCTGGGGTTTGTACTCACACCACGGTGACTCGGAGGCCCAAGCCAGTTCTGACACACTGCCTTCCCATGACATTCCCACGACAGGTTCCCGAGGTCGTTGGAATGCTTACACATTTCAGCAACTTCATGGCAACTGCCCAGCTCGACCCAGAAGATAATACTACCTTGTACTCCCCCTGCCGCTTCCTTCCTCCAGGCAGCTCACAGACATGACCTCATTCCCTCTCCCAGAGTCCCATAGGGGTGAAGGACAGGGTGGGGATCGTTAACTCTGCTTCCTAGGGAGGAAAGGGAGGCCCAGAGAGGGATGCTGGCCCACCCTGGGTCATCCAGCCAGCTAGCGGGAGAGCTGCAACTGGAAATCAGGCTTCCCTGCCCTCGGGGACAGTTATTTAGCCTCCTGGATGTGAGCTAGAATCACCCCTAAGATGCAGCAATTGGGGTACTCCTCTTGGGGTACTGGGACTCAGTGGCTGAAACAGCTCCAAGAGAGTTGGGCCTGTGCTGAAAACAGAAATCCGAGATGCATATAAATTCAATCCGTATGAGAAGAGCAGGGTGGCCTGGGAGGAGTGGTCACCGCAGTGGCTCCACCTCCTACCCGGCCACCTGCAGCCCTGCCTGGGCTGCTCTTGGTCTCTCTGTGCCCAGCTTCCCTGGCCGGATGCCCTGGGGGCCAGAGCAGCCGCAGGTGCGATGAAAAGAACACTGGCCTTGAGGTCATGGGACCTGGGGAGGATATTCACCAGGGGCCCCTAAGTTAGTCATTTTAGCTCTCAGCTTTTCCATTTTTCATTCAAAAAATGGGGACTCTAACTCCATGAAAGAGACATTGTGTGTGAAATATTTCATCATAAGCTGTGAAGCCTGCAAAGAAACTCCTGGTGTTCTCTGTAGCCTGATTTCATCTCTACTAAACGCTATTTTGAAAATGATTTTGAAGCTGGTGGGTCACATAGAAGGATGGCCTGAGCATCCATCCATCTTCCCTCCGGTGACCCTTTCACTTCGTGTCTGTGGTACCCAGTGCCTGGTACTGAATGTTCCTGGGTGGCCCCGTGGTTCGGCAAACTTTCTGGAAAGGCCCAGGTAGTAAATATTTGAGGCCTGGTGGGCCACATATGGTTTTGGTCACATGTTCTTTGTTTGTTTCTTTTCTTATAACCCTTTGAAAATGCAAAAACCTTTCTCAGCTCACAGGCCCTACAAAAATAGGTTGATTTGGCCTGTGGGCTGTCGTTTGCAGGGGGCCGGTTTACCTGGTAGAAAGTGGGTGGGTGGGAGTTTGGAAATGGACAGAAAAGCCCGCAGCCCAGTTTTGCACTTGCCTGGCTGTATGCTGTTAGGCCACTCACTTGGCCTGCCCCGGAGTTAGTTTAATGGTCTGCCCTATGATTCTAATGATGCCTACTTCAGGGGCTATCATGAGAATAACATGTACCCCATAGCAGGCTCTCAGCAGATGGGAGCTGATGTCATTGCTTCTGTCCAACAAGCATGAGAATGCAGGGTCCAGGGGTGGCCCACCCTGTCCGCAGTATGGTGGGGTGGACAGCGCTTTCCTAGGGCTTGGGATATTTTATCAGGGAGCCAATGCCTTGCCTTGGAAGGGAGAGGCCCCCAGGCTGGGGTTTCATGACAGAAAGAGGAGTGAAGTCCGGGGCTTATGTCAGGAGCTGGTCAGTGCACACTGGCAGAGCATGGAGAAGTGGAAGCCAGGGGAGGGGAGGACCATCTGCAGGGAGGGGGCGAGGGTGGGAGGAGGGCCATGGGAAACAGCTGTTTACCTGTTTTGGGCAGCTGTGATGGGCTCTGCTGGCCTTGGGGGAGTGATCCCAGGTGGCTAGAGTGGCCACAGCAGTCTGGTGGGCTCAGGGAAAGGTGGGGGTAGACGTGAGGCGCTGCAGACCTGGGCCCCAACACTGACTTTGTTGCTGTCAGGGGTGGGGGCTGGGAGTCTTTGAGGCTAGAAGAGACCCCGCATAGACGGAGGCCCAGGGAGGCCCAGGGCTTTGCCAAGAGAGGATACCCGGGGAGTACCCAGTCCTCTTGAGTCCTGGCTTCTTGTCAAGTGAAACATTAGAGAAGGACAGCCTTTTTTTTTTTTTCCTCAACAAAGGGTGGACTGGAGTAAGCTCTCCCCATAATAATGAAAGCAACCATGTCCCAAGTGCCTTCTGCATATCGGGCGCTGGGCCGGATCTTTGTGCACCTTGGCACCCATCCTCTCAACAAGCCTCTGCCACCATGAGGGGTAGAGGTGCCCGCTCCGTCTCAGGGCTGCGGGGCTGCAGCTGGGGTGAGAACTGGCTGGAGTCAGTGGTCCTGCCTCCTCTGTGCCCCACCACCTCCCCGGGAGCCTGGCTCTGCCATGGGTTCAAGTTGCAGTAGGATACCCAGGCCAAGGGGGTTGCAATCTTGATTCCTTTCTTTTTGAGAAATGCAGAGAGAAGTTATGTAGTTCCTCGAGAAGCCCCCATCACCACCCAGCCATGGAGACTGCTCCCTTCCGCGTACCCGTGCCGTCTCATGGCTGGTTCCGAAGGGCTCAACTGGGAACAGCCTCCCAGGCTGCAACATAGCAGTGTGACACGGAGCTCAAGGCAGCGTCTCAGTGGTTTGCTCATTTCTGCACATGCTTGCATCTGTGTGTGCCCTTCCTCTATCTAGACAGCACTTCTGTCACTTCTCTCCTGGTAAACTTCTATTTGGTCCTTTAAAACACAGCTCAGATGTCACCTCCTCTGGGAAGCCTTCCAAGACTACCTAGGCACAGTTATCAGGCATTTTGATTGTGCTCTTATCGTTGCATTATTTTCAGGGACAAACATCGGTTGGGCACTTATTACACCCTAAGCTTTGTGCTAGGCACCTCACTGCATTATCTCATTGAATACTTACAAACCTATGGGGTGGATATTCTTACCCCCATTTTATAGACAGGGAACCTGAGGCTTAGAGCAGTTAAATCACCTGCCCAAGGTCACCTAGCTGTTGAGTGGTGAGACTGGGAAGTGAACACAGGCAGTTTGACTCCGGTGCCCTCCCTCCTAACCACTAAATTATATTGCCTCCCTTACATGACTTAAAATTGCCCCAGACTGTAATTAAACGTTTATGGGTCTGGTAAACGCCTCACAAGCAGAGACCATGACTTATTTATCTTTGCTGCCTTAGAACATAGCACATAGTACAATGCATATAGTAGGTGCTTGGTGGATGCTTATGGGATGAACAGTGAATGAAGAGGCCATGGGGGTTGAGGCTGCTGATGGAAGGTGGGGTGGCTGAGGCCAGGGAAGGGAGGATGGCAGGGGGGGCAGTTGAGTGGACAACGTGTGTGTGTGGTGGGTGCAGGGAGAAGGCTCCAGAGGCCTGGGAAGGAAAGTGGTTCCTACAGGGCCTGTACCATGCCATTTTGGAATCCCCAGGCTACTACTTAGTAAGCGTCTTCAATATGCTAGCAAGTGCTTCAGACATGGGCATTCTAAGTCCACAATACGAGAAGGCTTGTGCAAACCCCCAGACAACTAACTCACATAGGAAGAGCCTAGACCTCAGTCCTCGTAGGATGAACTCTGGCAAAGGTTCCCCTGAAGGCGAGGTCTAGACCAGGTGACCTTGAACGTGTCTCTGAGCCTTGCTGGCATTCTTTGGGTCTAGGGTGTTCAAGGAGGTTTCGCGCACACCAGTTGCCCTGTGCATTAGTCCTCTCTTGCACCTTGTGACTCTGTCATAGTAGCCTGACTTCCCAGAGGAAGCGAGCTCTAGGGCCAGCGGGGAGGCGGGCATCAGATCTCCATCTCCTCCTGGCCCCCTCTGCCCATGGCCCACAGGAGGTGGGACCCTGCCAGGCCCCAAAGCCTGGAGCCTCCCCAGCAAGCACAGGTGGGCTGTGAGGTCATGCTTCTCAGACCTGAAAGGAGACAGCCATCACATCTTGCAGGTGGGCCTGCCCCGGGGAACTGTGGGGTGGGGTGTGTGTGTGTGTGTTTGTGTGTGTGTGAACCCCTCTAGCCTTATTCACAGTCCCCTCTGGGGGCCAGGGGCGCCCCTTGATGCCAACCGGAAAGCCCTTATCTTGCCCGGAAGAGGTCCAAAGCATGTGTGGCTCCTGACATGGCGAGGGGAGGCTGGGGGGAGGCGGGGAAGGCGGAGAGAGCGAGAAGACCCCCCTGCAAGCCGTGTTCATACAAAATGCATTTCCCAACGTATCCCTCTGGCCTGTCGGAGCCCCTTCTGCTCACTGCTCTGTTTATACATGATAGACAACTAATTAACATCCAAACCTCTTGAAAGGTCTTTTCAGAGGTAATGTTCTGACAGATTATGTCAGCAAGGAGCACTGATTTGTCTAAGCATGGATCACATTGTTTCAGATTGAATGAGGTGAATATTAAACTGCTTTAAATGTACTCTTCATAAAGTACTAATTACACACTCCCAAGAGAGAACAGCCAAGGAATACTAAACAGTAGAGAAGTCAACAGAGGGTTCTTTTTATAGTATGTTGCTGGGCTCTGTGTTTTTCTGTCTCCTTCTTTCTCGCTCTCTCTCTTTCTCTCTTTTTTTTTACAGTAAAATCACAGCACGCTAAAGAATACACATTTATAGCACAATGCTTCTCATCTAATTATATGGCAATCATTAGTTTTAAGCTGGATGCATTATATTTTCTTTGATATATTATGCCTAAGGCATAACTCTGCATTTATTGTTGCTACTGGCAGATTTTAGCTCCCCCACAAGCCCCCTTTTCCAAACCCCAACTACTTTCTAACCCCCACCTTTTAACAAATTATTTAACCCCTATGTTAGTTTGCTTATTGTGCCAGAAAAAAAAATCACAATTTAAATCGGCAAAAAAATGGGTGAAACAATATACCCTTCATTAATTTAAAGAAAAGAAATCGCATGTGTTCTGGGGAGCTGTGCAAATTTTATTAACCAGGTGATGTCCTGAATACACAATTTCTACCTCCCACCCCAGTGAATTTCCTTTGCAACAAATTCTACCAGATCACACTGAATTCCCTCTTGGCTGAGACTCCTTGTCCCTCAGGGAAAGAGATATTTATATGTATATAAATATATATCTAGAAAAGCAACACAGGGTGGAAAACCATGTGCCAAAGAGCATTCCTTCAAAATGCCTATCCACAGATGTAGCCAGAATTCTGCTCCATCAGTTTTTCTGGGTCTTTCTGACATTAGCTTTTGCCCATGGTTGAGAAAAAGCAAGGTCAATTTTGAGATGTCCTAGGCTCTCAGATTCTCAATCCTGAAGAAAGGAAAAAGCCAAGTTCCCTGGGGATGGATGATATTGACCCATCTGGTTTCTTCTCGGTCAGGCCTCCAATTCCCATGCCGTTGCAGAGAAAAGAGACTGCAAGTCTCCGAGAGGTAGAATTACTTCTCCGTAAGTGGCAAAGTGGGGCCATGTTCTCCCCAACTGTGACTTTCTCTTTCCCTCCCCACTCCAATCAAAGAACTGTGGAGTCTTGGGGTTGAAGGCATCAGAGATTTCCTTTGCTCGTTGTGTTACAGCCAAGGATTCCTGGCTGAAAGGGGCTATGCATGTCCCCTAACATCACAGAGCTGCCTGCGGTCAGGACTGGACTCCAGGTTCCTGACTCCTAGACCAGTGTCCACTTCAGACAGAGAAGTTCCAAGCAACTCTTCCTACACAAGAACGACCAAGGGCCAAGGAATAAAATGACAGCAGCATCTTTTCTGAGGGCTGAAAGAAGTCTTTTTTTTTTTTGAGATCGGGTCTTGCTCTCTCTCCCAGGCTGGAGCGCAGTAGCATGATCTTGGCTCACTGCAACCTCTGCCTCCCGTGTTCAAGCGATTCTCCGACCTCAGCCTACCGAGTAGCTGGGATTACAGGTGCATGCCACCACACCCAGCTAATTTTTGTATTTTTAGTAGAGACAGGGTTTTGCCATGTTGGCCAGGCTGGTCTCGAACTCCTGACCTCCGGTGATCTGCCCACCTCTGCCTCCCAAAGTGCTGGGATTACAGGTGTGAGCCACTGTTGCCCGCCGGAAGAAGTCTTAAACCCCTTGGGTTTCTTCTTGAATCCCACTCCACAATATCCCCAACCAAAGACTTGTTCATTCTTGGCTCTGGACACTGCCTCCAATCCCCGACAGCGGTCAGATCATCACTGTGTAGCTCTCATGGTTTAAAGTACGTGTTTACGAGCAGTGAATGCTGGCCCTAGAGCGTGTAGCTTCGAATCTTGCACTGCCACTTCCCGGATCTCTGACCTTGGCTAAGAGACTTAGCATTTCTTTGCCTCTGTTTCCCCCATATCTACAAAATGGGAACAATGCGAGTGTCTGCCTCACAGGGTGTTGTGAGGATGAGGCTAGGTAATATATATGTAAGAGGTGCCCAGCCTACTAGGCTAATTAAGGTTAGCTATCATTATTGTTAGAAAGTTTGCCTTCTCAACCGAGCTCTTTCTCCCCCAAACAACTACCATGAAAGAACTATCTCACCTCCAAGAACTACCATGGTTGTAGTTCTGTCTGGGGCCCCATGGAAGAAGATTAATTTTTCTCCTACATGACTGCTTTCAACTATTTCATTCATTCATTGCACAGTTTTGCTAGGTGGTCTCTGGATGCCAGGTGCATAATGCCAGGTGTGGAGAGAGCCATGAAGAAGACCTGGTCCCTGCTTTCAAGAGCCCATACTCCAGAAGGACGTGTAATTTGTCTTCGGAGCTTCTCTTCCCCAGGGGAAACGCTCATCAGTTTCTTCACATATTCCTCACTTAACATGATGTCAAGCCTTTCCTGGCCCATGTTCCTTATGTGAAATCATCCAAAGAAATTTACCAAGGATGAAGAAAAAATGGCAGCAAATTTGGGCTTCCATTACTCACACATACTCTATAGCACCCATTACTCAGGAGATTGGGATTCTATTGGGTTAGAGTGGTCCCAAGTATGTTGTTTTTTAAAAAAGCTCTGCACACTTGAATCTAATACACACACACACCCTCTATCCTGAAAAAATGGAGAAGGATAAACTCTTCTCTCCCAATGCTGATCTCCACCTCCTCCAGGGTCTCTCTTCAAGTCCAGGTTACTCTCTGTGGAGGTGTTATTTGATATGTGAAGGTGTGAGCTGCTGACCTGTGAACGCTTCAGGGTGCACTAAGTTAGCTGGCAGCCTCACTGTGCACCGCGTATGCCAGCCAAAACCCAGGGACCAAGGCTGGCTTTGTGGGCATGTGACCGGTGTAGTTGCCCAATGCCCTGTGCTTTGAAGGCCTTTATGTATATATATATTATAATAGTGTTCGCAGCCGAGTTCCTAGTAATTTCATCTTGGAATGTGTGTTTGGTAAGTGAAGTATCATGGGACTATGGAGTGTGTGGTGGGGATTTGGAGCCTCAACTGGCTGACCCGTGGTCCTACTCTGAGGCTGCTGCCACCTTCTGCTCTCTGTGGGAGCCTGGGTGCAGGTGCAGAGTGGGGATCGGTCATACACCCCATGGCATCTTAGAGTGGGACAAACATTGGTCACTCCTGTCCCCAAATGGCAACATTCAGTGGATGATTTGACAGAGGCCTCTCACCCACCCCCAATCCAGGTTCCAAGCACATCTGGGCATGGAGGTTGCAATCCTTGGGGATGCCCCTGGCCATGAGGACCAGTGGGTCAGAGAGAGGAGGGGATGGACTTCCCCTGTCCCAGGCAGGGCCCCACATTTCCAAATTGCCCTGGGTCCTGCAAATCGCGGTTCTGCCAGATACTGAGCCAAGCATTCCCTCTCTCATACCTCTTCCCATCGCATCGTCACCGGGTCCTCAGTTTCTTTCCTTCTTCCTTCCTTTATTTCTTCCTTCCTTCCTTCCTTCCTTCCTTCCTTCCTTTCTTTCTTCTGAGACAGCATCTTGATGCGACGTCCAGGTAGGAGAGCAATGGTGCAATCTCGGCTCACTGCAACCTCCCCTTCTCATGTTCAAGCGATTCTCCTGCCTCAGCCTCATGAGTAGCTGAGACTACAGGTATGTGCCACCACACCCAGCTAATTTTTGTATTTTTAGTAGAGATGGGGTTTCACCATATTGGCCAGGCTGGTCTCGAACTCCTGACCTCAAGTGATCTGCCCGCCTTGGCCTCCCAAAGTGCTGGGATTATAGGCGTGAGCTGCTGCACCCAGCCCAGGTCCTCAGTTTCTTAGAAACACCTTCTCTTAGGGACAAACATTGTCCCTCATGAGCCCATGCCTGGATGACTGTAACCACCTGGGAGGGACCCCCTGCCTCTGTTCTCTCATCCTTCCCATCAGTGATGCTGCCAAAGCTAGCATAATAGAAAACAAATTCAACTTTCTCATTCTCCTGATAAAACCCTGTCCACAAGAGTCCTCTTCTACTCCAGGATAACATACTGTGTATGTCCGTGCATGTGAGTGTGTGTATAGGTTCTAAGCACCTAAACAGATATTCGCTCCACGCTGCGGGTGGGCTCTCTCCACAGAGAGAGATCACCACCATTCATGGATCACCACCTGTGGATCACCACCATTCATGGATCACCACCTGTGGATCACCACCATTCATGGATCACCACCTGTGGATCACCACCATTCATGGATCACCACCTGTGGATCACCACCATTCATGGATCACCACCTGTGGATCACCACCATTCATGGATCACCACCTGTGGATCACCACAGTGTTTAAGACCAAGCGAGGAAACATGTCACAGTGGAATCTGGGCAGTGAGGATGCTATTTTCGAGGAAGAGCTCTTGCCTCACACCAGTAGACACAGGCAGCCAGCTCCTTGGCCTAACTTGATGGACTCCCTAAACACTTCCTCTTCCTTCCAAGCCTGTGTCTCCCTTCCTCACCCTCACGCCACAGTCTTGGCCAGTCTTGTCACGGTGAGGCCATCAGGTGAGAGGATGTGGTGTGGAGGATGTGTGCTTCAGGGTCGGGTAGACCCGGCCATTCATGCCTGTGGGACTGTGGATGGTGAAAGCCCACCGACAGGTCACAGGCATCTGGGAAATGCCAAACAAAGTGGAAGAAGCTGGCTTTGGGTGATGACCAGTTCATAGATGGCCTCTGACCTCACGGAGCTGGCAGCCCCTTGGCGATAACATAACCCTCTGTGCACTGGCTTTCTCATTTGCAAAAGGAGATCCTTTCCTCAGACTGAAATAATGCACATAAGCTGCATGGTATGAAATTTCTGAAGGGGCATTCTTCCACAGCCCAAGAGGTGTATCAGGAAGCTGGCCCTTCAGGGACAGGAACACCTGTGCACCACATCTCTGCGATGATGCGACCTGGTGCCTGTGACACATCCCTGCACATTGCTGTGGGGGTAACCAAAAATGGAGCTGTGGGAGCCAGTGGAGGGCATGCTGGCGTATCAGGGGCAGCAGCACCCGGGGCGGCGGTTGGGGGAATGGAATCCAATATGAAGATGGTTCTTTCTTTCTCTAACACTTTACTGCATGCCCTGGTGTCACTTTTCTCAGCATGGCTTCTCCCTGCACTCCTTGCTTCCAAATGCTCAGTACTTCCTGTCCACCCAGGTGGGTCACAGCACAGGCCTTGGAGGAAGCCGACTAAGCTGGGTTTGAATGATTGCTTCTGCAAGCTAACAGCCATGTGGCCTTAGGTGAGTTATGGGACCTCCCCATGCCTCAGTTTCCTCATGGACAAAGTGGGGGCTGACAATACCATCCTCCTTACTTCACCGTGGGGGTCTAGAGTGTGCTGCAGAAGTGCCTGGGTGAGACCTGCTTCCGGTTCCTCTTTAAGCCATACGAAGGGGTGTTCCGGATCTAACAGATTCTCCCTTCTCAGGAGTACTTGCATTTTAAAAGATGACCCTGGGGCTGCTTCATACAGCACAATAAATTGACTAGAGCGAAGCTCCGGTGGGAAGCAGTGGGGTAAAGATATTTTGGGGGCAGGAAATGACCTTCCTTTACTTCCCAAATCATACCACTTAGACTAGCAGTTCTCAGCCTCAAAGCTGTGACACGCTGGTGTGGGACCAGCAGTTGTGAGATGTATCACAAGCAAATGCTGCCAAAAATAAAGTGCTGTGGTTTTTGAATAATCCCCCCCACCAATTTTTTGTTTGTAAATCAGAGGGAATTCAGGGTTATCCCTATAATGTTGTCACGTCCGCTGTCATTCCTCCGTGATTTCTCGAGCGGGAAAGAAGAGTGAGCAGGAACCACTGCTTTCTGCAACAACACAGGTGATTCCTACGATAGAATACTATGATTGCATTTACATGACGCTCAAGAATACGCCTGATTGACAGTGATAAGAGTCCAAATAATCTCACCTTGCCGGGGGTATATGGATGGGGAGGAGGTGTGTGGGAGACTCTTGGGGTGTTGGAAATATTTGCTATCTTGATCTCGGTGGTGGTTACTTGGGTAAATAACCATTAAATTGTATGCTTAAGACCTATGTACTTGATGTATGTACTTGTAACTACATAGTTTTTTCTTTTTTGAGATGGAGTTTGGCTCTGTTGCCCACGCTGGGCTCGGCTCACTGCAACCTCCGTCTCCCAGTTTCAAGTGATTCTCCCGCCTCAGCCTCCTGAGTATCTGGGATTACAGGCGCTGCCACTATGCCCAGCTAATTTTTGTATTTTTAATAGAGATGGGGTTTCTCCAGGCCAGGCTGGTCTCGAACTCTTGACCTCAGGTGATCCGCCCACCCCGGCCTCCCAAAGTGCTGGGATTACAGGCGTGAGCCACTGTGCCCGGCCTATAAATGTTTTTTTGAAAAGTACCTTGGAATTCCAGGCAAACACCTATAAAGGGTTTTCCTATGGTGCCTGTTGGAAATTCCCTAAATGCCCTAGGGTCTTGGGCAAAGACAGTGGGGTGTTGGCATTAATGCAGGAGTCTGGGAGCACTGGGGTCCCTAGCAGGCTGTTTCCCCTGAAGTGACTGCCCACGAACACTTCTTGTGTCCCTCTGCCCCCTGGTAGATGCCTCTTTGGGGCTGACATCTCAGCCTTATTAGTGCCAGTGCTTGCAGAGACAGGACCCTCTTTGGATGTCTTATTTTTCCTGGCCACACAGCCCCTAGCACAGTAAGAGCATGGGTGCTACCAGTATGTGTTGTGAAGCATTTATTGCCTGGGGTGGTTTGGGGTGCTCACGCGAGCCCCCCACGACAGCCTCAGTGAACAAAGCCAAGCAGACCCCCCATCCCCTGCCAATCCAAGGCCCCACGGTGCTGAGGTGACAGTTCCCGGGCCTCCGGTGCGGAGCTCATTTTGTTTGCTTTGTATGTTAGTTTTCACCCAGCCCTTCGGTTGCCAAGGAAACAGTGACGCAGCCTCGGGTGGGGCCTCGGCCCAGTCAATACGGAGCCTTTTGAGGCAATGGTTCAGGGAGGCCAGCTGGGTGCTGGGGAGGGTGGCAAGGAGGTAGGGGGTGGGTCAGGGCAGGATGGGGAGAGGAGTGGGGGCGGGCTTTTTGTTGGCCCGCGGATGGTGCTATCAGGAGGCAGTATTCCATTTGCAGCCTCCGGAGACCCACCCTTGGCTGTGTCACCGGCAGATACGAGGCAGAAGGTTCTAGAGGCCGAAGGAACCGCCCGTTCCTATCCTGGTGTTTGTGTGGCCTGGGACAGTCGTCTCCGGGGCTCTGCCACATGTCAGGCCTCTGCAGAACTCAGTCACACTAGGAGCTGGGCAGAGTGGGTTTCTGGGAGCTGAGAGCATTTGTGGACATTTGGGAAGTGGGGGTCTGCTGGAAACTAAGGTCCAGGTGGATCCTTTTGATGTGAGAAGCAGCTCCTGTGTCCCCCAGGGACGATCTCCTTCCCTCTCTACCCTCACGTTGCCACCATCAGTGACATGAGACCCCTGGGAGCTCTCAGCCAGCTTGGCCTCAGTGCCCCTCAGTGCCCCCTCAGCCTCACGCTCCCTGGGCACGCCATTGAGGTTGCTCCTGGGTTCCTGCCTCCCTCAGGCCCATACTCTTGGCGCCAACCATGCAGCCCAAGTTTACAGGCCAGGAGGCTACCTGAGACTCCAGCCCTCTGGGGCTTATCTCAGAGTCTCTGTTTTGAAGGCTCCTCCAGAGAGGGAGGGCCCCATTATTATGCTTGGTCCTGTCTCAGTGGCTCTGGATGCAGCCTTTCGGTAAAGATATTCTGAGTTCCGTTCTTAACCCTAAGCTGCCCCACAACCTGGTGAATAAGCAAAGACCTTCCCTGCTGTGTGCCTCAGTTTCCTTTCTGAGACCCTTCCTTTCCTGCTGCGTGGATGCTCTCCCATGTCTTGCCTGCAGCCTAGAGAGGAATAGAACAGGGCCTTTCCCCAGGCCCCGCCTCCCCACCCGAATGCCTCTTCTCTGTCATCTCCCCATCACCCAGCCTCTTTCTCCTTTATCACCCTTCCCCAGTCACTTTTCAAATTCTGTCAGCTCTTCCTTCAAAATGTCGCCAGCATATGTCCCTTCTTTTTTTAAAAAAATAAATTCCATTGTTTTTCTTCGTATGAAAGAGAAATATGCTCAGTGTAGAAAATTTAGAAAATACCAATAACCAAAGAGAAAAAAGAAAAGAAAGCCGTCATCCTTCCTCCCGCCATTGCTGCAGTCATTATTTTGAGACACACAAGTCAGTCCCGGCCTGTGCTCAGGAACCTGCATCTCCTCTTTGTTTTGTGACTCCCTATTCCTGCCACTCTGCTGCCCTCAGGGCCCCTGACTCTCTCCTCTTGTCCACCCCGCCGCCTATGCCACGCTAACCTTCTCAAACTCTGCCTTCGAAATGCTTCAGTTTCCTACACGTCAAATCCTAGGCAGCCATCAGCCCCTAGGAAGCAGGCGCCCCTCTGGGTGGAAGCCCACAGGGTACCAGGTCTATGGCGGGCACCTTTGTGTGAATGAGAAAGAAGGCTCCTCTTCCTTGGGGCAGAGGAAGCTCTGGGACTGGGTCAGTGGCTTGGTGGGCAGACAGCAAGGAGCAGTCAACAGCTGTGGGAGGTGGCCCTGGTGAAACCTGCTCTCTGCCATATGGTTGCCAAAGCCTCCCTTACCCTCCCTTATCAATCGCAGTCCCCCTTCCAAAGCACCTATCCTCCCTCAATGCCAGGCCAGCCTAGTCCCTGCTTCTCAAATGCTGTGTGTTCGATGCCCCTCTGGCCTTGGCCGAAGCTGCATCCTGTCCTCTCTCTCCCTACCCTCCCACTGCGCATCCTTGGAGGCCCAGCCCAGGGGTCCAGGCAGGTCCCCTGAGTGAATCTCTGGGTGGGTTGGGGTCTGGGGTGAATGGGAGAGGGCCTGCGCTGGCCAGATCTTCCTCCAGGTTATTCATTGTGACTGTGTGATTTTTCAATGTCGCCTGCTCATTCAGCTCTTGAAGACACCCTGCCCAGGCTGAGGGAAGTTGTTCCATTTGTCCTCTGAATATTTCTGTGCCTCCATCCCACCTCTCCTTGATCAGCCCTGCTCCTCAGGCAGAGAAGCATCATCTTCACATTAGCAGTTCAGGCTGTGTGGTTTAACGGAAAGCACACGTATCCACGCATCCGCTCAACATGTATTTATTGAATACCTTCACAGGTTTTGCAGTAAAAAAAAATCTTGGCTTAGCTTCTGATGCTACCACTTTCTTGAGCAAGTCACCTAAATTTTCCAAGCCTCATTTGCCCACCCATAAAATGGGATTGAAGTTACTTCTCAACTCACTCACTCGTGAGAAGGCATTGAAATCAGATATGTGAAAGCATTTTGTAAACCGTGATGCTTGGTGAAATGCCATGAGCATCCCATCACCTTTGTTTAGGGTGTGCTAGTCACACTGAATAGTGTAAGCTGACCCCCACAGGACTGAACACCTACCAGGCATTTGATAAATACCTGCAGGTTAGTTAACACAATGCATTGACAGTACCATATATACCTTCTTCAACAGAGAATTTGTTGGCTGGGCACAGTGGCTCACACCACTGAGCACTTTGGGAGGCCGAGGTGGGTGGATCACTTGAAGTCAAGAGTTCGAGACCAGCCTAGCCAACATGGTGAAACCCTGTTTCTACTAAAAATACAAAAATTAGTCCGACATGGTGGCGCATGCCTGTAGTCGCAGCTACTTGGGAGGCAGAGGCAGGAGAATCACTCGAACCCAGGAGGTGGAGGTTGCAGCGAGCTGAGATCGTGCCATTGCACTCCAGCCTGGGTGACGGAGTGAGAGTCCATCTCAAAAAAGAAAAAAAAAGAAAATTTGTATAGATTATAACAAAACCATATGTGATGAAATAATAATAATATTGACAACACTAAGCAATCATTGGATGGAACTCTGACTCCGTGCTTGGCACCATTCAGGTAGAAGGTGAGACTTGACTCCAGAGGCAGGGCGCAGACACTGGACCAAATTGAGGACTAGCTAAAACAGGGATGGGGTGGAAGCTGCTTTCCATAAGACATGCCCACCAGCATGCTATGTCAGTTTACCATTGCCATGGCAACACCTGGGCGTTACTGCCCCTTTCCATGGCAATGGCCTGGCCACCCAAAAGTTACCACCCTTTCCCTAGAAACTTCTGTACGAACTGCCCCTTAATCTATGTGTAATTAAAATAGGTATAAATATGACTGCAAAATTGCCCTGAGCTGCTACTCTCAGCACAGTGCCTATGGGGTAGCCCTGCTCTGCAGGAGCAGTCATGAAGCTATAATGCTGTCAGAGTTTTAACACTGCCGCTTCAATAAAGCTGTTTTCTTCTGCTCTACCACTGGTTCACCCTTGAAGTCTTTCCAGGGTGAAGCCAAGAACCCTCACAGGCTAAGCCCCACCTTAGGGTTCATCTGCCCTGCATCACTGTGATAAGACCCTTTGTAATCATTGTCTCACTTAACCCTTCACAATAAATCTACAAAGAAGGTACTGTTGTTACCCCTATTACATAGATGAGAAAACCAAGGCTTAATGCAATTAAGTAACTTCTCCAGGGTTGTCTAGCTGGTGAGAGGTCTGGGCAGGAGAGGGAGCAGGGAAATAATTGGACATGGTGCGTCAAGACTTTGGGCTGAGATAATTCTGCATATGCAAAGGCATCTAGAAGAGTCCCAGGCAAACTGTAAGCACTCAGTAACTCATACTAATTATTCCTGGGTTCCATGCCCATTATATACCTTATTTTATTTAATTAAATCCTCACAACAACCTTGTGGGGCAGGGCAGGTATTCTCTCTCTCTCTCTCTTTTTTTTTTTTTTTTTTTTGAGACAGGGTCTTGCTCTGTCATCCAGGCTGGAGTAAAATGCTGTGATTGTAGCTCATTGCGGCATCCAACTCCTGGCCTCAGTTGATCCTCCTGTCTTGGCCTCCCAAAGTAGGTATTCTTATGTACATTTTCCAAATGAGGAAACCAGCAGTCAGAGAGATTCAGTGCCTCTGCGCAGGCCACAGAGCTATGAACTGAGAGGCTGGTCTGGGACCCAGGCCCTACTGTCTCCTCTACCTGAAGGTCAGCTATCTGAGGCCCACAGACCTTTTCTTAGACAAATAGGAAGATTCTGCTTCCCATGACATTGCTGGCCTTACTTCTGTGAGCCTCTTAGCTGGAAGGTCCTTGTGAAGGCCTTCAAGGCAGCCTCCACCAGAACCCACCTGCCTCAGAAATACCTGCACAGTCTTGGCTGCTGTGAGCTGGGCTCTCATAGCTAACAGGGGCCCTCTCTTTAAACTTCAAAGGAACAAAGACTTAGAGAACCCATCTTGGCCTTCCCCACCCCCTACCCCTCTTTCCCCACCCCCAAAGAAAAATGAAAGAATCTGATAATTACTTCTATCTACCACCCAACTGTACTAATTACCAACCTATTTCTTCACAGTATGACAGACACCAGCTCTGGAAAACACATAGAGATAAATTAGCACTAATTGGTTTTCCTCTGGCTGTTTGAATTAGTATTTAAAGCTCCAATTACAAAGCAGAATAATTGCTATTAATGTCCTATCGCAGCACAAAAGGCAGTTCGCTCAAGCACCAGCCCAGGTGTATTATTACTCTGATTACAGCATATTTAACCTGGCTCGTTAAGAGGGAGACACAGGGGACAGTTTCAATATGGTGGACAGGCCACTTCCTGCAGGGCACAAAGCTGGAGGAGACCCGTGACCCCAGGGAAGAAAGGCGGGGAGGGAGGCAGGGAGATGAGGGGATGGGGAAGCTGAGCCTGGAAGCCTGTGGGATTTCTCAGCAGGCTCCTGGGGTCTCTTCCTGTGGCTCTCACTGTCTCCTGGGGGCCTTTTCCTGGGCTGGCCTACCCCTCTCCCTACAGAACAGCTGCCTGCTCATACCCGAAGCTAGCAAAGTCATCCGCAGGCCTTCCTGGCCCCTGAGAGGGTGCTCAGGAGGGAGGCTGCTGCCAGAAGGACCTGTGGGATGTTCCCAATGTTGGCATCAGGCTTGTCACTAGGGAGCGGGTGGGGGCTGAGCCCTCTAGCCACACCTCTGTTCCCTTGGGAGCCTCAGCCGGGGGCTTTAGGATGCAGGGTTGCTTGCTGTTCCAACCGTGGGGGTCCTTGCTTTACCTCCTCCACCCTTTTCCATCTTGTTCCTCTACCAGGGACCTTCCCTGTTCTGACCAGAGGACGATGGGAGAGTTGGGAAGAAGGTGAACTCCGTGCAGTCCCCTTAACGGGTGCTATACACAGGGGGTAGGGTAGAGAGCCCTGGCTGTCCCACTGACAGGCTAGATGGCAAGTCCTCCAACCTCCGAGATACTCAGGTCTCTTCAACTATAAAACGGGCACCACAGCCTCCCTCCTGCTGGTTTCACAGAGCTGTGAGGTTCAAACCAGGATGGAGGAAAGTGCTCTGTCGATCACAGCATGCTGCTCCTGAAGGAAGGAGGCCAGGGCTTGAACTGGATCTGCCTCTTGCTGCTCCTTTCTTTGCTCTCATCTTCCCTTTCAATCACTTTCCTTCCTCTTCTTTGTCTCTTTCTCTACTTCCACTTCCTCCCTTCCTTTTGGGCTTCTGCATCTCACTCATCTCCCCATTCACGCTAGGATGTTAAGGACTCAATGAGTTACCCTTTCCTAGAGCAGCTGCGTTTAAGAAGGGAGGGCTATGTTTAACCCAAAGAAATGAGTCACTAATGGTGAACTTTCAGGCAAACTGAGATGATATTTTGTGGGGGAGAGGGAGGATGTCACAGTACTCTTCAGAGCCCCATAGGCAGCTGTCTACTCACTGACACACAGGTTTGGCGCCAGCCTGTGCCAGGCTCAATTTTAGCCAGAGAGGGAAGGAGGCCCCGCAGGGAGGAGTCAGCAAGAGAAAAATCACCGATGGGGGGTAGGGGCCGAGTCCCCTCCACCTGGCAAACCCAGCTGAAGTTGCTGACCCTAGATGTCAAGGTCATGACATGAGGCTTCGGGGACTCTCATTTTGGAGGTGCAGACAGGGAGCCGCTCTGGCCCAGCCGTCCCCACCAGGATAGGCTGCTGAGTCCTGGCCATCCCCGAGGCTGTCCTGAGGAGTTCAGCCTCCTCTTGTCTGTCAGCGCCTCTGACTCTTGTCCGATTTCCTTCTGTTGCCATATGGAAAGAAACCAATCTGACTTTCCCCCATGGTCTTCTCGGTCTGTTTCATCCCTTTTAGGTCCCCTGTCCTCCCGTGCCCTCCAGTCTCTCCCCAGCTCTTCCCCAGGAGCCCCTCTTTCCTTGGTCCTGCCAGCTCCTGGGTGACACCATCCTGGAGAGATGCCACAGGCCAAGGGGCAAAGTGGTATCTGTGGAGCTGAGACCCAGGTTCAGTGCAGCTCTGCATTAAGTTAGCCATGTGATACATTTTCCGTTGCCTCTCTGGCATCAGTTTCCCCACCTGTACCATAAGAGACGGGCCCCAAGTTCTCTTCTAAGGTCATGTTCTAGGTTTTAGGGCTCCCCTCTCTTCCTTCTCCATATCAACTGGCCCCTTCTACCCGAGAAAGCTGCCTCTCTCAGCAGCATCTTTCAGGGACCCGGAAGCCCCAAGCATCTGGCAAGGAGGGTTCCTGAGGTGGGCAATGGGAAGGCCGTCAGGGCCCGTCTGCCAGGGAGAAGCCTCCGGGTGGTCTCTGCTGGGTGGGCCCAGCTGTCGAGGCCCAGGCAAGGAGCGGCCTTGCCAACCAATCCCTCCTTTACAACCATGCCGGGAGGGGTGCGCAGGGGCCCGTGGGTGGTGTTCACGTATGGAGGGGGGGGATTTCTTTTTAAGAGACAAGGTGGGTGGAATGGGGGAAGCCAGCTGGCTGTGGGCTCTATTTCTACTGACAAGGCTTTACCCTGTAGGTGTGAGGAATTCCAATTAAATATGCAGCCTATTTGTCTGTGTGTGGGAGAGGGTTTGCTGGGAAGGAGGGGGACGGAGGCAGCGTCTCTGCGGCATACCAGCAAACCAGAAATTAGCTCCGTTCATCACAGGCACACGGGGCTTCCCTCAGCCCTCCTGTGCACTCACAGGAGGCTCGAGGAGACAGACAGAGGAAGCGAGAGAGAGGTTGGGGAGGCGGGTTCTCCAGGCTGGAAGGGCTTCCGGAATCTCTGAGTGGGCAGGAAGGATTGCCCGACTCCTTGGCTCTTGGGGGGGTTTCCCGTTCTGGAGGCGCCGGCAGTGAGCTTCTCTGGGCCATCTGTCCCTACCAGGGATGGCCAGGGTGGTCTGGGCTCACCCCTGGAACAATGGGGGTTGCAGATGCACACAGAGGGGTGTCTGTGTGCACCAGAGAGGCAGGTGGGTCTGTGGCAGGGGCTGCCTGGGGCAGGCACCATTACCTCTCCAGGGCCCTGGGGACCACTGGGACCCTCCCCTTCTTCATCTCTGCACCAAAGTAATACTTAGAAAGCCTCGTGAGGGGCAGCGGTTTCTTTGAAGAACAGAATCCTGAAATGCTGACGCCAGCGCTCACACCCTTCCTAGCAGAGAGATTATGCCAAGGTTTTTGGGGGTGCATGGGTCTCCAGAAGCCATTGCAAACCCTTCCCTTTCCCCTTTCTTCATTTCTCTTTTTACTCATAGATGAGATTTGGCAGAAAACATGAAAGTTCTGTAGGGCACAGAGGCCAATGTATGTTGACGCTGATAAATTTGGTCTTTCAACAGTAAAATTATGTGGTTTGGGGGAGCTTTCCATGGTGCCTGGCATGTGAGTACCTTTGAACCTCAGTGTTGATGGTTGCAGGGTCTGTGGGCCTCCTGGTTACGCCATCGGTCTTGCTCTCAGCCTTCAAACCACTGGTCTTTCGTTCCGGCTGCCACTCTGTCTTCTTACATCCTCCTCCCACGGGTTTCTCCATCAGCCGAGTCCTCTCTGCATTTTTGCTTATCTTTTCTTGATGCTGTTTCTCTCCCTATCTGCAAACACTTATTCCTCCCCATCTCTACTTTCACCATCTATTCCCCAACTGATTAAAACATAATCACTCGTTGACTTAAGGAGCTAAGTGGCTTGATATGGATGGGAGAAGGAGAATGGTTGGTAAGCCATTTTTTTCTGATCGGGCATCCGAGATATTGGTCAATGAATCCCATGCCAGCTGACTCCTCCTCTTCAGAGCAGCGCTGAAGTGAAGCCTGCGGAGCTGGGAGGTGGTTGGCACATGGCCTCATAACATTAGCCAGACTGGCCTGAAGGATGGCATTGGGGTACAACCAGGGCAGCATGTGATGCGTCCTACGGGGGCAGGCTTGGGTGGGGACATGGGAAGGGCACCGATCAGAATGGTGGGTTGGGGCAGAGAAACAGCAGCTGAGGTCCGGAGGGAGGGAGCTACAAAGGAGGTGAGTGTGCAGAGAAGCAGGTGGTGTGGGTCAGAGCATACAAGTGAGAAACTGGGAAAGACATTCAGCACTGATCTGCTCATGAGGGAGGGAGGGTGCTGGCCCCTTCCTCATTTTCCCCGATTTCCCTCTTTCCTTCTGCTTCCCCTCAGGTCCCCCTGAGTTCCCCCTCCTCTACTCCTCCACTCCCCTCACTTCCTCCATCTGCATCATCTCTCACATTTACAGTGTGGAAGAGGAGGGTGTGGCTACCCCAGGAGAACTTTCTGGGATGGAGAGGACAAGACCACAGTGGACAGGCTGTTGGGTGGGGCCCTTCTAAGCTGTGAGAGTGACCTGGGCTGGAGCCCAGGGTGGGCCTGGCCTAGAGCATAAGAGGGGCTGTGGGGAGGGGGGAACGCAGCCCTGAGACCTGAGGAGAGGCAGGCCCTGAAGGAAATGAGCAGGCTTCAGCTGAGGCCACATTGACAGGACCTCCTGGTGACAGCCTGAGGTGGCCAGGACACTTACCCCCTGGCTGCCAGCCTGCTCTAGCTCCATCGGATACAGGGTTCTCTTCTCACTCGCCCTGCACGGCACTCCTGTTGCCCCAGAGCCGGGGGTGGTGGCTGGGGCACCGGGAAATGTTATGAATGGCAGAACTGCTCCAAGCCCCCAGCCTTCCTCTTGAGGAGGAGGAGAGAATCCGACCATGAGGTATTTTCCTGGCGCTAAGGATAACCTTGTAGGAGGCAGAGGGAATCCAATTAGACATGCAAGGCTGGGGAGGCTGAGGGCGTGTGGGAGAAGGCTGCTTTTCACTTTCTGGCTTCCCCGCGCCCTCAATGAGAAATTATAGCTTGGCTCCTTCGTTACAGCCCCCCTCCGCTCTCCTCTTTCCTTTCCCAGGGCCGTCATCACACTCAGCTTTTCCCACCACCAGCCCCTGCACAGAGGGGGAAACAGAGTCCCACAACGATGGGACCCGCGAGGCAGAAGCCCTCCTGGGCAGTGCCATCACGGTTCCCTTCCTGTCTCTAGTTGCCCCTGGAATTTGGGGGAGGCTGCCTCCTGTACCCCTGGAGTTGGTTGCCCATCTACCCCTGTCTCTACTGCTTGTCCTGAGCTTATCTGAGCTCTGCAGTGATTGTCCATCTCGCCCCTCTCTGCTTGGGCTCGGCACAGGTAAAGCAGCAAATGACCTCCTTCCTCCCAGACCCAAAGTCCCCAACTGCCCCCGGTGGACAGATCCATGTGCTTCCATGTGAGACTGGATCCTGTTGCCCGGAAGATGCCCCACTTAGTCCTCTTTAGAGGCAGTTATGGGGAGACAGAGCTTGAACTTTTTTTTTTTTTTTTGAGATGGAGTTTCGCTCTTGTTGCCCCGGCTGGAGTGCAGTGGCATGGTCTCAGCTCACTGCAACCTCCGCCTCTTGGGTTCGAGTGATAACTTGGACAGGCTCCTGGGCCTTCTTGGGCCCTCACCAAGTACGCCCACTGATAGCAACTGCTCCACCCAAGATGCTTTTCCTGCCTTCCTGTTGTCCCTGTTTCCCTCGCCTGTGATCCGGGGATGGGAACGAGGCTTCTGCTGATGGAGCGGGCCTGGGGCCACCCTGTGGACTGGGATGCAGAGGCCTGAGTGGAGAGCTCCCCAGCAAAGCCTCCTGGGAGAAGGTTCTGGGCATGCTGTCTCGTGGCTGCTGGGCTCCCGGATGGCTCCCCAGCCTTCCTTCTTGCCCTACCCTGGCCTTCTCTCCTTGCTCTGCTGAGGCCATCTGAAGGGGGATTTTTCGGGGTAAGTAAAGTCTTCAGCCAGTTTTAGTGCCCCGCACAGTCAGGGGCTGCTGCCACCAGGGCGGGCTCCTCTGTCATGTTGTCGGAGGCTGTCCTCGGAGGTGTGAGGAACTCCAATTAAGCACTCAGCCTGTCTGCCTGCGTGGGGGGCACGGGCTGCATGGGAGGCGGTGACTAATCCTCACAGCACTGATCAGAGGCCCTGGGGAGTAGGTGGTGGGAAGGTGGGCGGGGGAGGTGGGGGAGGAGGGGGATGGGGTTTCCTCACCAAGTCAGCTGGCTCCCAGCTCTGCGCGTGTGATGGTGCCCAGAGGAGGGTTTGGGATCCTGAGAAGGAAAGGCCATGGGGACCCTGGCTCCCCATAGAAGGATCCAGTCCTCGTGGGGTTCAAGGTGACCCATATTTGGATTCACCTGTTTTCCAAAAACCTCTGATGTACCAGGCACGGGTGCTCCCCACAACCCTAAGACGGCTGTTATTGGCCTCAATTTACAAAGAATCTGAGCTGCAGAGAAATAAGTGACTTCTCAAAGGTCACCAGGCTAGGAGGTGGTCAAGGGAGAGGTCCCACACCAAGGCCAGTGGGTTTTTTATGGCGTCACGGAGGTCGCCAGGCAAAGAGCTCTAAGGGTCTTTAGCAGAGCATCTGGGTCCCAGGTCACAAATGTCCCCACCCACACCCCCATTATATGGAGAGACAGAAAAGCCCAGGGAGAGAGCTGGGCTGGTGCCGTGGTCCCCCGACTCTGTGTCCCACCAACAAGAAGAGTCCTTTGGAAGGCTGGGTGGTGTCTCCACTGGGAATGTTCATTCATTTGGCAAATATCTATGAACCACTGATATGGTGCCCTTAGCACTGTGTTTAGCACTGGGAAGGGTGAGGAAAGTCAGGTCTGGAAGAGGAGACACTCAGCAGGGCTTCGAATATATGCATATAGAAAGTGATTGGCTATTTTTATTTTCCAAGAATAAATGGGAGGAAACAGGGCAGAAACCATCACATGGGCGACTTAGCTTGGACATGCAAATGCTTTGGAGGGGACAACTGCTCAGTAGTTTGCCAGGGAAAGTTAAAAGCAGCATGGATTCCCAGGCATCTTGTTTTTTTAAAATCTTTTTTTTTTTTTTGAGACAGGGTCTCACTGTTGCCCAGGGTGGAGTGCAGTGGCACGATCACGGCTCACTGCAACCTCTGCCTCTCTGGCTCAGGTGATCCTCCCACCTCAGCCCCTGAAGTAGCTGGGACCACAGGTGCTGGGACCACAGGCACGCACTATCACATCCAGCTAATTTTTGTATTTTTTTGTAGAGATAGTGTTCACCATGTTGCTCAGGCTGGTCTCAAACTCCTAAGCTCAAGCAATCTGCCCACCTTGGCCTCCCAAAGTGCTGGAATGATAGGTGTGAACCATCATCGTGCCTGGCCCTTTTTAAAATCTTGAGGCAGGAGAGGAATTATACATTCCTTTCTCACCCAGGCCTGGGTCAATTTCACTGGTGACCAAGGCTGTTGTTTCTCGACCTTTTCAATAGCTTTCTGAGGCTTGGAGTAGCTCGTACCTTGAGGTTCATTTGTCCAGGACCCTACTAGGTCCTCTCCCCTCCCTAAGCACACACAGTAGAGAGAACCTCCCTGGGAAGCCAGGCACATTTGCATTTCTGCCTGAACTACAGATGAAGGTTTTGTGGGTTATGACTTCGTATGGATCCTTTGAGGTTCCACAGTGCCCTGGGCTGCCCACCAGAGGATGCCTCCTGGGAAGCTAGGAGAAAACCTGCGATGGAAGTTATAAGGCCTGAAGGCATTGACTCCCCTGCCATACACCCACCAGGAAGAAAAGGGGTCCGGATCAGCGGACCTTCAGCAGCTGGAAGGATGTGGACAGAGGGCACTAAAGTGATGGCTGGACTCCTCCGATCCTGAGGGCGTCTAAGGCTCAGTCTTAGGTCTTCCCTTCTGTAAAAGGATGAGAAAGTCTCTAGGGTTGCTTCTGGCTAAGGGGAAAGGAAACGAGTGTGCTCCGAGTGCTCCCACGTGTTGCCCTGTGCCCTGAACTGCACACAGCCTGTCTTTCTTAGTGAATCACCCCAACAGCCTTGTGGGATAGACACTATCTCCCATCTCCAGCTGAGGAAACTGGCTCAAAGAGACTCCGTAACTTGTGAAGACAGCGCAGTTAGCAAGCAGCAGCGTCCGGGTTCAGATCTGAAACTCTTTGTCTTTGAAGAGGACGGCGCCTGATTGTGGGATGGCAAATGACCCTTTGCCCCCTGCTGGACTGACCTCAGGTGTCCTGTTCAGAGCAGAGGTGACAGAACCTTTGGGGACAGGCCCCAGCATCTCCTTGTTGGTACCCTGTCCTGCCCACCACGTTTGGATGCCCTTGGCAGTGGAAGCCCTGCTTGGGGCCGGCCCCGCCTTGCAGTCCTGTGGAGGAGTAGGGAGTTCCGGGAGAGCCGGAGGGGGAAGGGGCTGGTGGAAACTCCCGAGGCAGCAGGCACCGGGGCTGGGAGTGGGGAGGAGGGACACGGGGGTGGGCTCCAGGCTTTTCCCCACACTTCCTCAGGGATCGCTTTACATAACCAGGGCTGCTTAGTCACCGCTTTTTACTTTTTTTTTGGAAACAATTTTCTCAGCATCACAGCTCCCGTCTCCATCCCTTACTAGTCACCGGTGCTAGGGAAGTCCCTTTTCTCCCGTTCCCTAGGCAACCCAGCACATTTGCCTTTCAAATGATCCAAGGCCTGGGCGGGGGTAGGAGTTCCCTCCCCCTGTACCCAGGCCTCCCACACAGCCACTCCTGCCTCAGTTGGCTATGTCATGTGGCCCAGCCACCCGAAGACATCTGGGAAAACCAGACTCCTTGCCTGGCCTCTGCCCCAATCCCAGACCCTCACATGTTTGGTCTTTGAATTTGGCTCAGGCTCAGGGACCCCAGCTCACGGCTGGAGGTGCCCATGTTGGACTTCGGACATGGCAGCCTGTCCCCCTTCCTCCCTGGGGAAGAGGGGGAGCCAACCAGGCATCTTCTGCAGGTGACAGAGCTGGGCCTCTCTCAGCAAGGCCCAGGTAACCCGGGGGGCTGAAGCCACCCACTCTGCCACCGTTCCCCAGGAACAGGACCTGCTGACCTCAGTTCCCCCTCTTTAATCTCAGCAGCCATGGTGGGTGAGAGGATCTGGGATTCCGTCTTGTTCTTTCAGTCACTCTGTGGCTTTCTCACTATTGCTTGTGTCAGCCTTGACTGGACAGAGGTGTCCAAGTGCTTGGGAAACTGAGACTTGAGACGGGAATGAGCATGGGTAGGGGAGAGGTCTCTCGGGCTGGGTGCCAGAAACACTGGACAGAGACCAGATGGGCCCTAATACACTCCCCTTTAAAAGGCCACAATGTTGATCTTAGTGATACAAGGTGCCTTACCAGTGGGCTTGATAACTATGAATTAAGAGCAATCATGTGAGCTATAAAAACAGAGTAGTGCAAACTCACAGAGCACGTGGGAACCTCTCCCTCATTCATTCAACACACACTGTCGAGCACCTACTCTGTGCTAAGCATGGTTCAAGTCCTTGAGAAACCACCAGATCCAGACCTCTGCCTTTGGGGGCATGAAAATACCCGACCCATCCATTAGAGAGTTTCAGGGAACTGACATTTTTAGAAGGTCAATGGACCACATACAGAGAGAAAAAGTCACATCTGGGCACCAGGGAGTGCTAATTAAGAAAAAAATCGCTTAGAATGATTTCTTCAAGCAAGAGTTCTTAACCCAGGACTCATGAATAGTCTTCGAGGGGTCTGCAAATGACCACAAATTGCAAAATTGTATACCTCTGTATATGTTTGCATGTATATTTCCCTAGGGAGAGCCCGACCACTTTCATCTGATTGGCATCTCTGATCCTCCAGGAGGTTAAGGACCGTTTTATCAGCAGCTGGCCCAGGTTTGGAGGCAGCACGTTTTAGGGTATCCTGAGAGTGACAGCCCACATACACATCACACCTGGAGGTTAGTGTCCTCAGTGGTAACTGAGTAACCAACCTCCCAGGACTCCTGGCGTTTGCTTCTGCCAGAGTCACAGGGAAGACGACTAGCTCCCTCAGCTTTCCTGCCCAGACCCATAATAGGGAACAGCAATCCCGGGAGGTTCCAGCTGCCAGCAACTGCAGGTTCCATCTCAGCCAGAGGGTACTGGCCAGGCACCTGCTCCATGCAGAAGCTGCACACCTGGCTGGGTAGGGCTCCTGAGGTTTGGGTAGGGGTACATGGGCCAGGTCTTGCACTTCCCTGGGAGAGGGTTGGGGCAACCCAGGACTTCTTAGGGCTCTGTCTCCCCCATTCCAACCTTTTATTTTGTTTCTATATTTAGATCCTTTCTCAGTCCTTTCTTGAGAATAAGGGAGTGATGCTTAGCAATGTTCTTTGTGTTTTCATTCTGTGTTCCCTCTGGGGAAGGATGGGCATGGCTGTCTAATGTGGATGGCAGACGTCTATGGATGAACGCCTCCTGGGATTTCTGTGTGACCAGCTTTCTCTTGCCTTTGGCTTAAGGCTCGACTTCCTCACTGGATGCTTGTGCCTGGAACTGCCCTGTAGGGGTGACGCCCTCCAAAGGCAGTGGCGCAGCTGCTCCTGTGCGTACCCAGTGGCTTTCTTATGGCGGTGGCCAGGTGCTCAGTGAGAGGCCTGAGGCTCTGGGTGGAACCAGATTCCAGGATTCAGCTAGGATCCAACTAGGGTCATTGTTTTCAGCGAGATCTCACAGCAGCGACCCTCAAGATGACAGAAATGAATAATGCCTCCCTAACACATGCTGTGGTTTTTGGTTTTTGTTTTGTTTTGTTTTGTTTGAGATGGAGTCTTACTCTGTTACCCAACCTCCCATGCTCAAGTCATCCTCCTGCCCCAGACTCACAAGTAACTGGGACCGCAGACATATGCCACCATGCCCAGCTAATGTTTTGTATTTTTGGTAGAGATGGAGTTTTGTCACGTTACTCAGGCTGGTCCTGAGCTCAAGTGATCTCCCCGCCTTGGCTTCCCAAAGTGCTGGAATTGCAGGAGTGGGCCACCACGCTGGTCTGGCCGACACATGCTGTTTTCAAGCACTTCCTGCCCACCAGGAGGGGAAGAGATCACTGGCTTTGGAGTTATAGCAGGAGGTTGAACCCCAGAGTGGCTCTCATTGACCTTGGGAAGGTCATGCAACCTCTCTGGGCCTCAATGTCCACATACGTAGGAGGAGCCTGGGGACACCTGACTGCAGGCTGTTGTGGGGATTATGGAGACAGCCCCTGGCCCACAGCAGGTGCCCCATCTTTGTTGGTTTTCTTCTGTCCCTGTCACCAGCACCCCTGCAACCTGCTACCAAACTGAGTAGATGATGATATGTAAGTGGAGAGGGTGTCAGGGTTGAAGGAAGCTATGAAGGTTTCATGGAAGAGGTGGGGCTTGCGTAGAACACACAGCACACTCGGAGTGGGGGATGGGGTCAGGAATCAAAGGCAAGAACGAGAACCAGAGAAGGAAGGAAGGGAAGGGACAGAGTGTGGTTATCTTGCAGTTGCTTTTACAATTTGTCATTGATGCCTTGATTTGAAGGAAACTGAGGCAATGGAGTAGCTGAGACAGGCCTCCTAGCCTTGAATTCTGGCCCTGCTGCCAGTGACTGGATGTGACCCTGTAGCCAACCTCCCGACCTCCCGTCCCGGGAGATGTGCCAGGCTTGGGTGCTGCGAGCCGGGAGCCTGATTTAGCGCACGCCTTGTTAGGAGAAGCTAATTAACAAACCTGCATTTAAATAAGCAGCCGCCCGGGTGTTTGTAACCACCGCCTTATTGAATTGTGACAAGTTATTAGCCCTTGCATGTTAAATGAAACAGAAGCATCCAGGAAAAACCCCTAAATCCAATCTGCATAAAGCAGATTCCTGCTGAGAAAATGACGGCAGCAAAAACTGATTCACTCGCCGCTTTGGGGAGAACTCCAGGCCTCCCTTCCTTCGAGGTTACATAACCCTCTGTCAACAGCGACATCAGGAGAAAGGCAGCGAGCCGGAGGGGGGACCGTCAGGAACGCTCTGGGATCCATCTGGGCGTCACCTTTTGCGGGTGCTGGGGACACTGCTTGCGTGAAGGAACAGAAACGGGCCACGTGTGCACGGTTTGCGCATGTGAGCTGTGTCCAGGCCTGCTCCTCAGATCCCAGTGTGTCTAGAACACTTTGCCGCCCACTCTGTCCCCACTTTTCCCAGGCCTAGATGCTGCTCCCGTGGCAGTGGGACGACAGGGCAGCTCAGCACAGACCCACGGGGGCCCGGCAACTTCTCTCTGCATTTCCGCAAATGAGGGGAAGCTAGGAGCAAGGTCAGCATGTGGTGCCCTGACAATTCTATTTTGGAGGAAAAAAGCCGTTGGCCCTCAGCTGTCTTCAACCAAGGATACTAGAACCGGAATCGAGAGCTGCTGTGTCCTCAGTTAAATTCCTGTCCTCCTGGGGCCACCTATGGGAATCTGGCCCAAGTGCCCCTCTGCATTTCCTGCCGAGTGCCCAGGACAGAACCACGGCCATTTCGAGACCCCAGATGTCCTCCAATGTGTCCTCTCGGAGACGCCCTATCTCTGGAATGGGGTAAGGCTCTAAAAGGCAAATTGAGGTCGGCGGTCTGGCTTGGGACAGATCCGCCATGTGCTCCCTGGCCACAGATCCTGCTCCTGCTCCCTGAGGGAGGAGGATTGAGACACAAGCCCAGAGAGGGAGGCAGGGGTGATCCAGGGTGTGAAGGAGTCAGATGGGCTCTGCCACCTGCTAGCAACATGGCCTGGGAAAGTTACAGATCCTCCCTGAGCCTGAGTCCTCATTCAAAACAGGAGCAACAGCGACCACTCCAGGTCCCCGGAGAGGCCACCTCAGTCTGGCATCGAGAAGCTTGTCAATGACTGTGAATAGAGGAGGAAAAGAGCAGACCGACAGGCAAACGTGGAGCTGCATTTTCTGGGCTTTGCTGCTCTTCCTCCTGGAGACAACGGGGCTACTCTAAAGAATGCAGGTTTAAAATCTCAGCTCTGCTCCTTACTACCTTCTGTACCCCTGGATAGGTGGATTCACTTCTTTGAACCACAGCTTTCTCGAACGTCAAGTAGGGTCAGTGCTTATTTCGCAGTGTTATAGTGGGAATAAAATAAGACAGTGCATGTTTAGAAAGTGCCCAGCATGGAGTAGAAACTGAATACATCCTGGCTGTCTTTCCCTTCCTCCTATCCCCTTCATCCGGCTTTTTGTCTCCCAGCAATAGAAACACTAAACCGTTTGTTCTGGAGGGGCTCTGGATTAGTGGTACTAAGGAAAGAACACTCTAATACATTATGTATTCTGGGGCTTGTGTTCCTTGGTTGGGACCTCTGGTAATAGGCTAGGTATATTTCTGTTTTTTTGTTTGTTTGTTTGTTTGTTTTTTAAGAGACAGGGTCTTGCTCTGCTTCCCAGGCTGGAGTACAGTGGTGTGACCATAGCTCACTGCAGCCTTGACCTCCTGGGTTCAAGCAATTCTCTGGCCTCAGCCTCCTGAATAGCTGGGACTACAGTTGCACGCCACCATGTCCGGCAATTTTTTTTAGTTTTTGAAGAGACGGGGGCCTTGCCATGTTGCCCAGGCTGGTCTCGAGCTCCTAGCCTCAAGCAATGCTCCCACCTCGGCCTCCCAAAGTGCTGAGATTACAGGCATGAGCCACCATGCCTGGCCCCTCTGGATTTTGAAACCCTGTCTATTAGTGGCTTTAAAAAAAAGTTGCTAGGGCAGCAGCTTGGGGGAGCAAAAAGGAAGCCATCTCTTTCTCCTCAGTCCTAACGTCATCAAATCTTCATCTGAGTGATCAAAGGTTGTTCATCAGAGCACACTTCATACAAAGCTCCATGCCAGGGAGTGAGGGATTGTCAATATCCAGGGAATCCTATGCAGGAAACAGGGCTGCACCCCCTACCGCTTTTTTTTTTTTTTGAGACAGGGTCTTGCTCTTTCACCCAGGCTGAAGTGCAGTGGTATCATCACGGCTCACTGCAGCATCAACCTCCAAGGCCCAAGTGATCCTCCCACTTCAGCCTCCTGAGTAGGTGGGACCACAGGTGTGTATCACCATTCCTGGCTTATTAAAAAATTTTTTTTGTAGAGACAGGGTCTCTCTGTGTTGCCCAGGCTGGTCTGGAACTCCTGGGCTCAAGCAATCTTCCTGCCTCGGCTTCCCAAGAGTGCTGGGATTACAGGCGTAAGCCACTGTGCCCAGCTAAGGGCTGGTCCCTTCTAATGGGGATTCTGATGTTTGGGCAGGAGAGGAGTCTGTAGGGGTGGGTTCCTCTAGGAACACTATCTTGGAGGGTGGTAGGATTTGCACAGGTGAGGAGAGGGGTCGTATTTTTCTAAAAGAATGAAATATAATGAGTGGAGTTGAAGAGTTGGGGTCTTCCTTTAGATACACCAGCCAGGTTAGCATAAAGAGTTTGTTCTGGAGAAGAGGTCAGAGGGCAAGAATTACACTGAGTCTTAAAATCTCAAACTGAGCTAGCCTTGAGAACGTTCCTTCCATAAGGTCTGGAAATTGGCAGAGGCGGGGGAGGGGGATACCAACATTTTGATGGGCGAGTTTTGTCCCATGGCACCCATACCCTCTCCTTGTAGTCAGAAATGACTTAGTACAGATTCTCAGTTGGCTGGTGATGGCAAAGAGAAAAGAGGAGTTATCCTCTAAGGCTAATACTTGCTCCTCTTTGCCACTGCTTACGCAGTCAACAAACACTTGTTGGGGGTAAGGCCAATTCAACATGGCCTCTACTCTCAAGTACTTGAGTCTGGTTGGGGATTCAGAGAAATAAACCACCACTACTACTCCTACGGCTACGACTATGAGTAATTGTGCGACGGTGCTAAGTTCCCTGATGGGGAATGTGGGAGTTTCCTAGGTGAGAGGGGGCTCAGTTCTGCCCCAAAGAAGCTGGGTCACAGGAGGGCCCTGTGAAGGGTGAAATGTTTCAGCTCAGCCTTAAAAGAAGATCTGGGCAGATGAAGGGGTCGAGGTGAGGGCTGGGGAAGGGAAGGGTTTACGTTTCGTTGATAACGCGTTGTGGATGGGCCTACAGAGCGTGCAGGGGGAGGCGTGCAACGGGCCCACAGGCTTGGAGCTCTGGCAGAGGAAAAGTGGGTGTGGCTGGAGGCTTCAGGGATGCACGGGCTCATCCTGGGAACATATGAAGGGAAGGGGGATGCTGGGAGAACCAGGAGCAGCAGGCAGGAAGCCAGGTAGAGGGAGGGAACCTGGGAAGGATGTTGAGAAGGACTGGCCAAAAGGGCAGGTGGCAGTGGGATCCAGGTAGCTGAAAGATGAAGGGGTTTCAAAATGGGAGAGGGCTTCTAACTATCACCGAGAAACCCCTGGGACAAGAACTGCATGTTTCCATCAGAAAGTGGCTGCCAGGGGGACAAAGAAGGAGCAGGGAAAGACGAATGAGAAGAGAAGAGGGAGAAATGGCAAGTGCAGCCTGCTCTTAGGCGGAAGCCGTGTGGCTATGAGGGCCCATGAGAGGTGACGCAGGGAGGGAAGGCCCTAGAAGCCCTGAGTTATGGCAGTGGGGACCGAGGTTGGCAGGCTGGGGCACAAGCAGGGTCCTGGCGGTGTTCAGAGTCTCACCCATACTGCGAGGAGTACCCAGGACAAATACCTACACGTGTCCCATCCTGGGCCTCGGTTTCCTCATCTGTAAACTGGAGAGGCTGGACCACAGCCTTGCTAGGTCTCTTTTCAACTCTAAAATATGACTGTCCTGATGGTTATTCATATGCTATGAATTCTAAATTGATACAAGGATTCTACATTGATAGAAATTCTAAATTCTGGATGGCATTTTAGTTAACATGTACCAAAAAGCCTTTGAATATGCAAAACCTTTGACCTCTGAGAATTTATTCTCAGAAAGTCACCACAGAGGTGAATGAAGAGTTGTGTATTCACAACTTTGTTCATTGTAGCGTTGGTGATAATATAAAAAAAAAGCAGATACAACCTAATGTCCAATAGTAGAGGATTGGCTGAGTAAATTATAGTACATCCATATGGTAAACTACTTCTGCACTAAAAATCATGGTTTAGAAGATTATGTGTTGACATGGGAAAATGTTAATGATATATTGCTAAGTAAGAAAGCAGGCTACATTGCAGAATGTACAGTATGATACATTCATTTTCAAAATTTTTGATTAGGACACAGACCAAATCTTTAATTAATGTCATTTTTTTTCTTTTCTTGGCAAGCAAGAAGAGTATTATCTAGAATATTGTAACTAAAAAATGAAACAGAAAGACAGTTATACACTAAGTGTGTTCACAGGAATTTTTAAGTCATTAGGATGGAGAGTAGGCTGTCAGTGAGTCAAGGAAGCGGAGAAATTCTGAAACTATAGAATTTTAGAAGCGGAAATCACCCCTAGAGATCGTCGGGCCCAACCTCGCTTTTTTTGAGACGAAGAAATTCAAGCTCCTAGGGAAGTCTAGACAGTGACTAGTCAGAGATGGGGGTGGGTGCCAGCCTGAAACTAGGGTCGTCCAACCTTCAGTTTATGCTGGTACGTTTGCCACCCCTCAGAGAGACCCCGCTGATACTTAAGAGGTGACTCTATTCCTAAGCCCCCTGAGGTGGGGCTGTGGGCTCCTCCCTTCCTCCCAGCCTCTGAAGACCTATGCAGCTCAAAGCTGCTCTAGGCCACAGGAAAGTACCTGGGCCCACTGCAGAGCTCTGGGGCAACGTCTGCAGCAGCATGGGGGTCCTTTGCGAGCTGATCCAGTGCCCCAAAGGGAAATCAGTCTCTGGGTGGCCCAGAGCTAGGCTTCACTGTCTTCTTAAGAAATGGATGCTCACCTTGTCAAACACTTTTGTGACAGACATGATTCTCCTTCCTCCAGAAAAAATTCCTCTCCGCCTCCCACTCTGCTAACCCTCCAATGCAAAGACAGCACTTCATTTTTACCGAGTTCAACATCTTCGGGGACAGGTGCAACGGGCAGATGCCCTGTAGTCCATGTTGATTTGGTAATTCTGTAGCACTCTTTCTGATGCAAGAGAGAGGGTGTTGGGCCTGGCCTTCCAGGATGGGGAGTCCAATGCCTCTTCTCTGGCCCCATGGCCCGCTGACCCCCATGGCCGCTCCGTCATCCCTCTCCTGGGCCACTGAATAGCCTGCTAGCAGATCTCCCTGCTCCTCCCCATCAACCCTCTCTAAGTCTCAGCACCAGAGCTGTGGTCTTTATTTCATATGCCTGTTAACTTCCTTTTGTCATCCTTCAACCATTGCATGGGCTGTTTGATGATTCTTTCCTTCCTTCCTTCCTTCATTCACTCATTTATTTATTCATCACATGTGCAGGCAGAGAGCTAGGTGCAGTTTTGCCCTCAAGGAGGTCACAGTCCAGAGTGGGGGCAGAGACCCTTAGAACCAATTATCCTCAGGCCATGTGGAAGCACCTCCTGAGGGGGTAGATACAGGGATTCAAGGGATGACGAGGGCCCTGATGGCTGAGGTAGACCAGGAAGCCTGCTTACATCGGTGGGATTTGAACCGTGCCTTGGCATACCGGTGGGGGAAGAGGGGCACGGAAGAGGAAGACATCCCAGACAAGGCCCCTAAGCATGGCAACAGCTTAGCAGGGGCAGAAAACACCAGGGATATCTCGGCCTTGCTGGGGCTGGTTGGGATGATGGGATCACGTGGGGTGGAGGGGGAAATAAAAGCTGGGCTGGGGCCTGACCTTGAAGGGTCTTGTGGCTACCTTTGAAGGCTCAGTGTTCTAGTTCCGAATTTGTACATTTTACAGGCTTCTGGAGAAATGAAGAGTTGGCTCCTTTCTCAGCAAACAGACGGGGTTTAATTGCTGTTACTGTCAGTGTAGTTGCAAATATCATATAAAAAGGGCTTTTTGGCTAATTGTTTTTAGAAGAAAAATTCAAGAACTATGTATAGATATTATGCATCCAGGGTACTTTAAAGATCAAACTGTTTATATTACCCTTAAATACAGTCTTTAGCAGGCGGCACTGGGCTCTGTGAGTAACTGGGACACACGATGACCCCCCAGGGCTTAAGATGCTGGAACAATATGACAGCAGTTACTTTATTTCTGAGGGGAGGTGGGGGTGGTCAGCCACTACCCTTTGATAGGCCAGAAGACCAGATGAATAGAGATCTAAGCTGGGTAATGTTGCTGCACCATTGCCCTAAAGGGCTGCCTCTTCACGCAGGCAACCAACCTCCCCACCCCAGACACACACAGAAAGAACTGGATTCCACGGGCTTCTGGGGGTGCAAGGGGAAGGGGCTGCCATATCTAGTGGGCTCCTGGAGAAGCTCGGGCTGAGGAGCAGAGAAGGGAGCAGCCTCAGAGCTTCTCATCTTGTCTCCGGTCCTGCAGTCTTCTTTCCTCACCCGCAAATGGTAGAGAGAGGAGTTTTGAGCCGTACAAATAAAGCAAATTCATATCTGCTCATTGCCATCCTGTCCTCATGCTCAACCCTCTCTCAAATTTTAATTTGGTAGCTTTTAGAAAGGCAAATTTATTTGTGACACCATCCAAATTCTATTTTATTGGAATCCTCTTCTCCAAGGGTGCGATCGACTACCGAGAAAGCTGTGGGCTTCTCCTTTTGATATTTTCCCAAGCTCTCTGTGCGTTCGCGCGTGCTTGTGTGTGCGCGCACACGCATGCACATTCATTTTAGGGTCCTCTACATATTTTACGTACAAACACATAATGCATATTCACAAGGCAGCCGCGGAAGTGTAGATATATTCATCACATATATGTGTAACTCAGTGCAGACTCCTAGAAGCCAATATTTAAGTTATCATATTTAATTTATTCAACAAACATTTAATAAGCACTTACTCTTCATTAAACACTGTCCTAGGCCCTGAGTGTACAGCAATAAACAAGTCAGACAAAGCCTGTGCACTAGGGGGCTAACATTTAAAAGCACTGGATTCTTTTTTTTTTTTAGACAGGGTCTCAATCTGTCTCCCAGGCTGGACTGCAGTGGTGTGATCATGGCTCACTGCAGCCTTGAACTCCTAGACTCAAGTGATCCTCCTGCCTCAGCCTCTAGAGTAGCTGGGACTACAGGCACACACCACCACGCCTGGCTAAGAACTTTTTTTTTTTTGTAGAGACAGGGTCTCACTATGTTGCCCAGGCTGGTCTGGAATTCCTGAGCTCAAGGGATCCACCTGCCCCAGCCTCCCAAAGTGCTGGGATTACAGGGATAAGCCACAGCACCCAACTTGGATTTTTAGTACAAGGTTTCCAAACACATGTGAGGGAATCTGTGTGGACAGTCACAGAGGGAGCTGGCTAGGTCAATAGATCAGCACTCCCTTAATCCAGGAGAGACAGCCATTTGGGTGCAATATTCCAAACAAAGGTGGCATTAGGGTTCCCTGCTGCAGGTGACATCTCAGGGCTGCAGGGCCTTACCCCATAGAACACTTCCCGGTGCTTCTAAGGTGGAGATGAAAGAGCTGGAGACAAGGGTTGGTGGGCCCCCTGCTTTGTGGCCTTAGATCTTTACCCTACAGTGGTATCGGTCCGTGTCCTTGGTCATATCCTTTCTATGATTCCAGGTGATTTTCAATGCCTTCCTCTTCCATAGAGCCTTTCCTGCTCATCCCAGTCATAACCAAAGATGCCCTCTTGTGAGCTCATCCTACCTTCTGTGTGATTCACCCAGTGCTTCACACACGCTGCCTTATTTTGATAGGTAGCAAATTTCGTTCTAAGTATACGTTGCTCTTTCAAAGAACACTCGTGGAATTTCTACTGATGTGGAAAGGAAGGACCCTGGCCCTGCCCATGGGAGCTGTTGGCCCAGTAGGGAGACCAGCAAGCTAATCTGTAATTGCAAGCAGAGAGCCAGGTATATGTCAGAGGTGTGTACAGGGTGCCATGGGGCATTGCGGTGGGTGGTAGGGAGCAGGTGGCTCTCAGCAGAAGTGAAGCTCAAATGCTCCCGAAAGAAACCACAGACTCCTTGGAGTGGGACCCTTACCTAATTCTTTTTATATTCCCCACCATGATTGTAATAATCAAATTATCTTGCCCAGCAATTTTTAAGTACAATTTTAAAATTGGATTACAAAATTATATATATTATAGAAAATTTGGAAAAACAGCTAAGCCCAAAGAATATAAAAATCACTCATAATCGTACTACCCAGACTTAACTATTATCAACATTTTGGTACATACACTTTCCAGTTTCTTTTCTCCATGCAATGAAAATGAGTTGTGCTCTAATTACTTTTCATTTGCTTTTTCTTTTCATGTAAAAAATGGCACAATTATTTTACTCATATCCTTATATATTCACCTTCAACCATTTTAATGGTTGCATAATATTCTTTTTTCTTTTGAGACAGAGTTTCACTCCGTCACCTAGGCTGGAGTGCAGTGGCATGATCTTGGCTCACTGCAACCTCTGCCTCCTGGGTTCAAGTGATTCTCCTGCCTCAGCCTCCCATGTAGCTGGGATTACAGGCATGCACCACCACGCCCAGCTCATTTTTTTTTTTTTTTTTTTGTATTTTTAGTAGAGGTGGGGTTTCACCATGTTGGCCAGGCTGGTCTCGAACTCCTGACCTCAAGTGTTCTGCCCACCTCAGCCTCCCAAAGTGCTGAGATTATAGACGTGAGCCATCACACCTGGTTGGTTGCATAATAGTTTATGTAGTGTAATTTATTTGCCAACTGTGTCTTGTTGGACAAATTGGTCATTTCTAATATTCCATTATTATAAGTAACACAGGGATGAGTAGCATTGTGGATGAATTTTTGCTCACATCCATAATAATTTCCTTAATAATTATCTAATACATAACACGCCCTGCCTTATTTTGATAGGTATCATTCTTTATATAAATTTAGTGTACATTTCTAGAAGGAGATTGTTGTGCTGAAAGCTATATACATTTTAAAGGCATTTGACATTCAATACACACAGCCAAATAATGCTGCAAAAGGGTTTTTAACAATTTACACTCTCACCAGCACTATATGAGAAGATACTGGATGACATTTTATTTATTTATTTTTTTAAAAACCAAAACAAAAGTCAAACATTGCCAATTTAATGGCCACAGTTGGGGAGGGGTAGGGAGAGGTGGTGATGGTTTCTTGTTTTTGTTTGCATTTCCAACTGCCAGGGTCGATTTTCATTTTTCATATCTTTATATTGTATTTCTTTTGAAAAAATTTCCTATTCATGTCCTTTGCTCATTTTTCTACTTAGTATTTTTCTATTGGTCAAAAATAAATAACAGCGAACATTTATTGAGTGCCTACTGTATACTAGGTATTGTCCTATGCACTTTATAGACTGCCTTATTTCTTACTTCTTTCAACAACCCTGTGAGAGGTACGCACAATTTTTTTTTTTTTGAGACAGTGTCTTGCTCTGCTGCCCAAGTTGGAATGCAGTAGCTCAATCTCTGCTCACTGCAACCTCTGCCTCCCAGGTTCAAGCAATGCCTCAGCTTCCCCAGTAGCTGGGACTATAGGCGGAGGCCCCTATGCCAGCTAATTTTTGTATTTTTAGTAGAGACAAGGCTTTGCCATGTTGGCTACCCTGGTCTCGAATTCCTGGCCTCAAGTAATATGCCCGCCTCAGCCTCCCAAAGTGCTGGGATGACAAGCGTGAGCCACCACACCTAGCTGACCATACAATTATTATCTTACTGATTTGTAAGTGCGTTACGTGTTAAAGACAATAATCCTCACCGTATATTGCACATTTTTTTCAATGTGCTGCTTGCTTCTTAATTTTACCCTCAGAAGTTTTTATTTACAGAAGTTTGAAGGTTTTATGAGCTCAGATTGGTCAATTATTTCACTTCTACTTTTGCAGGTACATGTGAAGAGGTATTTTCCTATATTGAGATCAGAGAAATATTAAAGCCTGTTCTCTTCTGATTCTATTATGGTTTAACTTTAAACATTTAAATAGCTAATCCATTTACTTACTTTGATTATGGTCTGATAAAGAGTGTCAACATTTATTTATTTATTTCCCAAATGGATAGTCAATCATCCCTAAACCATTTATGGAATAATCAGTCCTTTCTTTTCAGTTTTTCATGGCTTCCTTATTATACTCTCAGTATATATCTTAATCTGTTTCAGATCTTGCTATTCAGTGATATGTCTGTGTATTCTCTCACCAGTGCCTACTTTTAAATTATTTTATATATATGTGTGTATATATATGTGTGTGTGTATATATATATATATATATATTTTTTTTTTTTTTTTTTTTTTTTTTTTTTGAGATGGAGTCTCGCTCTGTCATCCAGTCTGGAGTGCAGTGGCGTGATCTTGGCTCACTGCAACCTCCACCTCCTGGGTTCAAGCAATTCTCCTGCCTCAGCCTCCCAAGTAGCTGGGATTACAGGCATGTGCCACCACTCCGGGCTAATTTTTTATATTTTTAGTAGAGACGGGGTTTCACCGTGTTAGCCAGGATGGTCTCGATCTCCTGACCTTGTGATCCGCCTGCCTTGGCCTCCCAAAGTGCTGGGATTACAGGCATGAACCACTGCTCCCGGCCTAATTATTATATTTTTATAACAAGAAGTGCAAGTGTTCTATTCTACCCTTCCCTTATTAGTCTTGTTTCACAACATTTTCTCAAATATTCTTTATGAGTTTTCCCCATCCAGGGTGCACTTTAGAATCACCTTAAGGTCCAATAAAGATCATTTTGTCAAGTTACAATAAAAATTCCTTTTTGGTCAATAAGGAGCACATGTGAAAATTAATTTGGGGAATGTTGATTTGTGAACTTATGATGTATCTCTCCAAATATTCAAGTCTTTTACATTCTACATGAAAGATTTTTTTTTCCATTTAAATGCTTCACATTTATTGGGTAATATTTTAACGATATTTTATGCCACTTGTTAGTATAAAAATAACGAATTTACCTTATTTTCTGAATCAAAAAATCAACACACATGGATAAGATTTTTTTGTGTGTGCTTCTAAGTGTCAAAGACATTTTAGGAGGTGTGTTTGTATGCCGAAATGTGAGAATTTCTGAGCATTTCTGTGGTTAAGAGGTTGATAAGGTGGGAATGTTTACAATTGGAATGGTGCTGAACAAATCCCAAAGGTATGCTCTCCAAGCCCAAAGTGGCCAGCACAGTGTCCTCCAATATGGCGGACACTCGATACTTATGGGTGGCCTCACATTGCTGTGTTGGCGGACGCTTAGAGTCTAATGTTGGCAAATCCAAAATAAGGGATTAAAAGCAGTGACTCACTCTGGTACAAATATCAGACTCTTGAACCTATAGATTTGCCCAGTTTTCTCAGCAATTCTCAAGTGTGCGTGTGTGTGTGTGTGTGTGTGTGTGTGTGTGTTTGCCTGTGTACGTGTAATTCATTTCCCCACTGGGTTTTGAGTTCCTTGAGGTCAGGAATTTAATCCTACCCTTCTAGAGCCCCATACAGTGCCCAGCAGAGTGCTGAACTCAGAAGGTGTGCTCAGTAAATCATCGTTAAGTTGAGCGGAATTGTCTCTTACTACTATCATTGTCAACAGTGCAATCAGTAATCAGCAGCTGGGAAGCCTTCCTCCGGGCAGCCCTCTGTGCTGGCTCTCAGGGAAAGATATGCCAGGCTCAAAAGCCCTATTCTCTGCCTGCATGCCGCCTAAGAAGAAGCACTTGCTGCATACCAAGGAAGAGCTATATAGACAATGTCAGCACCTAAGATGGTTAGAGCCAAAAGGGGCCTAGATTATCCTAAGTGAAATGACTCAAACAGAAAGCAAAAAACCACATGTTCTCACTTACAAGTGAGAGCTAAACAGTGGCTCCGCATGGACATACAGAGAAGAATAATGGACACTGTAGACTCTAATAGGTGGGAGGGAGGGAGGCAGAAGAGGGATGAAATACTGCCTATTGGATACAATGTACACTATTTGGGTGATGGGTACACTGAAAGCACAGACTTCACCCTTACACAATAGATCCAGGCAACATAACTGCACTTGTACCCCTAAATCTATAAAAATAAAAATTAAAAAAAAAAAAACAAATTGGCTGGGCACGGTGGTTCATGCCTATAATCCCAGCACTTTGGGAGGCCAAGGCAGGTGGATCACCTGAGGTAGGGAGTTTGAGACCAGCCTGACCAACATGGAGAAACCCGGTCTCTACTAAAAATGAAAATCAGCCGGGCATGGTGGCACATGCCTGTAATCCCAGCTACTTGGAAGGCTGAGGCAGAAGAATCGCTTGACCCAGGAGGCGGAGGTTGCGGTGAGCTGAGATTGCGCCATTGTACTCCAGCCTGGGCAACAAGAGTGAAACTCTGTCTCAAAAAAAAAAAAAAAAAAAGACAGAAAGAAAGAAAAACAAACCCAAATCGGAATATCTGAGTGCAAAAACCCAAAAAACAAACAAAAGCCACCACCAAGAAAAGGGGCCGAGGTGATCATGCAGCCCAGCTCTTCACTTTACCTGGGAGGACACCGAGGCCCAAAGGAGATGAACAGCTTGACTCCAAGTCAGTGAACTCATTGGCAGAAGAGATCAGGGCAGGTCTAAAGGTGATGTGGTGGCCTTTAAGCAGGGTTGGGAAATTAGGAATAACTTCGTTTTGGGAGAGAAGAAGGGAAAGGATATTCGGGGAAGGGGATAGTAAGTGAAGAGGTTTGAAGGTAGGAGTAAGTAAGTTGCTGATGGTGAGCAGAGCAGCAGTGGGTGGTCAGTTGGTGGAGGAGGCTGCTGGTAGACCCCGTAGGGTCCATGTGATCTGAAGGAACCGGGGGAAGAGAGTCTTGCTGCTATCCATCGCAGGGGCAATGATGCAGTGTATCACGACTGTTCACTGACTTTGAGTCAAATTGTTCATCTCCCTGGTCCTCAGTGTCCTGAGATGAGCGTATGAAAACTCAGGTGGTCAGAGTGAGTGCCCTGACCAGGATGATGGCCAGAAAGGGCTGGTGCCAACATCAATAGCAATGCTCTGGGTACAGGGCTGGCTGTGCACGGGTGCAGGAGGGAGGCGAGGAGAGTCTTCCCCAGGGGCTGGGAAACTAGGGCAAGTGCTCTGGGACAACTAGGAAACAAGGCAGCGTGGAATCAGGTGCTAAATTGTGTGGCACAGACTGAGTGCTAAGAGGGAGGCCAGAGAAGGAGAGAGGGTTTGGAGTCATCAGGAAGGCATCCCGAATGAGGGGGATTTTGAGCAGAACTTTCAAAAAAGAACAGCACTCAGATAGGAGGGGGTCCTAGGTGTACTCATCATGCTTTTTATTTTCTGGGTTTTATGATGCTTTCACATCCTGGAGCCTTGCTAATTCTGGAGAGAATGCTCTTCCCAGGGCTAGCAAATTCCTAGAGAGAGATAGTAAACAACTTGCCGGTGAACACACCTTCCATACACAAACTAACGAATCCAGAGCCCATTCCCCCAACTACCTCCTTTATCTACTCTCACACACCAAACCAATATTCCCCCTGCGCTAAATCACCCCAGGGCCAGCTACCAGACAGCTAGGGATCACCCCTGTGGCACAGAGCCTGCTGACATTATGCAAACAAGCCAGTCCTAAGTTGTTCAAACTTGCTCACCTGCATGCCCATTCCTTCCTGCAGAACCCACAATTAAGGCTCTGGGCCATGCTTTCCTCTTCCTGATGACCCTGGTGTTTCCTCACAGAGCCCTTTGTGGCATGGCCTGGCATCCCTCCTCTCGGGAACCGTGAGTAATAAACTTTCTTCAATGGCATTGATCTCCCTGTGTCATCACTCGGTCATGTCCATAAATTTTTTTTTCTTTTCTTTTTTCTTTTTTTTTTTTTTTTTTTTTTTTTTGAGGTGGAGTCTTAACTCTGTCACCCAGGCTGGAGTGCAGTGGCGTGATCTCAGCTCACTGCAACCTCTGCCTCCCAGGTTCAAGTGATTCTCCTGCCTCAGCCTTCCATGTAGCTGAGATTACAGTTGCCCGACACCATGCCCGGCTAATTTGTTTATTTTTAGTATAGACAGGGTTTCACAATGTTGGTCAGGCTGGTCTCGAACTCCTGACCTCAAGTGATCTGCCCATCTCAGCATCCCAAAGCCCTGGGATTACAGGAGTTAGCCACCGTGCCTGGCCATATCTATGAATTAAGACCTGGATACAATAAAAATACTGGGAAAGGGAGCAGCCTCCTGTTTTGGAGCAGCTGGTGCAGAGGAATCTGCATGGACTTTGCAGGGAGACACAGTGAAGGGCAGATCCCTCTCCTCCTTTCCTTTGACCTCCCCCTCCTGCCGTCCTCCCTTCCACATCTCTCACTTTCTGTCATTGTGCGGTAGCTTCCTGCTCTGTTTTCCTTTGAGTGGCCCAGCCAAAAGTCCAGTGTTGTTTACTGTTGCTTGGAGTTTGGGGCTTAAACCAGTTCATGAACTCTCCCCATGTGACTAGCCCTTTCCAGCCTTATTCTCAATTATGTTATAATGCTTTTCCTGCTATTAAGGAATTTTAGGCACCTCTAAAGCCAATGGGGAAGATAATTCGGGAGCTGGGGATGAGTGGATTGGGAGAACTTTTCTGAAACTTCTAAAATTGCAGTCATTGGCAGGGGCCAGGTTAAGGCTCACAAAATGCCAAATTTTGCTTTATTTATTTATGTATTTATTTTATTATACTTTAAGTTCTAGGATACATGTGCACAACGTGCAGGTTTGTTACATAGGTATACATGTGCCATGTTGGTGTGCTGCACCCATTAACTCGTCATTTACATTAGGTATATCTCCTAATGCTATCCCTCCCCCGTCCCCCAATCCCACGACAGGCCCTGGTGTGTGACGTTCCCCACCCTGTGTCCAAGTGTTCTCATTGTTCAATTCCCACCTATGAGTGAGAACACGCGGTGTAAGGATCTAGAAGTAGAAATACCATTTGACCCAGCCATCCCATTACTGGGTATATACTGAAAGGATTATAAATCATGCTGCTATAAAGACACATGCACATGTATGTTTATTGTGGCACTATTCACAACAGCAAAGACTTGGAACCAACCCAAATGTCCATCAATGATAGACTGGATTAAGAAAATGTGGCACATATACACCATGGAATATTATGCAGCCATAAAAAAGGATGAGTTAATATCCTTTGTAGGGACATGGATGAAGCTGGAAACCATCATTCTGAGCAAACTATCACAAGGTCAAATTTTGCTTTTAAAAGAGAGGGGTGAGAGCTGAGCAGCCCAGGGTAAACTTTCGCTTTCTTCTTTATTGTAGTCTGACCTAAACAATGCTTGCTGTGTCTCGGTATACCTGGAGTCTTGGTTAATTACCCAGGGACTGCCCTGGGCCTGCTAACCATAGGTTGGATGGGGCAGGAGACAGAAAGAGAAATAGTATTAAGAGTTGGGACACCTTGATTCCGGTCCACACTCTGCACTGATAAGCTTCTATGACCCTGGACCTCAGTTTCTTCATCCATAAAATAGAAGGGTAGAACCAGATGGATTCAAGGGCTTTTCTAGCTCTACGGTCTACAAATCTAGGATGCAGGGAAGCATCCCTCATCTGTGCCATCAGCCCTGTCCCCGCTTCAGGCACGTGTTGTGACTCTTTACTCTTCATGGCAAAGGAAAATAAATGTCCCCTCATTGCTGTGCCCACCCTGGCATAGTCCCTGGGCAGGCTGTCTCTGTCTTCTCTCCCTGGGCAAACCGCACATCAGGCTGCAGGAACTCCATTGCAAAGCCTCAGGACGATTCCTCAGAGCCTCCGGGATAAAAGTATTGGTTTATTCCCTGGGATTACAGCAGGACTGGGGCAGGTGGCATGATACCCAGAGCTGAGTGTCCTGCCCAGGGAGGGGCTGCAGAGGGCAGCAGACATGCTTCTTGGAGCCGGTGCATACAACTCCCAGATACTGTGGGAGAATGCCAGTTTCCTTTCTTACATAACCTTTCATAACCTAGGAACAGTCCAGATTTTGGCTGCCTTTGCCTCAAGAGATGAATATATGCCCCCCTTTTCTTGGACACTTTCCTCCTTGCCTACCCCAATCCTACCCACCTTCACGGCCCCACCCAACTCTGCCACTCCACACCCTCCCTGCCCATCCAGCCTCCCCAAGGGCAGGCTCTTAATCCTAACCTTCTTCTACACTGCCCCCAGGACCTAGCAGAGCACAGAACTCATGGAGAGTAGAAATCTGTTGACCAATGAGATCATGCTGGGGAACGATTAACCCTGTGGTTAATTAACAAACTTTGTGCAGTCACAGCTGTGCCTGAGAAGAGTGAGCCCCTAGTCACAGCGGGGAGGGCTGGGGAGAGACTTCAGGTTGACAGGCATGATCTCACTTGAGCCTCACATCAGCCCTATGGGGTGCATGGTGTCTTTTATAGACTGGGGCTCACAGAGGCAGGTGACTGGTTCAGAGTCACAGAGCAGTCGTATGGACCCAGGTCCACCTGGTGTCAGTATCCCTGTACCTACCACTGCACCACACTGCCTCCTGGAGCAAAGAGGTCCCTGCTTCCTGGCTGCCAGGCCCTCAGGGAGGTACCTGTTCCTGGTGGGAAGTAGACAGGAAGATGCATGCAGAAACAGAGGGGAAAGTAGTTGGGGAAAGGGTGAGGGGTAGCGTCAGGGACCCTGGCCTCTACTGCCTTCAGGCTGGTTCCCAAAGAGATGAAGGATTTTTTGGGGAGAAATGTGTATTTCTTAGGGAAAAGGCAGAACCTGAGCTTACCCCTTGGGAAATGGTTTTGCAAAAGCACACGTAGATGGGCATCTACACACATGCAATGCACACATGCATGCACACACATGCACACACATATGCCTCCACACCCAGAGCCACAGCAGCCCGGCTCCCAGCCACCGTGGCCCTCCCCCACCAAACTCCGCTCTCCCTCCTACCCTATATGTGCAATCTTGTGAAAACTCCACCACTCTTAAGGTTAATAAGGCTCATTTGCTTAAGATAGCACCTGTTTCTATGGTGACTCCTGCCACCCAGAATCTGTTCATCAACTGAGACAAGAAAACAGTGACTTCCATCCTCTTTGAAAGGAAAAAGCCAATTCTCAGTCAAGGGCTTGATGGGCCAGCAGCCCAGGGAGCTCTGGGCATCTGTCCTTCCACCCTGCTGAAGTCCCTTCCTGCTGCCCCTCCCCCCACCTCCCAGCATCTCCAGATTCTTCCCAAACGCTCCGGACTGTGGGTTCCTCCTCCTCGTCTCTCTGCGAAGCAACAGAACCCGCTGCAGGAGGAGGGTGTTGCTCTCTCCCGACTCTGGGCCACTGGCTAATCTGCCCCTCAGTCTCTGATCTCTCCACACCAGCTCCACCGTGGTCTTTCTGGGTGGAGGTTGGCAGGGGAGCCCCAAGAAGCCCCTGGGCCTTCCCACCCATCCCCACTACCCCCGTGCCAAGCCTGTCTCTCACCCGGCACTCCTGGATTCCTGTAGCTGCCCCCAACACGTCTCCTGCCATGGGGCTTGTCCTTCTCCAGTTTCTGCCCAAAGCTGCTAGCTGACTCCTTCTCCTAAAATGAGAGCTGTTCGGGCCTCGCCCCTGCTCAAGGGCCCACTCTGGTCTTCTGTGGTCTGTAGCTGAGCTTTGCAACACTGACCTGACACTGGTTCCAACCACAGGTCACAAATCACTAGAGAAGTAGGTTCCCAGGCAGGTGTTGCTAATAATAAAGCTTCAGTGAGTGACTTACCTTCAAAAGTAAATGAGAGTGGCTTCCACATTCTCCCTCTAATAACGCCAATCTCATCGGTGTTCCAAGACGCTTTGTTACTGGGAGAGCAAGCGCGCAGGGAATCGCGAGGAACTTGGAGCTTGTTTTATGTGTTTGGAGACCCAGGGGAGTGTGTTGTGCGTACGAACATTTTGGCAGAAAGAAAAGTCGAGGGCTGCTTAGTGGAGGATCAAGTATGGAATTATAAACTATCAGAGCCTGGTGTTATCATCAAAATCTACCTCCCTGTTTCTGTTTGTAGGTGGGGTAATAGAGACCCACAGGGCGGCAGAGACTAGAGCAGCGTCACCAGCTAGCAAGCGGCCCAGCATACATGTCTTCCCCATCCTGGCCCCAAGCTCTTTCTGGAATATCACTCAGTCTCCTGCTTAGCAGAGCAGACCCCTCATGGCCTCCAAGGCCCTGTACCGTGAGACCTCCCTGCCTCTCCTCACTCTCCTCCCAGGATGGTGCTCTGTTCTAAGTGGGCTGGGGTTAAGCTTGTTTATAAAGTCGCAGCACCTGAGGGCCAATCTAATCCGACCTCTTGCCCAATCTCTGGCAGACGACTTCTCCTTGAATATCTCCAGACACAACACACTCGGCCCCTGAAGACACAGCAGCCCTTTGGCTGCAAATATCACGTTCGTATCCCACAGCCAGGCCACCTGTCTTGGCCTCTCCTGGGAGTTCCAGGCTCATTTCAATCTCTCACTTAAAATCTAAAAGGCACCTCTGGCTGGGCACGGTGGCTCACACCTGTAATCCCAGCACTTTGGGAGGCTGAGGTGAGCAGACCTGAGATCAGGAGTTCGAGATCAGCTTGGCCAACATGGTGAAGCCCCATCTCTACTAAAAATGCAAGATTAGCCAAGTGTGGTGCTGCGGGCTTATAATCCCAGCTACTCAGGAAGCTGAGGCCGGAGAATGGCTTGAACCCGGGAGGCAGGGGTTGCAGTGAGCTGAGATGGCAACACTGCACTCTAGACTGGGCAACAGAGCAAGACTCCAACTAAAAAATAATAATAAAAAAATAAAATAAAATAAAAGGCATCTCTGAGTGAACATGTCTAAGACAGAGCTTGAGACTCCCCCTTGTCTCCTCACCTGCCAGGCCTCCAGTATCCTCATCTCAGTAAAGGGCACCGTTGTTCACTCAGGCCCCAGAGCCAGGGGCCATCCTCGCACCATCCTTCACCCTCCACGTCTAATTCATTGGCACGTCCTGTTGGCTCTCAACCTCACAACGGGTTCTGAGGCTGCTCTCTCCATGGCCACGGCTCTTGCCTTGGTGTAAGTCACCGTCATTCCTCTCAAAGGAGCAAAATGGTCTCTTACAGCTGTCTTGGGCCACTCCACATAGCAGCTAGATAGATCTTTTAAAAGTGCAAGGCAGGGGCTGGGTGCGGTGGCTCACATCTGCAGTCCCAGCACTTTTTGGGAGGCCGAGGTGGGAGGATTGCTTGAGGCCAGTGGTTCAAGAGCAACCTGGGCAACATAGTGGGGCCCTATATCTATAAAAAATAAAAGTAAATAGCTAGGCCTGGTGGTATGCACCTGTAGTCCTAGCTACTTAGGAGGCTGAGGCAGGAGGATGACTTGGGCCCAGGAGTTGGAGGCTGCAGTGAGCTATGACTGCACCACTGCACTCCACCCTGGGCAACAGAATGAGACCCTGTCTCCTGAAAACAACAAAAATGCAAGGCAGTTTTTACCCCGTGTTGGAAGTCCTCCCACAGTCTGTGTGCCAGACTCCTTGCCCAGGCCTGGATAAAGACCGGACATTGGCGGTTCTCAACCCCAGATGCACATTTTTTCTTTCTTTCTTTCTTTTTTATTATGATGAGGTCACTTAACACGAGATCCACCCTCTTTACAGTTTTTAAGTGTACAGTATGGTACTACTAAGTATAGGCACCGTGTTGTACAGCAGATCTCCAGGACTTAATCATCTTACATTACTGAAACTTTACACCCGTTGAACAGCAACGCCCCATTTCCTCCTCCCTTCGCCCAGATGCATATTCACATCCCCTGAGAAGCCTTAAAAATAAGGATGCCTATGCTCCACCCCCAGAGATTCTGACTTAGCTGGTCTGGGTGCAGCTTCCTTGGTGATTCTAACAAACGGTTAGAACCTCCATCCTTCCTGGTCTCCCTTGCTGCCTCATGACCTCATCTCTTCCATGCTGCCCCGTGACCACCCTGCTGCAGCCACACCAGTCCCCATCTGATTCTGGAACACGCCAGCTCCTTCCTGCTGTTCCCTCGGCCCGGCTGCCCTGTCCTCGCAGGGTTGCCTGGTGAATTCCCACTCTGCTCACAGGTTTCCTTCTCTGGGGAACTTTCTCCCCGCTCTCCTTCTCATCTCCACGGTTCTCAGGACTCAACTCCATCCTAACACTCCCCACTCTGTAATGGAGTCATTGATTTTTCTCCTCTGCTCCCCTCACCAGAGAGGGAGCTCCTTAACAGTAAGGATGTGATTGCATACAGGTCAGCACGGAGGACTTTTAGGGCAGGTCAGCTACTCTGCATGGTACTGTCATGGTGGATACACGTCGTGATGCATTTGTCCAAACCTATACAACATGCAACATCAAGAGTGAACCCTAATGTAAACTATGGACTTTGGGTGATAAAGATGTAGGTTCACGGATTGTTAGCAATCGCGTGTTTTGTTTTGTTTTGTTTTGAGACCGAGTTTTGCTCTTGTTGCCCAGGCTGGAGTGCGATGGCACGATCTTGGCTCACCACAACCTCCGTCTCCCGGGTTCAAGCGATTCTCCTGCCTCAGCCTCCCAAGTAGCTGGGATTACAGGCATGCGCCACCATGCCCATGTAATTTTGTATTTTTAATAGAGACAGAGTTTCTCCATGTTGGTCAGGCTGTTTTTAAACTCTTAACCTCAGGTGATCCTCCCACCTCGGCCTCCCAAAGTGCTGGGACTACAGGCATGAGCCACCATGCCCGGCCATGATTGCCAGCATTAAGTTCGTCAATTATAACAAACATACCACTCTGGTGCCAGATGTTGATAGTGGAGGAGGCTTGGAGCAGGCAGCAGGTATATGGAAATACTGTGTACTCTGCTCTCTTTTGCTATGAATGTAAAATGCTTTAAAAAATAAAGTCTATTTTTTTTTAAAAAAAAGGGATTTGATTGCATAAACTTTTTGATCTGCAGTGCCTGAATGAAACCTATTGCCTAAATGGGCTAAGCACATGCTGAATGAATGAATGAATGAATGAATGAATGAGGGGTCTGATAGATGCACAGAAAGGAGAGGTATAACTCTTCAATGGTCTGAAACCTTTACTTTTATTGATGTGGCCTAAGATGATATTAACTGTCTCAACTCCCACATTGTGGCTTGACATTCTATTATTAGCTTAAAATTTAGATTAAAATTAGCTTCAAAACTAGCTAAAACTCCTCTTGATCTTTTCCCCTCATGAACCTCTGACATGCCAGATCTTCCCCCTTCTGTATGTGTGCAACTGATTTAGAACCTAAATATAGAACTTTAGATTAATACCTATTAAATTTAAATTTCTCAATGCAGGCACATCCTTTTGATTTGCCAAAATTAACTGTTTTGTGTTACCCATCGTATTAGCTATTCCTTGAAACTTTGACCTAAAATTTGGTGAGCATGCTATCCATAAAGATACTGAACAAGGTAGCCGGGTGTGGTGGCTCACACCTGTGATCCCAGCACTTTGGGAGGCTGAGGCGGGCAGAACATCTGAGGTCAGGAGTTCGAGATCAGCCTGGCCAACAAGGTGAAACCGTCTCTATAAAAAATACAAAAATTAGCCAGGTGTGGTGGCATGTGCATGTAATCCCAGCTACTCAGGAGGCTGAGGCAGGAGAATTGCTTGAAGCCAGAAGGCGGAGGTTGCAATGAGCCGAGATCATGCCACTGCACTCCAGCCTGGGTGACAGAGCAAGACTGTGTCTCAAAAAAAAAAAAAAAAAAAGATATAAACAAGGTGAGGCACTCAGGCCAGAATCTTGCAGCATGTCACCAGGGACCAACTAGAAGATTGGTACTAATTCATTTGTCACCTCTTCAGGAATGATTTGTTAACAAGTCACAAACTCCCACCTACCACAACAGTCATTGAAGCAACATCTCTCCCCCTTGGCCAAAAGGTTACCACAATTGACTTGTTCTAATGCCTGGCTCAGCCAAGCTGTACTGTGCTTACTGACAGCATCTTCCTGGTCCAAGGGGTCAGTGCATTTCCCAACAAAGAAATCTGAGTGGTCAGGCATGATTTGTTTTTGGTGAATCTATGCTGACTCCTAATGTGCACTGTTTTCTTTTCTATATTGTCTCAGACCATCTGCTTATTAAACTGTTTTTGAATTCCGATGTTTTGATGAGGACTGATATTACACTTACCAGCCTAAATTTGGGAATCCACATTTTCCTTCCCTATTTCTGGAAATGATTTCGTGATTGCAAATCTAAGCTCTTTCTGGACCTTGGAGGTGTAATTCATTTAGCAATCTCAACTCATTTAAAGCAATGGCATGTTTGTGGATTGCAGAAGGGTTTTTTGTAAGAGGGGACAGAGCAGGTAACAGTCCGCAGAGGCCTAGAAGGTTTGAGCAGATCTGAGACAATAGAAGCAGATCAGCAGGAGAACACGAGGGTTGTGGGGCAGGCAGGTTTCAGAGCCTCAAAGGTCTTGAGTAACACACTGGGGAGAGGGGTCTCTGTCTGAGATACTGGGGAATCACTGCAGTTCTTCAAGTAGGAAAGCAATATGATCCTATTTAGATTTTAGAAAAATCATCCCATGAAGGAAAGATTCACATTTTTGTAGACGGTGAGATTATAGGAGGGGAAACTCTTAGTAGATGTTTGCAATAACAATCTAGAGACATCTATAACAATCAAGGGCCTCAATTAACTCACCCATCTTGTCTTTTAATTTATGTTTATGATTCTTTTTTTCTACCCCATTCAAATGTTGAGCTTTTAATTACGCTGTTCCTTTCCTGAAATGCAATTGCTTGTATCCTCTGACTTTTCCAGGCCTGCTCATAATTTCAACTCTTATCTACATTGTGAAGTCATCACAGAGTGATGCCACCCCATCCATATATCTGTCCACCTACCAAACCTCCACCTCCATCCATTTATCCATCCATCCATCTACCCAGTCTCTATCCATCCATCCATCCACCCACCCACCTACCCAACCTCTATCCATCCATCCATCCATCCATCCACCCACCCAACCTCTGTCCACCTATCCATTCATCCACCTACTAAACCTCTATCCATTCATTCATCCATCCGTCTATCCACTCACCTAACCAATGTCTATCCATTCATCCATCCACCTACCTACCTAATCTTTATCCATCCATCCATCCATCCATTCATCCATTCATGCATCCATCCACCTATCCAACCTCTATCCATCCATTCATTCAGCTATCCACCCACCTACCCAACTTCCACCCATCCATTCATCACTCCATCCATCCATCTATCCATGCATCTGTCCATCCACCTATCCAACTTCCATCCATCCACCCACCCATCTACCCAACCTCTAGCCATCCATCCATCCATCCATCCCTCCATCTATCTATTCATCCATCCATCCACCAACCACCCACCTATTCAACCTCCATCTATCCCTCTATCCATTCACCCACTCACCTCTATTCACCCATTCACCCATCTCTTCCTCCATTCTTTATTCATTCATTCATTTCTTCATGCCTTCATTAATTCAACATTTACCGAGGGCACTTAATGTTCTGGGCTAAGTGCTAAGAATATAAGAAGACACATTTCTGCTCTCCAGGAACTCATGGTCTAAGAGGGAAAAGAGACTCATAAATAATAATGAGGGCACTAATTGAGGTTTAACTGAGTGTGGCAGCAGCACAGCGGGACTGACTAACTCAGTCTGGGGGTGGTAGAGCAAGCCTTTCGGCAGAGGTGACATCTGAGCTGGGCCTTGAAGTAGGAGGAGTTGCCTCACGGAGATGAGGAGGGTGCTCCCAATTCCCACAGCAATTTGAGTCTAAAAAGCCCACTTGGAGTTGACTAAACCATTGAGTATTGCTCTCTCATTATCTCCTATATGTTGGCCTTGTCTTTCCAACTGGGCAGCAGAAAAACCACATTTTAAATCCCTAACATGTACTCACCAGATTTGATTTGATTTGATTTTTTTATTTATTGTATTTTATTAGTAGCCACAGTGCTGAGAGCGGTGTGGGTCAGACAATCAATCCTAATGGCTACCTGTCAAGTCTGATGCCCACTGGTGGCTTCTCTCCTTCAAGGTCTTTAAAGCGATAACCACACAGGCAGCTCATTCTCCTGGCCAGGCCCTGCCCTACTTCTTGGGAGTGACATACATTTTGTACCATCGAAGGCTCGACTTTCTAAGCTTCCTATGGAGGATTGAGGGTGGTAAAGGATGGAAGGAGGAAAGAGCCAGCATATACATAGCAACTACTAAGCACCAGGTGCTACGTGCTGGGTGTTTCACAAATGTTATCTCGTTAAATCCTCAACATTCCTGCGAGGTCGACTTTAGTTTCCTCTTATACAGACGAGGAAACAGATTCAGGGAGGTAAACAATTTGCTCATAGTAAGTAGAGAATCAATCTCCTGCGTCCACACTGCACTTGGAGCCCCGGTCCAGGGCTGTGCATGGCTGAGGCAGGTGTGGCTAGAGGTAGAGGTGCCACCAATCTCAAACCAAACTGCTTACACCAGCATCACCACCTCTGAGCCCCCACACATGGCCACAATATAAGCTGTCACCTGGGCTGGGCCTAGGTGGTGGGTGTGGAACCCGTTTAGACTCTGGAGTAGCAATATGGCCTCATGAGTAGGCACGTAGGTTTTGGGCTCCAATCTCAGGCCGCCACTTGCTAGCTGTGACATCTTGGGCAAGTTGCTTACCCACTCTGGGCCTCAATTTCTCATCTCCATTACCTCTGTCTTTTATGAGGACTGCATGAGGTGCTTATGTAAAACACAGCACTTGGCATCACTTGCCAAGTGCATCAATGATGTTTTTCTTATTTTCCTTCTTCCTCTCCCTCTCTCCTTTTCTTCCTCCTTTTTATTCTCTCTTCTTTAGTTATTGTTGTTGTTAATATGTTCTATGGATATGAGCTACAGGAAGAGTATCTGTGGCCAGGAGAGACAATATGCCAGGTGGAGACACTGTGGGAGATGCCAAGGGGCACACCTTACAGGTCACCTGCACCAGCCTTCTACCCAGTGGGAAAATTTCCTGGGTCACCCATGGATAATTACTGTCATTAATAAAAGCCAGCTCCTTGGTGGGATATATGCTCAGTTCTTGTGCAGTTCAAATTCTTAGAAAGTTCTTCCTCATAAGGGACCAAAATGTGCTTCCCTGGAAAACTTCCCCCACTGGTCCTGATTCCGCCTGGTGGAGTCCAGCAAGATCTCTTCTGTTTTCCAACGAGATTTCCTTAACTCTTTAAAGGCCATTCCTTCTCGTGTGTCCGTAGTTGTTCCAATAGGCTAGCCTTTCCTACTTCCTTCCGCTGCTGCTGACCTGATGTGGTTTCTACAGAACCTGACCATTCAGGTTGCTTTCCTATGCTGGTCATTATCCCTCTTAAATTACTGCGGCCAGAACAGAAGACATTATTCCAGTGTGGCATAAACAATGCAAACAGATAGAACTTTCTAAGACCGAGGAAGGATCACCATGCTTCAAAGATGCTGCCCACCCTTCTCCCTCTCCCCTCCCCCACCGCCAACCCCCTCGCTTCCTAAGAGCATCTGCTCAGGGGTGGGTGTCTGAGGCTCAAAGGACAGTGAAAAGCCCGGGTTCCTCATGTCAGGGCAAGGATGGATTTGGGCTGTTGGTCTTATACATTTTCTGGCTTTGCCCATGAAGGAGTGCCAGGAGCCACCAGCTGCCCCCTCAGAGCTGAGTTCAGAGTTGGGTGAGCGAGACTGTGCTGTTCCCTTTGGGGTGTCTCATGGAGGGGTGTGTGTGTGTGTGTGTGTGTGTGTGTGTGTGTGTGTGTGTGTGAGAGAGAGAGAGAGAAAGAGAAAGAAAGAGTGAGTTTTCTGCCTGATCCAGGAATTCTCCTGGATGGCAGAATTGGTTTCCATAACGACTTTCTGATATAAACATATTTGATAAAAATAAGTTAACAGTGGAGCTGTGGTGGAGCACAGAATCTCAGAGTGCTGAGAGAGAGAGAGAGAGAGAGAGAGAGAGAGAGAGAGAAACCTCCTAGAAGAACAGCATTTTCTTTCTCTTTCACCCCACCTAGTCAGCCTCTCTATACACGCTTGCCATAAACCAACGAAAAAGCTTTGTTTACAATATTCCTGTATATACTGGCTCCCTTCCTGCATGTATACCTTATTCATATCCGCACTCTCTCTTTCTTTCTCTCTCTCTCTCTTTCTCCTTAGTTACCTGAAGCACTACAGTATGTATGGGATAATATGATAAACTCATTTCCAATTCACTGCATTATCCCTTGAATATTTTAATGACTCATTGAATGAAGTGAAAAAAAGCTATTTCAAATGAACAATTATGCTGCATTAGTCTAAGGGCTGATTATATTTAAACACTGCTCACATGGATAACAGGACACAGCGACCTCAGCATACGAGAGCTAATTTGGCTCTTATCTCCAAATAATTTCACATCGCAAATTACCATGAAAACCTAAAGGGCTTTAAAAACATTCATCAAAAGATAATATTCCGCTTTGTAGCAACATTTTATTTAAATTATTTTGAATGGGAGCAAAAGCATCTCTAGGGCGGGACAATGACAGCAGAGTGGGACTGTGAGTGATAAGGAGATGGCAGGGGCACTGGCTTCTGTTAAAAATAGAGGTGGGAAATGTTGGAGAGGAAGGGGCTGCAGCCCCAAATGTGGGCAGTGCACCATAGGCCTGGCTGTCACTTGCAGCCCAGCATCACACCTGGGCTGTGGCCTGGGACGGCTCCAGGGAGTCTGCTCTGGTTCAGGAGGTCACAGGGGATCCCTAGAGGTGGAATGATGGGACTGACCAAAGGCTTCCAGGCTCCAACACGCTTTGGTTTCCTCAAAAGCCAGCTGGGGTCACGTTAGGTCCTCCAGGCTGGGCCTGGACTCATCTAGTTTCAAAGGGCAAAAGGATGAGCTGTGTTGGGCACTGTCTAGAATTTTCACTTTGCAAGACTTGAGTCCAATTGTCTAAGGGAGTTTGCTAAATCATAAGTAGCTGCTATGGTCAGATGTCAAAGTTGGGGGCTGTAGGGGAGATAATTACATTTACCAAAGTCCTACTATTCTGTGTCAGAAGACTTAATCTCATTGAACGCTGGGAAATAGATATTATCATGCCCATTTTAATGATGAAGAAACTGAGCCTCAGAGGCTTCTCCTCTTTGCATATGTAATTTCCTTTTTCCTTGTCTCCACTCTGAAGAGTGAGGATTTCTGTCAGTTTCACAGAGGCAAAGTTGCAGTCTCAGAGAGGTCAAACAACTCGCTCAGCAGTGGAACCGATCACTCAAGCACAGGTGTCCTGGCATGTGCTACCCACATAACTAGAAAGCAGGGAGCCATAATTCTTGCCCTGTTTATTGGATTTCCCATTATCTTATTCACCTAATGTACTTAGAGGTCCTTCCCACCTGGAAGCGGCAGAGCCTGGAACCTCCTCTAGTTCATCTGACCCAAAGTCCGAGCTCTTTCCCTTTCCCTTCAGGGTGGCCACATACAAGTCTGGTTAATAATCACCTGGTTTATGGCCACCTCTGTGCTGTCTCCATCAGCAAGCACTCTTTATGGCCCATAGAGCTGAACCTACATGTTAGGAAGCCTAAGTCACGCCTTTTAGCTGCTTATTAGTTAAAATGGATCCTCACAGTACAGGTCAAAGCATGCATGGGAAACTGCACAAATATCAGTGGCAAAACTGCAAATACAGCTCTAAAGACAGAAGTCATTATTAATCCCATCTCCTTGGTTTGACCTCTTCATCTGAACTTGCAGGCCTGATAAAGATTGTTTATTCTGTTTATTATCATTAGTGTGGTTCTGGATATATAGAAAATGAGATTATATCATTATTTTTATATCGATATATTTAAATTTCTACAGGCTCTGCTGCTCCATTGATTAGGCACAAGGATACACGTGCCGCTTCCTATAGTGCCTCTCTCTAGGGACGCTTCTCCTCTTTGCATATGTAATTTCCTTTTTCCTTGTCTCCACCCTGAAGAGTGAGGATTTCTGTCAGTTTCACAGAGGCGAAGTTGCAGTCTTAGAGAGGTCAAACAACTCGCTCAGCAGTGGAACCGATCACTCAAGCACAAGTGTCCTGGCATGTGCTACCCACATAACTAGAAAGCAGGGAGCTATAATTCTTGCCCTGTTTATTGGATTTCCCATTATCTTATTCACCTAAAGCACTTAGAAGCCCTTAGGAAAAAACCTCTAATTATGGAAAAATTTAACCCTACAGAAAAGTAGACAAAATAATGACCCTTTAGAGACTCTTTTAATTCAACCCAGAATTGGTTGCATTTACAGTTGCCAAAGGTTGAGGGCACTGAATGAAAGGGAACCATGAACTTGCCAATTTCCTTTTCTTTCTTAAAACAAAAAAGATATTCAGGGCAAATTTTAGAATCATTGACGGTTTCTAGGAAGATTTTCTTTTTTGGAAGAAAAAAGATACTCTTGTCTCCTTAATTGTTCTTAGTGTTCTTTGTCACCAATCATGATATTCTTTGTGGAAAGTATTAATATACCATCTTCCCGTGTTCAATATCCCCATTAACAATAAAAAGTCTAATGAAAATATCTGCATGAAAAGCTCTGAACACTAACTTCAGAGACAAATAAAAGATGCACCAATAAGTGTTTCTTTGAAAATGAATGATGCAAATTAATTGATATCCTAATGAGCTTTCAGCATGAAGATTATTAGTTAGATGGAGTCAGAACTGAAGATCATCTTTAAGGAAATGCTAAGGACACTGCAGTCGGGGAGAAAGATGTTATCTGTCAATGCTCAGTTAGAAATCGCTCTTGCTCAATGAGAACTTTTCAAAGAGGGAGCCAAGTGGGACAGCATACCTTATGTATCTGTCTCTGCCTGTCCTAGCCTGGCCAGGTTCGGAGACTGGAGCCTAGTCCTGTTCCTGAGTTGATGGAAACCCACAGGTATAGGAAGTTCCACCCCAAGCCAGCCTCTGGGGGTCTCGTAATACCACCACTGTGCTGCAGATTCCTTCCTTGGTCTCTAGAATAGAAGCCCTGTGAGGGCAGAGCCTTCCTCAATTTTGTTTGCGTTTGTGTCACCAATGCTAACCTAGCTGCCTGATTTACAGCAATAATAATATAAGAGCAAGTAATGATGTAGAGTTTACTATGTGTTCTGGGTATTGTTCTGAGCACTATCCTTAAAATAATTCGCTTAAGCTTCATAACAACAGTGTGAAGTAGGCACACTACTATCTCCAGCTTACGAGTGAGTATATTGAGACACAGAGAGGTTGAGCAACTAGCCCAAGATCACACAGCTAATAATGGTAGATTAGGAATTCAAACCACAGCAGTCTGGCTCTGGAGTCCTTGCTCTTAACCACTGTGCTATACTGAATAGTGTTCTATATATATTTCTTGAATTAAACGAACAAAGGGGTACCATGAATTAATGCCCGGTCCCTACTGCCAGGCATCTAACTTTTGGCTTTTATTTAAGTTATCCAAAGTTCCAGAGCTTTATCCTACTCCGTACTAAACCCTGCCAGCCCCTCTTTGGAGTGGAGGTGGGGGGTGCCACAGATATTTCTTGTATTCCTAAAAACTCGTTGCTGTCCTGTTTCAACCCAGATAGCCTGTCAAAAAATTGTCCCTACTGAAGGGTTCCTATGGCCATGGCCTGATCAACCATCCAGTTAGACCTGGCCCCCTAATATCAGGGTCAGCTGAAGTTCCACCAAGTTTGCTTCTGTGGTCATTGTGAACCACAGGGCCATGGTCCCTCTCTGTCTGCAGAGACTTTATGGCAGGCTTTCCTACTAAGGCTGCTTGGGTAATGATGGTATTTAGGGTGTAGTATTATGGGGTCCAAAACACTTACCTAGTGTGTTTTATTTAACAAGATAGTATTCACTGGGGACAGTTCCCTGGAAGCATCTACCCATAAAGGATAGTTAGAAAAAGAACTCTGGGAGTGAACCGGGGGGTGGTGGAGGGAACCACAGAGATGATGTCTTCCTTGTTATAGAGAGGGGATAGTGGCTCCTTGTCCTAGTGGAGTTGATGGGAGAGATGTGATGTGAACTCAGGCCACATGGTACGGCAGGAAAGGCATGTGACTTGGGGTTAAGGGACGCGGATTGAAGACTCACCTCTCTTACCCATTAGCTAAGAGATGGCATCATTCAACTTCTCTGGGCTCTGCTTTCCCCATCTATAAAATGAGGATTATGTCTATTTCACAAAGTGGTGTTGAGTTTCAAGAGTTTTAAAAGTGCTTTTCGCTTGAAAATTGCTCCACAAATGAGTGATGTTAAGAACGACCGAGGCATCCCAGCTCTATGGTCTTCCTTCAATCTGCTCAACCCCTCTGGATGCTTGTTAAGCCAGAATGCCGTGTTCTCCCCAGACCGACCGAGGTGGAAGTTCTGCGGGTGGGGTAGTGCCTAGGCAGCTGCATTTTAACAAGCTCGTCTGCCAATTCGAATGCACTCAACTGTTTGAGACCCACTTAGCAGTGGTGAACACCAACACAAAGGAAGTACTCTGGGTTTGATCAGAGCCTTCACTTCCTCTGGTCGAGGTCTAGAATCTGAGACCTAAATGAATTTGGTTGACACCGTCTCTGTGGCTGGTGGAATTTTGGGGAAGGTGGGCAGGGCCAAGTGGATATCGCTGCCGCTTCCTGCTGAACACTCACGAGGGAAGCAGTGCAAATGTGACGGAAACCCGCGCCTCCTCCGGCCTGAGCGGGAAGGCCGAGGGCCGCACCCGGGCAGGTGGCACTGGTAAGCTCTGTGGCTTAGCAGCCTTGCCGGACAGCTGCCACCTGTCACCTGCCACCTGTTCTACTTCTAAGCTGGGCTGCTGAGGCTAAATTCATGTTCGTTGTACAGAGCTCCTGTGAGAGGTCCCTTCTGAGTATGGGGGTAAGGGGAGTGCAGGAGTCGGGGGTCTTCAGGCTTGGAAGAGAGGCAGCCTCATGGTCCCAAGTCCTCTCAATTCTGAAGTCATCCCACCCTAACTGCTTTTGCACTCCGGCCTCAGGACCGCCGAGCAGAGCTCCTAACAGGAAGCCCTGTGTGCCTGGGGTGGCTGTGAATGTGACCTTCAGGGCAATACTTCTCTCTTGAGTGTTTCACCCCTGAGACCGCTGGGGAGGCCTAAGTTCAGAAAATGACAACGCTCTAGCCTTGGGGGGTGAGGGGGAGATGCCAGTTCTTTCTCTTTCATGCCCACTGCTCCTCTCCCCTTCCTGATGGCTCAAACCTCCCAGCTCTGTCCCTTTGTGTGTTTATGGTGTTTGGCCAGGGAAGTGTGTGGAGTAACAGAGGTGGCTCCAGCACTGCCCACGAAGCTGCTGCTTGGGTCTCCCTTGAGGAAGCCCCTTCCAGGGCCATAGGCAGGGCTGCCTCTAAGGATGCCTGTCCACCTGAGCTCCGTGGGAGGGGCCCCGGTCACTGGGCCACCAGCTGGTTGCCAGGGTAACTACCCTCTCACCCCCCTACTCCCACCCAGTGGCTGCGAAAACCCTGCCTTGCTCAGGATAGTCACAAGCTAGTTCAGATTTAAACCCCTTCCTCCACCCACAGTTCTAGAAGGAAAAACATAAACTCTTCATAGTTGCAGAATTATTTGTTTTCCAAAGTGCTCTCATAAGTCATTGGCTCATCATGACAATCACAGCAAGTCAGCAGCACATTTCCCATATTACAGAGCAAGATGAAATGCCCAGAGGAGCCGACAGAGGTCACTGGGTTGGTAGCCAGCCAAGGTCCAAACCACATCCAAACTTTGTTTTTCTAGTTCCGAGTTCCCACTATCTTACAGAGTTGATGCCTTTGTATACTGTTTGCAAAACCCATCTGCAGGTGTTCTAGGCACAGATTCGTGACTGTTTGAGGCTAGTGTGGACTTCCCCAAAGAGCACTGCCAGGCACTCATGAACAAAAGGATTCAATAATCAAATGCAACTGGAAAATCAGTGTATATGATATAGAGCATACTAGACTAGTAAAAGCTCCAAAAGCCCTTGAGTGAGAAACAGAATGAATTCAGTTCAACTCAGAGTATCCAAAACTTGTTTGGCAACACAGCCTTTCCCTCCCACATAATGGCACAAACAAGCCACCAGATTTGAGGACCCTCCCTGAAGAGGGTGAGCCAGGCTCCTTCACAATTATCGTGATGACAAAGACACAAAGATGAGAGGCGGCCACTTGTTTCTGTACACAAAGAAAAGGAAGTTGCTGTGCCTCTCTCATGCCCCATGCCCCATCATGGGGAGGAGCTCCAGGACTTCTCCTGGCCGGTTCTGCCACCTGCACGTCTCAGAATCCCCTCAGTGCCCCCAAATCCAGTGGTGTGCTGAAGCCAATTGTTAACGTTTCAGAAACAGTGTGAGTCAGTTGTTAAATCATCAGGAGCTTGAAATTAAATCACCACTCCCGTGGTGGGAGTATTTATTTATACCATAAAAATCAGCAAACACTAGAAATCAGGACTCTCCCCACCCTTCTAGAAAGCTGGGTTACCAGCATACCACTGGCCCTGGGACACTTTTTGAAATTGTTGGAAAACTTGGGAGGGCTTTGATAGCTGAGCACTGGGGGAGATGGGACACAGAAGTCCTCGCTCCAACCTTCCTGGATGAGAGGTGGGAACTGCACTGAATGATAATCTTCCAGATACAACCCCAAATGCGTCAGAGAGTGCCTCTTGGCCTGCTTACCTTGATATCTGTTACCAGCCAATGTCTCCAGAATCTCTGTCTGGGTTCTGCTCTGCTAGGGGCATCTGGATCCACCATCACCAGGATATAGGTTGCGCCCTGTAACACATGTACCGAAAAGTAATGTAGCGTCATGGCTGAAATAGGAAAATACCACGGGGCAGACCTCCTTTTCCCGCCATTCCAACCGAGAATGGCTGAGTAGCCCCTATGGCGTCCCATCCAGTTTATCCTTGCTCTCGTGACATCCCTCTCACATCACGTTTATTCTCAGAGAAATGGCATCTGTGAAGCAGACAGCAGGACTCTTGGCTTCCTCTTTGTGAGGAAGAATAAATCCAACAAGATATACATACCAAGCACCTGGGAAGTTCTGAGCGCTGTGCTGAGTGCCGTGGAGGAATCAAGGAAACCTAAAACAGGTCTCTGGTCCTCTCAAGAAGAATCCAGTGTAGTTGGAGTGACTTGTTTATCAATTCAACAAATATATGAGGACTTATTTTGTGTCAAGAACGGTACCTATCACAAAGAACACCAGGATTCATTCATCCCTTCAACAAGCCTTTGCTGAACACCTACTGTGTGCCAGAAGCTGCTCTAGGTGCCAGGAGGCAACAGAGCACAAGACAGTAAGGTCCATACTTTCAGGAAGCTTTTGTTCTAGGTAAAAGACGCAGATAATAAAAATAAATAAATAAGCAAGGGAACGTGTGAGTAGTGCTATGATGAAAATAAAACAGGGTGGGATGAGAGGTGGGAAGTGTTCTGGAAGGAAAAAAATAGCTGCTATGAAGGTCTTCAGGTGGGAAAAAAGTAGGCTTTGAGGAGCAAGAAAGAGCACCATTGTGGCCAGGGACAAGCAAGGGGGAGGGTGGACATGGCAGGTGCAGGGGAGGGAGCAGAGGCCAGGCCACAGGGGGCTCTCTAGGCCTGGATAGGGAGTGGGGTTTTATTCAAAGTGCAACACAGAACTGTTTCAGGGTTTGGGGCAGGACAGTGATATGCTCTGATTTATGCTTTTAGAGGATTCTTTTGGCTGCTGAGTAGAAAATGAATGATCTCCAAAGGCCAGAGAGGAGGCCAGGAGGCCAGTTAGGAGACTCGCAGTAGCATGGGAAGGATGTTGGTATCTTGGGCTAGGATGGCAGAAATGGAGACAGAAACAAATAGATGGGTTGGGGGAGTATTTTTAGGTAAAATCGGCAGGGTTTGCTGATAGATTCAACGGCACGGCAGTAAGGAGGGGGATGGAGAAAGAGAAATTGAGGATGAATCCTGGGTTTCTGGCTTGAGCAACTGGGCCATTAAATGGTACAAATAAGACTTGGAGAGGAGGCTGTTTGAAGGTGGACATTCAGAGTTCTGGTTTAGATATCTTGAGTTTGAAATGCCCCTCAGAATATAGGTATGCATGTCGGTCTGTAATTCAGAGGAGAGATCAGGACTGGGTGAATAAATTTGGTAGTCATTGATATAGAGATGGCCTTTAAATCAGTAGAGCAGACACAGAGAAGAAAAGAGGTCTCATGGCTGAACTGTAAAACATGCTACAATTGAGAGGAGGGGAGAATCAGGGAAAGGGGACTTTAGAGCCAAAAAGTTTGGGGGAACACCTGGAAAGCAGGTGTCACAAAAGCCAGGATAGAAAGTGTCTCCAGGAAGAGAAAGTGATCAGCTATATCAAATGCTGCTAAAAGGTAGGGCCAGATGAGGACACAGATGTGACAATCTGATTTGACAACTTGGATATCACTGTTATCACGATAAGACCAGTTTCAGTGGAGTAGAAAGGACTGATATTTGGCTGGAATAGGCTGAGCTGAGATGGGAGACGAGGAATTGGAGATAGCTGTTAGAGATAGCTATTAAAGATGATCATAAAAAGGGAAATTTTGGTAGGAAGGACAGCTGAGACATGGAGTGGCTATAACTAAAGAGGAAAGAAGAGTCAAGATTGTTTTTGTTTTTTTGTTTTGTTTTGTTTTGTTTTTTGAGACTGAGTCTCTCTCTGTTGCCCAGGAGTGCAGTGGTGTGATCTCGGCTCATTGCAAGCTCTGCCTCCGGGGTTCACGCCATTCTCCTGCCTCAGCCTCCCAAGTAGCTGGGACTACAGGCGCCCGCCACCACGCCCAGCTAATTTTTTATATTTTTAGTAGAGACGGGGTTTCACCGTGTTAGCCAGGATGGTCTCGATCTCCTGATCTCATGATCCACCTGCCTCGGCCTCCCAAAGTGCTGGAATTACAGGCGTGAGCCACCGCGCCCAGCCCAAGATATTTTTTAAAGAGGGGGATGATGTTTGTAGACCAATGGAAATGGTCCAGTATAGAAAGGGAGGTAGAGATGACAGAGAGGAGGAAGGGGATCATTACAAGAGCTTTGGGCAGTGGAGAGGGGACACGATCCAGAGTGAAAGTGAAGGGCTAGATCTTGGGTAGAAGCAGAGGACATGGGTTCAGATGCAAGATAATTGGAAGGTGAGATAGTGAGGAATGAGGAAATTGTCTTCCGATTGCTTCTATTTTTCAATGAGTTAGAGGCAAGTTTATCAGGGGAAGAGGGATTATAGGAAGTTTGGGGACAGAGAAAAAGGTGTGAGATAGTCATTTAAGAGAGTGAGAAAATGAATATACCATAGGTATGTGGTAGGTTACCAGATAGTATTACATTTCACAGTTGTGTCCTTTTTAACTGTTCAAGTACAGGTGTGGAATACGTGGTAGTTGGGTTTAACTTGAATGGGAACTTAGGTGTGAGTATGAAGGAAGAGAAGGAAGTGAGAGAGGAAAAAGTGAGTAAGATGAATGGAGTAAATGGAAAACCGTCCTGGCCCTCCCCTTGACCGGGAGAGGCAGGCACACCCTGTTGTTCTAAATGCTTTCTGATGTTCTAAATGCTTAAGCAGAGGAGCATTTATCAACCATGGAGGGGAAAGGGAAAAGAGAGATTAAATCTCTCTACCCCAGGAGTCCAGGAAGGCTGCAGAGTTGTCTTTTGAGCTTGATCTCAAAGGCAGGTAAAGTATCAGTAAAGTATCAGGAAAAGCACTCTCTAGGTACTTGGTAAGGGCATGTGCAAAGGCAGGGGTGGATTTTTGGGGAATGGCTAGGCCGTAAGGCATCTGAAAAGAAATAGTGGGTGACAAAGCTGAAATGGGTATTGGGACCAGAGAACAGAAAGCTCTGTACGTCATAAGTTGTTTAGAATTTATTATGCAACAGGACCCACTGAAATTGTTTGAACAGGCAACTCATATAATCAAATGTGTGCTTTGGGGCTGGGCATGGTGGCTCACATCCGTAATCCCAACACTTTGGGAGGCTGAGGTGGACTGATTGCTTGAGCCCAGGAGTTCAGACCCACCTGGGCAACATGGCAAAATCTTGTCTCTACAAAAAATACAAAAGCTAACCAGGCATGGTAGCCCATGCCTATGGTTCCAGCTACTCGGGAGGCTGAAGTGGAAGGATCGCTTGAGCCCAGGAGGGTGCAGTGAGCCATGACTGCACCACTGTACTCCAGCTTGGATGACAGAGTGAGACCCTGTCTCAACAAACAAAAAACACATGGGCTTTGGGAAGACACATGATGAGACATGAAGAGGATAGAATAAAGGATGAAAAGCAGAGCAAAAAATCCAAACAAACCCTGAAAACTGCAATACTCTGGAGAAAGACCACAGGGATTTCCATTCAAATAGTAGTAATAGAAAGGAGAGACATGTGTACTGCAGAACTCACAGCATGAGGTGACCGGGTAGGGCAGACGTAGGAGAGGAAGAAGCCAGGACGACTCTGAGATTCTGTCTTGGGCAGCTTGGTGATAATGAAGCCATGGATATTAGGGGTAGCAAAGTCAGGGGGACAGTGAGGCAGTGAGTTTGGTGTTGAAATCAACAGGGAGAGATGCCCTGTAAATGAAGTTAGCGCTCTCTCAAGACTTGGCAAATGGGCAGTGGAGATTCATGGATTGCCTGGGGAGAATCTGTAGAGTGAAAACAAAAGAAAGAGTGTGGTGGAACTTGGGAACTCAAAGCGGGACAAGGAAGGGAGAAAGAGGCTGAGGAGGGCCGGGTGCGGTGGCTCATGCCTATAATCCCAGCACTTTGGGAGGCTGAGGTGGACGGATCATGAGGTCAAGAGATTGAGACCATCCTGGCTAACACGGTGAAACCCCGTCTCTACTAAAAATATAAAAAATTAGCTGGGCGTGGTGGCGGGTGCCTGTAGTCCCAGCTACTCCAGAGGCTGAGGCAGGAGAATGGTGTGAACTCGGGAGGTGGAGGTTGTAGTGAGCCGAGATCGCGCCATTGCACTCCAGCCTGGGCGACAGAGCAAGACCTCGTCTCAAAAAAAAAAAAAAAGAGGCTGAGGAGAAGAGAGTTCGGAAGAGAGCCAGGGGAGTTACTGTCATAGATGCCAAGAGAGAAATGAAGGAAGGGATAAAGGTTGTGTCAGTATCACAGTCATCAAGGCAGATGAGGGCCACAAAGTGATTGTTGGTTGTGACAATGAGGGGATTATGGACACCTTTCCAAAGATGATTAGTTTAAAGGTAAAAATAATGACCGTTGGATTTTAAGACCCAGAAGAAGCTGTAAACCACAAACTAGATGCTATAGGAAATTAAATCAGATAATGAGAAGATAAACCCAAGAAAATCTCCAAGGACTCAGAAGAAAAGAAAATAGTAGGTGAAAAGAAGGAATATATACTAAAGTGTGTGTGTGTGTGTGTGTGTGTAAAATCCCAGTAGAATCCCATAAAGAGAAAACTGTACATAGTATCTGACACATCCAAGAAAGTAATAAGAAAATAAAAAGAAACAAAGTGTAAACATGATAAAAGAAGAAATGAAGAAATAAAGCCATATGCCCTCTCTCTTTTCCTTTCTTCTTCTTCTTCTTTTTATTTTTTTGCAAATGACATGATTGTCTACATGAGAAATTTTAAAAAATCAACTGGAAACAAAAGTAATATTCAGTAAACTGTTACAAATTATACACAAAACTGGTACTTTCTACATATTAATAATAGTCCTAAAGTATACATTTAAGATCCCATTAACAATGGTAACAAAAAATGTAAAATAAGTAAGAATGAGCTTGATGGTAAATGCAAGATTATATGAAGAAAACAAAAACATTATTGATGCACAAAAGAAGGAAACTTGGATAGAAAAAGAAATACAATGCTTTTAAATTGAAATAATCATTTTGCAAAAATGTCAATAAACCTTCAATTAATTTTTTAATCTGGCACAATCCCAATCAAAATCCTAAATAGATGTTTTGTGAACATCACAGAATAATTCTAAAGGTAATAATAAATGTAAACAACAAGTAAATAAAGGAAAAATAATTATCCAAGGCAATATTGAAAAAGATAAAATAGGGATGATAATAATTTTGGAGATATTAACATATCTTAAGCTACAATAATTAGAACAATATGGTGTTGATTAATAAATACATAAGTAAAGGAATCAAAATAGAAAATCCAGAGAGAAAGTTGAGTTTTCAATATATGTATATTTACTACATGATAGTTATAATTTAAAATGTTATTTAATATATGACAAAGTAATTTCAGATCAGTGGGGAAAAAATAGATTATTTTATAAATGATATTGGGAAAACTGGCTCACTATGTGGAATAAACAAACTTAGGTCCCTATTTCTTTCAGACACCAGAAAACTTCCATATTTAAATATGAAAATGAAAAACAAGCTTTCAAACTGGTTTAATAACATAATATTAAATTTATGCAATGGAACACTCTGTTAGAGTTAGATCTTTATATACTCATATAAGAAATTTTCTAAAATATACTAGTATGTGAAATAAGTAAGTTACAGAATAATGTGCATGATGTCTCAAATGTGCAGGAAAACTTTATATATCTAACTATATATATATATCTTTATAGATATATTTGCATATGCATAGAAAATGTCTGAAAAAATACACACCAAACTGTTAACAGTAAATGTCATGAAGGGAAGATTGATATATCTAACTAGATATAATTTTGACTCTTTTATATGGCAAAAAAAGTCCAAAATAAAATTCAAAGACAATAAACTGAGGGCAAATATTTACAATATCTATGAAAAAATGTGATTATCTTTAATATACAAAGTACTCTTTAAATCCATAAAAAAAGACTAATAACTCAATAGAAAAATGGATGAACAGCATGAATGGGTAACTCATAAAATAAGGAGCACAAATGATCAAAGACCATACGAACAAGTTTACTAGTCATAAAAGGTATGCAAAAAATAAAATAAGATCCAATCTTTGCCCATAAAATTAACAAAAGTTTTCATGTTTATCTCGAGTTTTTAAGGTATGTAGAAACAATGGGTAGATCTCCAAATCCTATGAACTCTATAATGTCATTGTCTATTTTTTAAAAAGGAGAGAAGACCAAAACCACATATTGTACACATGTACATGACTCTATGGAGAGAAAACCAGAAAAATAGAAAGTTAAATGCTGACCGATGATCTCTAAATGATGGGATAATTATGAACTTTATTTTCTTCTTTGTAGTTTTTTGCATTTCCCAAAGTTTATGCAATAAAATGCATTGCTTTTATACTTAGACAAAAAGATTTGCACTCAAGGAAAAAAAAAGTCATGGTGAGAAATCCCAGAACCCTCATTCTTCTCCTGTTTAAACAATAGCCAAGGGAAGTCTTCTCAGTGGCAGACTGCTCTCCCTCCCTGCCCTGATGTTCCCCGTGGCCCCTCCTGTCCCTAACCCTACACTGCTGCCTGATTCTTTAGGACAGCGCTCCCCAATATTTTTGGCACCAGGAACTGGTTTCGTGGAAGACAATTTTTCCCCAGATGAGGGTGAGGGGTAGTTTCAGGATGATTCAAGCACATTACATTTATTGTGCACTTTATTTTTATTATTATTACATTATAATCGATAATGAAATAATTATAAACTCACTGTAATGTAGAATCGGTGAACACCCTGAGCTTGTTTTCCTGCAACTAGAGGGTCCCATGTGGAGGTGATGGGAGACAGTGACACATCATCAGGCATTAGATTCTCATAAGGAGCGTTGCAACCTAGATTCCTTGCATGTACAGTTCGCAATAGGGTTTGTGCTCCTATGAGACTCTAATGCCACAGCCAAACTGACAGGAGGTGGAGCCCAGGTGGTAACAGGAATGATGGGGAGTGGCTGTAAATATGGATAAAGCTGCACTCACTGGCCCACCATTTACCTCCTGCTGTGTGGCCCAGTTCCTAACAGGCCATGGACCGGTACTGGGGGTTGGGGACTCCTGCTGTAGGGTGAGTCTGCATTGCAGGGCACTGTTGCAGATGGTCATATCCTGAGGTTTACCCTAGATCTCCTCTCTGCTAAGCAGCCCCAGAAGAGACGTTTTCAAAGACTTCTGTGGTGGTCTTGCAGATCTCTCTCAATGCAATCAGGGAGCTGGGTCCCAGACCTTTCATAACAGTCATTGCCAACAGAAGCTCCTTAGCAAATGTTTGGCAGATGTGGCAAAGGAGTGCTTGTTCACCAAAGAAAGTGGAAAACAACCTATTCAAGAGCTTAGCCCTTAGCCAGGCTCCTTGAAGTTGGGCCCACCCACTTCTGTAGGTCCATGGAGCTGACAGGATGGAATAGTGTTCAGAGGAGATGAGCACGTCTTCCTTCTGGCCGGTGAAACTAATTTCTGACCATGGCAGCCCATTCTTTAAGCATAGCCAAGACAGAAGAACGTGCCATCAACACTTCCAACAAGGGAAGTGAATCTAGGGAATTTTATACTTGCCACATGTTTTCTTGCCTAGGATAGAGACTGTTTTATACTTCTGTAGGGGTATAGACCTAGTAAAATGCCAGCCTTTAATAGGTGCCCATGAATGCTTATTACACCATGGACTGGTGGTTCTTAGCTAATTCCTTCTCTTTTCTGGCTTGCTCCTAAAAGATGAGGTAGCTGAGCCAGGTGATCTACTTTCCCTCGGGTTCTAACATCCACATGGTGGATTCAGAGCTATCTAGACATACCATAAAAATAAGACTGCTTATATGATCCAGCAATCACACTTTGGGGGATAGAAATCCAGGTGTCACTGCAGCACTATTCACAATAGCCAGGATGAGGAAACAGTAGGATGTCTATCAACAGATGAATGGATAAAGAAAATGTAGTATATCCGTACAATGGAACACTATTCAGCCTTAAAAAGGAAATACTGTAGTTGGTGACAACGTGGATAAACCTTGAGGTTATTATGCTAAGTGAAACAAGCCAGTCACCAAAGGACAAATATTGTGTGATTCCACGTACATGATATATCTAAAATAGTCAAACCCACAGAAGCAGAGAGGAATGGTGGTTGCCAGGGTTGGCGTGGGGTGGTGGGGGGACATGGGGAGTTGCTCATTGATGAGTATAGACTTTCAGTCATGAAGGAAATTCTAGAAAGCTTGGTGTACAATACCGTGTCCATAGTTAACAATATCATATTGTACACTCAAAAATCTTTTGAGTATATCTCAAGGTAAGTGTTCTTATCACAATAAGATAAAATAAAAATAAACTAAACCCACTTGAAGAAGGCAGGATGAAATCCAAGTTCTTTCCAAAGACACTGCACATCTTGAAGCCTGACAGCACACTCTGCCGGCAAGGCTGCGGGGAAACTGAGGCTGCATGCATTGTTGTAGGAATGCACAATATGAGTGATGTGCCTTTTTACTCAGTGATTCCACTTCCGTGATTTTTCCAACTAAAGATATCTGCACACTTATGAAATGACTTGTATATAAGGTTATTCATTTCAGCCCTGTCACAGTAGAAAATAAGTGAACATTGTTGGAAATAACTCAAGTGCCCATGAGCTGGGGATTGGTTAATAAACAATGATATGTACTCAGAGTGGAAAACTTCGTAACTGTAAAAAAAACCATGAGGATCTCTAAGATCTGATATGAAAAGCTCTCCAGGATAACTTTAGTGTAAAAAGCAAGGCGCAGAACAGCATATCTATTGCTTTATTTTTATAGAAGAAGGAGAAAATAAGATATTTCTTCACATTTGCTTGTATTTACATAAACAAACTCTGGAAGGGTGCTTAAAAAACTAAGAGAGGCTGTGGGTGGTGGTATTGATATGGGTAGATGAGATAGAGACATCTATATGTGTGTTCTATCATTCTGATTTTTAAAGCCATGTGAATACCTATTACCTGCTAAAAATAAACCAAACTTATAAAATAACGTGGAATGTGCAGCAGTCACATAATATTTTGGAGGTGTATCATCATTATCCTGGAGACATCAGTCTCTAGTTCTCTTTCACTGATGCTGAGAGGTAAAGAAGGATGGCCTTGTCCCTTTGCAGCAAGGAGAGCTCAGAGAACCCTCATTCCACTTTTGAAGGTTATTTGGGGAAGTGCAACTGCTGGAATAAGACCCTGGGTGCTATGGAGCAGGGCATGAGCAAGGTGTAGGAAGCCACATTAACAAATCACAATACTTTGGGAGGATGATGATGACATAGAAACAGAATTAGATCTGGATTTGTCCAGATAAAGTTTTAAAAAACAGCTATATGGAGGTATAGTTTACATATAATAAACTTCACCCATTTTAAGTGTACATTTCAATGATTTTTAAAAAAATGTACAAAGTTGCGCAACGATCACCATAATCTAAATTTAGAACATTTTTATCATCCCAGAAAGAAATTTTGTACCATGTATGCAGTCATTCCTTATTCCCCCCGCCAGTTCCAAGCAACCATGAATCTACTTTCTGTCTCTGTAATCTCCTTTTTGCCCTTCCTGGACATTTAATATAAATGGAGTCATAATACTTGTTTTTTTTTGTGTTGGCATCTTTTACTCAGCGTAATGTTTTTGAGGTTCATCCATGCTGTACATGTATTAGTACTTCATTCCTTTTTATTGTTGAATAATATTTCATTGTATGGATAGAGACCACATTTGTTTATCCAATTGGTGGACATTTGGTTTATTTCCACTTTGGCTATTATGAATGATGCTGCTGTGAACATTTGCTGTAAGTCTCTGTGCAAACACTTGTTTTCAATTCTCTTGCTTAGACGTCTAGAGTGGAACTGCTGGGTCATATTGTAAATTTATGTTTAACATTTTAAGAAACTACCAAACTGTTTTTCAAAGTGGTTGCTCCATTTTACAATTCCACCAGAAGGTTCTAGTTTCTCCACATCTTTGTCAACACTTATAATTGTCTGTCTTTTGATTGTGGCCATGCTAGTGGGTGTAAACTGGTATCTCATGTTTTTAATTTGCATTTCCCTAAGGACTAGTGATGTTGAGTTCCTTTTCATGTCCTTATTGACTATTTTTATATCTTTGGTGAAATGTCTATGTCAATTTCTTGCCCATTTAAAAATTGGATTATTTATCTTCTAAAATTGGATTATCTATCCAGAAATAATTGTAATAGGTGTGTCCCAAGGAGTAAGGGAAAATGGAGGCAGCAGGGTGAGTGGAAAGCAAGATGGCAGCAAATATTTCCATAGATGGGAGAGGGGCTACCCAGTTGGAACTCTGCTCTGATCAGCTGTCAGGGCTGGACTTGCCTCATTCTTGAACTTCTGGTTTCCGGCCTCAATCCCCATCTGTACATGGGGTTGTACAAAGCCTTTGCCTTCCCTGCCTTCCCAGCCATCGGTCCTCAACCTCATCACTGTGCCTGAAATGTTCTTTTCTTCTTTGTCTCTGAGACAGTCCTATTTTCCTCCTCTATCTCTAAACCCTTCCATTCTTTGCTCTGGAACTGCCACTGACAACAAGCCATCTCCCCTGCATCCTGTCTCTCCAGCAATTGCTCTCTACCTCTTTCTGTTTTCCTGGCTTTCCCCTGAAGATCCCCTTCCCCTCACTGCTCTCTTGTGGTATGTGTTCTCTCACACCCCATAAACCTCAGGGTCAGGAGGTTGGGTAGACGCCATTGCACCCTGTTGCCTTCTCTGTGGCACACGCCATTAGTTGAATACATCCTCTGTCTTGGTTGCTGTCATCTATGACTTCTTGGTTGCTACATTCACCAAAGACAATGGCACCTGCTCCCAATCTCCTTCGTGTCCTTGAGTCTTGCTCTTACTCTGGTGACTTTAGCAAACATGTGGAACAGCCACCCAACACCATGGCCTCTCTGGTTCCTGGGTCTTTCCATCTCGGGCAATCTTTCCCTCTCTATCTCAACCATCGACTTCCATAGCTACACCCTGAAGCTGCTTGTCATCCCCCAAACGGCTCCACCTCCAAAAATCACTAATTCTGGCCATAACCCCCCTCTCTCCAGCTTGCTTCTTCAACTATGTCTACTGGGAGTAGTCTTCAACCTCAGTGGGGACCTCCAGGCCACTGGTAACTCCTTTCTCAAAGCCCATCAGTGGGAGCTGATAATTTTGCACAGCAGCGATTTTCTTCACTTGTGTCTTAATCAGCTTAAATGGCCAGAACCTGAATTCCCTTGTCCTCTGCCATTTGAACATTTTCTTGACAAAACCCCAAAGCTGGGTAAACCCAGCTTTCCTTTACTTCCATGTGTGACCTGAGCAGTGAGTGCTGCAGCAGAAAGTCACATCACAGAAGAGGTTGGCCCCACCCTATATTTTTGGCTACCAGCTTCATTACAGGCCCTGAGTGCCACTCCAAATTTCTCTGGTCAACTTGCCCTCCCACCCTTACTCATGACTTTCCAATATTTCAAGCCTTCTCCAATATCCTTAAATCTCCAACCTCCAACCTCCCCTAACTTCCCTGACCCCTCTCTTAGTAGGTAACATTCTCATTGATGACTTCTCAGGGGAAATTGAAGGCATCAAATAGTAAGTTCTTCAAGATCTTCTTCAAGGCTTGCAACTCCCCAGTGCATCTGCCCCCAATCTCTTCTTCTCCTCTCCCATTGTCTTAGTGAAGCTGAGTGGCTCAGGCCCCAGGAAGGAAGAGATTGCTTCCTCTGTCATGCTTTGGATCCTCTCCCCATCATCAGCAATACCTTCTCTCTCTTGAATATTCCATTCTCCTTTTCCTCCTCATCATTAAAACATGACCAAGTCTCTTTCATCTTTAAAGACACCTTCCTTGGCCCCATATCCTCCCCTGCTTTTCCCCTATCCTTGTCTCCTCCCTGCTTCACAGGCAAAATCCACGAAATAACTGTCAACACCCTCAGCCTGTTTCCTTACTTCCCACTAACTCCTTAATCCAATCTGCCCCCATCGCTTCTGCTGCAGCCCTTGCTAAGATCACCACCTCCATGTCACCAAATCCAATGGATGTTTTCCAATCCTCATCACACTTGGCGTCTCAGCTGCAGTTGACGTGGCAGCCCACCCCTTCTTTATAGCAATACCTTCTTCCCATGACTTCTGTGCTTCCATCCTATTCTTCTTCCTCAAGCCTTGTTTTCCCCACTGCTGGGTCCTAGGCTGTGGTTTTGTGTGTGTGTGTGTGTGTGTGTGTGTGTGTGTTTTTACGGAGTCTTGCTCTTGTTGTCAGGCTGGAGTGTAGTGGTGCGATTTCGGCTAACTGCAGTCTCCACCTCCTGGGTTCAAGTGATTCCCCTGCCTCAGCCTCCTGAGTAGCTAGGATTACAGGTGCGCACCACCACGCCTGGCTAATTTTTGTGTGTGTGTGTGTGTGTATTTTAGTAGAGATGGGGTTTCACCATGTTGGCCAGGATGGTCTCAATCTCCTGACCTTGTGTTGTGATCTGCCTGCCTCGGCCTCCCAAAGTGCTGGGATTACAGGCATGAGCCACTGCACCTGGCCAGCTATCTTCTTTTATCACCCTAACCTCCGACTCAGGAACATCAACCCACAGCCACATTTATTTCTCTAAACCAGAGCTGTCCTCTGAGATCCAGACCCTATGTCCAATGACCCACTTTCCATCTTCCTTTGGCTGTTTCAGAGCACCTCACACTCATCATGTCCAACAACATTGCCTGGTATTCCAGAGTTTCCTATTTTGCATCTGGAAATGCAAACTAGAAACCGGGGCACCATCTTTACCATGTTCCTCCCTCTTTTCCTCCTTTTCCAATCCACCGCCAATTCTTGTCAATTCAGCCTCTCAAACAGCCCTCAAATCCACCCATTTCCCCCCTATCACCACTACCACCACATCAACCACCATCTTTTGTCTTGGCTACTGGAATAGCCTCCTAACTGGTCTCTTTGAAACCCTAAGCAATTTTCTACACTGATCCAAAGTATTTTTTTCCAAAACACAAATAGATTATGTGATCCTGCTGCTTAAAATCCTTCTCTGGCTTCCCTTGGATCCTTAATGTGTTCTACAAGGTGTTGCACAATTTGGCCCTGCAACCAGCCCACTGTCCTTGTCATCTTGTACACATTCTCCTGCACCCTGTATTCCAGTTTCTAGGGTTCACTCTGCTCCCTCCCCACTCATCACCTTTGCATATGTTTTCTCTATGTCTAGAACACCCCATCCCTGGAACTACTTAACTTTCATTCATTCTTCAGAACTCAATTCAAGGTCATTTCTCTGGAGAAGTGTTCCTGAGCCCCATTCTAGATTATGTTCCTTTGTTAATCATCCTTGCATTTCTTTCCCTCTGATGCTCATCTCAGTTTATAATCAGTAAGACATTAATCAGCATAGTTTTTTATTAATGTCAGTGTCTCCCACAAGAGTATGACCCCCTTGAAAGTGGGGATGGCATCTATTTCTGCTTGCCATTATATTCCCAGTAGAGTACAGTGTCTGCACACAGTAGACACTCAATAAATATTTTTGAATAAATAAATTATATATTGGCCCAGGTAGTCCCATTGTTCATTCATTCAACAAGCATTGATTGAGCTCTTTTCATATACTAAGCACCATGCTAAGGGCTTGGGATAAGAGATGAGAGAGGCATGCCTCTGCCTTTGAGGACATAGTAGCCTACAGGGGGAGTTGGATGTGTGTGCAGAGGGTCCAAGGACCCTCTGTGCTGTAACCAGGCATATACCTAGCACTGGAGAAGCAAACCTAAGGACGTGATGGACCCTGCTCAGGGTGACCAAATAAAGACCAGCAGAGGATGCTACCGCTGAGCTGGTCCTGAGGAGTGGAGTGTGCTCAGGAGGGAAGGCCATGCCTGGCAAAGGAAGCAGCACATCCACAGGCAGGGAGCAGCAACTTGTGTTGTGTGTCTGGAGGGTGGAGTTCACAAGGCCAAGAGGTGAAGTGGAGTGGCAGTGGATGAGCCCAGCAAGATTGATGAGGGCAGATGAGCATGTGCCAGGGGAGGTTTGTAGATGAAAAGGGCGGGGGCAGGGGCAGGGGAGGAGTAGGGCTGACATGATCAGGGCTGGATTGTAGAGAGAGAATTCCTGCATGTGATGTGGTGGGGGTGGATAAGAATGGGCACGATAAAGGCCAGTGGGGGCTAGCAGACCAATTCGTGTGAGGGATGGGTCAGCATGGCACAAAAGTGGTCATTCCTGGAGGCAGACCAGTGTGCCACACCCTCTGTAGTGCAGCAATGCTGATAGGGGCTGCATGTTTGCAACTCCAAAATGCATGTGTGGAAGCCCTACTTCCCAAGTTGATGGTGTTCGGACGTGGGGCCTCTGGGAGGTAGTGATGAGGGTGGAGCCCTTGTGATGGGCTAGGTACCTTCATAAGAAGAGACACTAGAGAACTCACTTCCTCCCTCTCTCTCTGCTCTCTGCCAAGTGCACCCACAGTGAGAAGGCTAACTACAAAGCAGCAAGCAGGCCCTTGTCAGACACTGAATCTGCTGGCACATTGGTCTTGGACTTCCCAGCCCCTAGAACTGTGAGAATAAATGTGTGTTTTTTAAGCCACCCAGTCTATGGAATTTTTGTTATAGCAACCTGACCTAAGATGTTCAGGGAGAGGGGCTTTCCTGACGCAGAGAGAAAATCTCTGGGGCCCTCTCCTGCCTTGCCACTGGGGAGTCTTTGCGTGTCTGCCTTTCCCCAAGAGGAGAAACGAAAAGTATCCTTAGGATGGAATGTGATCAGATTTCAGCAGACATTGAGACAGTCCTGAGTCCTAGAAGCACTGGCAAGGTGGGGACTGTTTTTATTTTCTGTATTTTCTGATGCTGTGACACTTGGAGCCTTGCTGACCTGGAGAGACTGCCCTTCCCAGGGCTAATTCCTAGAGATAGCAAACACCCACCCCAGAGCACATTCTTCAAATGCCAGCCACCCACCCACAGCCCCCACCCTCACCCATCTCCTTTATCAGGCTGGGTCACTGTCCCTAGTCCCAATCATTTGACCAGACACTGGACAACAAGGGGCAGCCCCCGTGCCCCAGAGCCCACCAGAATTATTCAGATCAGCCAATCCTAAACCTGTCTACCCTGCTTACCCTGTCTCACCCATTCCTTCTAGCAAAAACCACAATAAAGGTTCTTGCCCATGCTTCCCCCGTATTCCCTCTGCCTCCTGACTGGCCCTGTGTGGTGTGCTGTGCCTCCTGTTTCTAGATATCTGTGAGTATGAACTTCCTTCATCACCATCATGTCCCTCTGTGTGTCTTACCATACCCAATTAGAAGAAATCCCTGGTATGTTTTAAAACAGGGCCCTTGACTCCTAAGGCTCAGTTATCCATCAAGCCTATCTGGAGTCTACAGGAAACTGAGGACCATCAAGCATGGCATGATCCCTCTTTCTGTTTTTTTGAGATAGGGTCTTATTCTGTCACTCAGGCTGGAGTGCAGTGGCGCGATCTCGGCTTACTGCAACCTCCGCCTCAAGGGTTCAAGCGAGTCTTCTGCCTCGGCCTCCCGAGTAGCTGGGATTACAGGTGCATGCCACCACGCCCAGCTGATGTTTGTATTTTTGGTAGAGATGGGGTTTCACCATGTTGGCCAGGCTAGCCTCGAACTCCTGACCTCAAGTGATTTGCCTGCCTTGGCCTCTCAAAGTGCTGGGATTACAGGCTCTGATATGATTTCGAATGTGGGTTACTGTCTCCAGCACTCTCTTGTCCTTGAGTAGGAGACTGAGCTGACCTGGCTAGGTTAAGCTTCACGATCGTGATTAGTGGAGAGCCATTTTCTCCAAGGCAATGGTCTCACCCCTGCCTTAATGTGAGAATCACCAGGGGAACTCTTCAAGCTACCAAGGCTGGGCCCCACTGGGTGGAGGTTTTGATTGAAGGAGTCTGGAGTGGGGCCCAGGTGTTGCTGTTGGTTTATAAGTTTCCCAGGTGATCTAATGTAGAGTTAGGGACAAGAATGACAACCCTAAAGTCTAATTCCCCTGAAGTCCGTAGCCAAATCTATGACTGACTACAACCCAGATTTCTCCCCTCCTCATCAGTGAGCTCAGTTCGGTTCATTAGAAGACTATGTGTCTTCTTCATAAAGAGGACAATCTTCCCCTGACCTCAGCTGGGGACCCTTGTGTCCTGGGTCCTGGAGATGAAGGGGATCCAGCACCCAATTGAGAAGCTGAAGTCACAAACACAAGTCGCCCTGCGCTCCCACTATTCGTGATGATGTTGGTTGCCATACAAATTTAGCCCATAGTGGGCTGGTTGTGTTTGAGCCTCCCCCACCAAGTTCTGTATGGGAAATCTAGTTAAGAGCCTTCTTCCTGGGGGAGGTTGAGTGTAACAGCTGCTCTTCGCCAGGGCTGATGGGCCCGCCAGGATGCAAGCCGGGTGCTGCCCCTGGAGCCGAAAGCCTTTCATCCCCAAGGACGGGTTCGAATTTCAGGCTGGTGTCCAGCAGCCAGGCTGGTGTCCACTGCTGCTGCTGAGGACAAAGACACATCCTGGGCTGTGAGGACAGAGGCACCTCCACCCAGGAGCTGGGGTTCACAGCATGCTCTGACACATTGAGAAAGAGGTATTGTGCAGTTGCTGTGGATCAGAGATCCTCCTCCCTTGCTTGCCTCTATTCTAGAAGCTGGGAAGCTAAAACACTGGATTTCCCAGGCTCTACTGCATTGAGAGGCAGCCATATTCTGGCCCAGAATATGTAGGAGAAAATCCCTAGGGAGGGATCTCTTCTGGAATAAAAGGCAAAGTCTCACTTGGAGAAGAAAATCCTTGCTGTCTTTTGTCCCCTCACTCATTTCCTTCTTCCTGCCTGGAATGTGAATGGGATGTTGGTGTATTGAAGCCATCCTGTGACTGAGAGGGGACAAGTGTGTGACTGAAAGCCTGTGTTCTAAAGATGATAAAGCAAAAAGATGGAAAGAGCCCAGTCCTTGGCTGAATCAGCCCAGGATTCAGCCCCTAGACTTCTTGTTGCATGACACAAACCAACCCCTTAGTCTCCTATGATAGGGATTTTTCTCCCTTGTCCCCAAACACATTTCTATTAACGCCTAGGTCACTTCTGACAAGTGGGTGCCAGAGGCTGGTCTCCAGAAAGGCGACCTAACGTTGTGAAGAGGTTATTCGAGTAAACGAGTAAATGCTGGGGTACGTGGATTCCAGCCCCAGTTCTACATATAGGCTGTGGCTTAGGGAGTTATTTACTGTCACTAAGGTATAGTTTACTGATCTGCAAAATGGCAATAATACCTGTCTCACACAGCAGGGCTATTCTAAAAATAAAATGAGTTAAAAGCATGGAAGTATTTTTAAGACTGTGAAGCAATGTCTGTGGGTCAGGTTTTGTTATTGTGAACAAAAGGCATCAGCAATTTTTTCCACCGGCCCCTGGAGCAGCAGTGACCTTGACAGCCGGAAGACTTCCTCCAAATGGTCCATATCTCCAGCTGCCTGGAGCCAGAGAGACTGAGCTTCCTAGCATCTTTGGTGGGGCTAGAAATAAGCGGCCCGGGAACACTGGTGCACATGGAAACACAGCATCTCACAGGCAGCCCTCTGGTCCTGTCCATGTCCCCAGGGGGTATTAAGCTCACCTGGGAATGGGACTGTTACAGAATCCTGGAGCACTGGAAGGAATAGGGATCATGTTGCCTTTATGGTAAACCTAGCAGGAACCATCCAGGATCTTCCACAGCCTCCCAGCAATGGGTCCCCCACTATCCTGGGAATGCAGTTCATTCTGGTACAGCTTAGGTTGTTAGAAAGCGCTATGTCCCATGGAGCCCCAAAATGCCTTCTTCAAACTCACACTGTCTCCAAGAATGACATTAGAACAGGCCCTGTCCTGCTTGCGCATGGCAACCCCTCAGATATTTGAAAGCATTTATCACGGCTTTCAATGACCGGCTCTTCAGGCAAAAGGTCCCAGTTTCTTCACTAATTCAGCTCCCTGGGGCTCCATCCTACATCCTGCCTCAAGTGGCTCACAGTTACTGAGGGAGACAGACGTGTAAACAGCAACAGTGTGATGCAGGGAAAATCATCTAAACAGACATTATTATTCTGAGTCTATAAATGGAAAAATGGGGGCTCAGGGTCTCTGCCTAAGGCAGTGAACTTCAGATGTGAATCCTACTCGGCTGCTGTGCAGCCTTGGGCAAGTTGCCTAAACTCTCTGGGCCTCAGGTTCACTATGTATAAGATGGAGATAATAATCAAAGTGCTTTTCTCTTAGACTGCATGCATATTAAGTGAATTAATACATGGCTCAGAATAATGCCTGGCATATGTGAAGCGATCAACACATGAAAGACAAGTGAATGGCTTCTCTGGGATTCAAAATCATATCGCTTGTCTCCAAATTCCACTCTCTTCCCCCTGCTCAGAGGGTAGAGGGACAGATTTGGAGCTGACTTTTACTCACAACAATATGGTATTTGTTTGTGTGTTGCAAATTCCTGCACACCTAGGTCTCTGGACACTTGTGCAATTTAAAACATCCATGCTACAAACATATACTTGTTGGCAACATGTTCCGGCATCTCCGAATCAAGTGCCTTCTGCCACTGTGCTGCCCAGTCCTCTGGGGAAGACAGTCCCTCTAGAGCATCTGCCCACTCAAGATGGCTGGGGAAGGAACGCTCTCGCCTGGCTCACATGGCTCTGGCTGTGTGCCAAGGGGTGTGGGCCAGCCGGGTGGCGAGTTCAAATCCTCATTGTACTCTGTCCCCTCCTCAAAGTCTGTGCTGTGCTGCGTACCCCGGGTCACTGCAACTTTTTTGTCTTAACAAAGCTGAGAAACGTATGTAAATTTCAAAGCTTCATCCGCAGCCAAGCAGGCAGCAAAAATCACTACATGTCAAATGATGAATTAAGATATTATCCATACTGCATGAAAGGGAGAGAGAAGAGGAAACTGATGGAAGAGAAAGAAAAAAAAAAAGAGCTCCTAAGCAACAAAGGGTGTGGATCGTTTCTTTAGTAAAGTAGCAATCAGACAAATATCTCTATCTCCCAAGCTACATTCATATCCACCATCCTAACCATTTCCTCCTCTGACTTAACCTGTTTCTATGAATGGCACTGCCATTTTGTGAAATTCAAAGTATGAATCATCTTTCGACTCTTCCCTCTCAAAGTCACGCCCAATTCTTACTGATTTCTGAGTTTACAGTCTCTAGAATCTATCCTCACCTTTCCCCATCCTTTCTGACACCCTTGAGCGAGGTCTGCGCTAGCTCTTGCCTCTATTTCGATAGCATCCTAACTGGCCTTCTAACCTCTAAACCTCTCTTCCTATTCACTAGATGCTTGCTTACCATCAGAGAAAGCTAGTGGTGTTTTGGTAAACCAACTCTCTCAGGAAAAAAAGAAAAATCAGGCCGTGACTTGTAGCGATTGTTCATTTCCACGGGTGATATTCACACCGTGGTCTGTCCAAGCTACCAACATGAGGTGAGTGGCTGCAGCATTGGAAAGACGTAGAATTGGCGTTTGCAAGCTCATTGCTGCCCGATAATCTTCCTAAAGAACAACTCGCTACAGACTTAGGCCCTAAATATAAACTTCATAACCTGGCATCTGTGGCCCTGCACCTCTAGCTGTCAGTTAGCCTGCCCAGGGGACTCCATCATACCCATACACATGCCCACACAGACGGAGGATGTTTCTGATCTCCAGTGTGATTCTTGCTTCCCCACCTCTGTGCCTTTATTTGTGTAGTCTCTCTGCCCATCAGAAAATCCTTCCCCTTCCTCAAGACTCATCTCATCTATGAATACTTCTTTGAAGTCCCTTGGACCAGAGAAGCTGTCCTCATTCTTTGAACCCCAATAGCATTTTGCTTGTACCTTTGCTGAGGCACCTTCCATATTCTGCTATGTATTTGGTTCTGTGTGGGCTTCTTTTGGCCTCTCTTATTAGATTATTATATTCTTTTTTTTTTTTTTTTTTTTTTTTTTGAGACAGGGTCTTGCTCTGTTGCCCAAGCTGGAGTGCAGTGGTGTGATCTCGGCTCACTGCAACCTCAATCTCCTGGGCTCAAGCAATCTTCCAACCTCAGCCCCCTGAGTAGCTGGGGCTACAGGCACACGCCACCACACCTGGCTAATTTTTAAATTTTCTTTGTAGATACGGGGTCTCCCTGTGTTGTCCAGGCTGGTCTGAAACTCTTGGGCTCCAGCGATCCTCTCACCTTGGCCTCCCAAAGTGCTGGGGTAATACATGTGAGCCACCTGCCTGGACTTCAATTATTATATTCCTGACAGAAGAACTATTATTTCTTTGTTGCTCCTGAAGTGCCTAGCATACTTTCTTGCACACAGTAGGTGCTTAAGACATATTTGTTGAAATGAACTGTACCCATTTTCTCTGTTAGGAAACAGGTTTTTTGGTTTTTTTTCAATGTTCTGGAAAGGGAAAGAAATTTTTGGCCACAGAGCTGGATGAGCCCGTTGGACTGCTGGCCCTGACACTGTATTGCTTGCTAAGGAGCCTGCACCTTGGCTTGGGAGACTCGAAGCCTCTGGTCCTTTACTTCCTCCCTCACACATGACACTGCCTTCTAGAAAGTCAAGACCAGCTCAGCAGACCTGACGCTCCCTCCCAACAGCATCCACAGAAAGCACTGGTGGGGTTGGCTCCTGGCTAGGGCCGGCAAGTTCAGCGTTTGCCTAAAAGCTAGGCCGGGGCCTCAGCCGACCCAGGAAGCCTCGGCGGTGAAGCCAGAGCTGGGGCGATGCTGCCAGGCCTGGCGCTGAGCTGTGGCTCGGCCCCCTCTGCTCTCGGCCTAAGCCGCCGCAGTCGCCAGGGCCCCTAGTGTGAAGGAATTTGAGTTCTAACTTTAGGTGGCTACGTGGCTGATGGCTGTGTTTGTGAATATCTCATTCCTACTTTGGTTGCCCAGCTGGTGGGAACAGAACGGGTAGTCATGGGACTGTCATCGTGTGCTGTCCAGGTTAACATGTAGCATTTCTATTACTATTAACAGACTTTCTGCTCCTCACTCCATCTGTTCTCTGAAATAATTGCAGTTGTACAGACCATGCCTTCGCTACAGGCAAGCTCTGGGGAAGAGGATAGTGCTTTTATGAGAAAAAAAAAGTGTTAAAAAATAACAGCAAACATGAGAAGAGAGTGGGGATGGAGCTAGCAGCAGGTTTCCAATTTCTTTCAGATTCCGGCCTGCAAAGGTGGCGTTTTTCACACTTGTTCGGGATGACCAAGCCCAGATAGATGGGGGTGAGAGGCTGGGCTGGCGGCTCAGTCTTTAGGACGTGGTGTTGGTCATCACGGGATTCAGCCCCAGTTGAGGTGGGTGGAGCCTTGGTTGGGCTACCCAGCTGGGAGGGGCGGGGCTCTTGGGAAGAGGCAGGGGCTTTGGGGGTGGCATGGCGGTGTCCTGCTCAAAGGAGCTAGATGGGCTCAAGGCCTGGGGGAAAGGCTGGTGGATCAAGAAGGGCTGGTGGGGAGGCAGAGGCTGGAACTAAATGACTGGTCCTATCTGGGCCTCTGATTCTCCACATGCAAAATGGGAGAGGTTCATCTCAACACCTTGCTTTCTTGAAGGGCTGTTAGGAGAATGAATGGGTTACTACAACATAGTGAGGGTTCTTCTGGCGAAAAGGACTACAAGGGATGATGAAGACTTGGTGTGTGAAATACAATAGCTACTGGTGGCACAAAACAAATACTTGCAGGGTTGAAGCCTCTGGTTTCTAAACCTAGTGTGTGTGGGTTTCTGTCTTCCCATAGGGTGCTAAACAAGGCATAACTGAGAACCACAACCTGACAGACCCTCGTGATTTGTTCCGGTTCCTTCCCTCCCACTGCCAGCTCTTCCACGTGAGGGGCCCATCTCATCCTGTGAGGCTGAAAATGGTGTTTTTTACCCCCTCGCCCAAACCCCAATTGGAATGGCTGAGGAGGGAGGCAATGTTGAGCTTTTTAGGAGTGAACTTGTTGGGGAAAGAAAGAAATGAATTAAGGGAAGACAGCCATGAGATTTCTAAGTGTTCTTCCAATTTCAAGGAAGTGTTTTCATTTAAAAGAAATCCACAGAATGTGACCGGTCTGCTGTAAATAAGACATTTGTTGGGGAAATTTTTTTCTGTGTGTGGGACACTATACTATTCTCCATACCCATCAGAAGATTTTATAAAATTCCAGAAAGGCTCAGAGAATCAGATGAATTATATCTAACCGTGATCACAGTGTAAAACACGGTTCAGGTTTCGGATAGATTTTGCCTGTCTTCCTTACTTCATATTACCCTCTAAACTGAGCATCGTGGCCTAGATTTTCCTTGAAACTAGGTTCAGTGGGGACTGGTGGGCCTTTAACAAAGAATTTTTTAAACACACAGGTGTGGATGAAAATGTGACCCTATTGGCTGGGGTGTCCCAAAAGAACATGGTTCTTTTCTTTTCTTAAAAAAATTTTTTCTTCTTTTAATTTTTTTTTTTTTTTTAAAGATGGGGTCTTACCATCTTGCCTGGGCTGGTCTGCAACTCCTTGGGCCCAAGCAATCTTCCTGCCTCGACCTCCCAGTGTGCTGGGATTACAGACATAAGCCACCGTGCCCAGCCTTGGTTCTTTTGTTAGGGAATTGGAAGGGTGAGAACTGTGAGCAATTCCTGCCTGTTGAGAAATTTTCAGAGTTACCTTAGGAACACCCACATGTTCCTCTTGGGTCAAAGACTTGGTTGGAAGAATGTGGGGAAAATGTGAATCAGTTGCTTGGGAGAATGTCTGTGTTAAAGGCTAGTTACATCGCACTGGCTTTTGGTGTGTTTGCTCCCATCACCACCTTGTGATCTCTGCCAGGGACTGGTGGCTGGCTCTTAGTGTCCTCTGCTGAGTACTGTGGCCCAGTGCCTGACACACATGAGACAAACAATAAATGTGCATGCTGAGTGCATGAACAAAATACAGGAAATATATAACTAATGGTACCAATTGCCAAGGAGTTTACCACCAAGTAAGTGCCTTTTCCATAAAAAGCAAACCCTGGATGTATAAATTGATGTAATCAGCAATAAAAGATTCTCGAAGAAATAATAGCTACCATTAGTCAAGCCCTTTTCAACTACATGCCAAACCCCTCATATCCCCTGACGCATTTTATTCTGCAGCCAACACACCAGCTCAGCACTATCATCTCCATTTTAAAGAAGAGAAAACTGAGGCTTAGGGAGAAGACTGAGTAACTTGCCCAAGGGCACATCATAAGTAAGTAGCAAAGGCAAAAATCAAACCCAGCTCTGTCTGACTGCGAAGCAGCGGCTCTTAGCCACTCTCTTCTGTGGCCCTTTGAGGGGGTGGAAGCAGGATTTCTGTAAAGTACAATCATTCCTACTTCATCTGTCAGAGTTCTTTAGGGGGTAAATAACTTAGTGGGAAAGGAAATTGTATTTAGTTTTTCAAAAGCTTTTGACAAGGTTACTTTCAAAATTAAGAACCTTTGGTGCCAAATATTTTGTCATTGATAGGGAACAGCTTAGGGACAACAACTAACAAAACAGCAAACGGGTCCTTTCTCTATTCACTTCTAGGTTGCTTTCTTTTGGGTTCAACTCTAGGCCTATTTATTCTACACCTTCATGGAAGAGGAATTGTGCAATGAGGCCTCCAGGTAATCAGAGGATCAGGGAGGCCCTCTGCATGTGCAAATGCCACCTGGTGCAGATAAATCCAGGCTGATGCCAAGAGGCTATGTGAGAACAGAGAAAGTTGGCAGCCCTGTGCTAGAATGAACCCTGCATGTAGTTCTGGGAGGACAGCTTGGAAAAGGATAAGAATGGCTACAGACTGTTCCCTAAAGACACCAGCCCAAAGGGCCGCTGAGACCTGAAAAGACAATGAAAGGTCAAGCTTCACTGGGAAGGAAACACACATATATTGGTGCACTGCCTTCGCAGAGAACCATCGTAGGCCTGCCTAGGAGTGCTGTCTTTGGTTTCCAGTGCTGCTGCAGAAAGGGCCACTCAAATGGCCAAATATAAGAAACGGGCAAGAGAGAGGGAGAGGCCATGTAAGGACAGAAGAAGGAGACGAGGTATGTTCAAAGTATTTCAAGTTACTAGGAGTACAAATGTTCAAACACAGTCTTGGTTATCAAACCCTGGAAGGCAGAACTAGAGCAAACTCTTGACACTTGAAAAGGAAGCAGTTAGTACAGATAAAAGGAACTGCTAACTTACACAGTGGGTAGTCAACTCGTCTAATTCATTATCCCCAAGAGGTGAGACAGGTTGAAAATACAAATTGCTCTTTAAAACGTTTGGAGAAACTGGCGGATGGTCGATTCACAGTGGATTCTTGGGTAGATCGTGACTTTTAGGAGGGGATCCCTAAGGACTGAGAGCAGAGAGGAGAACTGTGGTTATTAAAAGTCTGGGTATGGTGGCCAGAGGCAGCATTTCCAGCCACATGGAAAACGGTTCATTTGGACCCAGGGTGCCAATTCTGATGCTCTTGTGGGGCTGAAGGAGGTAGGAAATATTAAGTGCATATTCTGAGTAGAGTGAATATGGCTTACAAAAAGTAATTGCTGCTCCCTACAAATATATGAGCCATGTCATCAGGGAGAACCTTAAAAACCTGAGTTTAAAATCCATGGGGCTTTGGAACACTCTTGCGATGAAATGGAAGGAGCATGACTCTGTCAACAGACCAGGATCCCAACAGGCCTGCACAGCCATAGGAAGGGTGTGCAGGGCCGTTCCTACTGCCATAAGACGCAGGGCTGGCTTCACCTGCGTGCAGCCTCTGAAGCTGCACAGGCCCTGCACTTAGAAGGGCAGCTGCTTGGTTTAATGCTCTGCTGTTGCCATCTGGAAATTCTCGATACTTTTTGAACTACAGGCCCTGAATTTTTATTTTTATTTTTTGAGATAGAGTCTAGCTCTGTTGCCCAGGCTGGAGTGCAGTGGCGCTAACTCTGCTCACTGCAACCTCTGCCTCCCAGGTTCAAGTGATTCTCATGCCTCAGCCTCCTGAGTAGCTGTGATTACAGGCGCCCGCCAACACATCTGGCTAATTTTTGTATTTCTAATAGAGACGGGGTTTCACCATGTTGGCCAGGCTGGTCTCGAACTCCTGACCTTAGGTTATCCTTCTGCCTTGGCCTCCCAAAGTGCTGGGATTACAGGTGCGTGCCACCATGCCCAGCTAATTTTTTGTATTTTTAGTAGAGACAGGGTTTCTATGTTTTGGCCAGGCTGGTCTTGAACTCCGACTTCAGGTGATGCACCTGCCTCGGCCTCCCAAAGTGCTGGGATTACAGGTGTAAGCCACTGCGCCTGGCCAGGCCCTGCAATTCTATTTTGTGCAGGCCCCCACAAATTATGTTGCTGGTCTGGTTAGCAACTACTCAGTTGATCTAATAGTGGAGGGGCCAGAGAAGGGCCAAGGAAGAAAGGCCAATCGAGGCAGCTGGATCCAAATGATACCAGGAAGTGGGACATGTATAGAATGAACAGTTTCCTAGGAAATGGGTTGCTCCATCTAAGTGTCATACACAGGCTTTGCTGAAAACATTTCCTAATGTCAGGGAATCAGCCAAGAGAAACCAGGCCTGGGAGAACCTGGGGTGTACTTGACGGTGCTCAACCACCTGCTGCATGGCCAATCCATGAATGGAATCATCTAGGAAATTCCAACATCATCTAGAAAAGAGAAAATAAAATTAGCCTTATTGGGCCTGGTCCTGAGTGGATGTTTGGAAGTTGAATGTCAGCCTTGCCCCAGACACGTGTGTTTTTCAGAAATATTCTTAAGTAATGACTTAAGCTTATGACAAGGGCCACTCCTGAGTTATCTGGGAAGCTCGAAGAGCCTGGATTCTGGATCAAGGGTGAAGACGATGAAAGAGGGAAAACAAAGACCCTCACAGGAGTGAGGCGATGCCCCTCCGCTCCTCTCATCTCTCCTCTGACGGCTCTGAAGCAACATTTCTAACAAGCACTTCGCTCTTGGGGCCTTGGCTTTTCCATTGCCAGAGCAAGTCAACTCAAATCCTCCTTAGAAAGCACAAAAGCGCTGATTCAGTTGGAAAAGTGGGGAAAAAAATACCACTACTGAAATAATAACTGGAGTGCTCATATTGTCACAGAAGTAATTACAGAAGAAACACCAAGATTCGGCCCCGGAAATTTTCTAAAGATGCTTCTGCCTCTATAAACCGGCATTTTCCAGCTGACAGAGAAAGAAGTTGCTATAAATTAGGACGAGACTGTACTAAAGGAAATCCTGGATTGCAAGGCTGTACCCGGTTAGAAAATTTATTTATTTATTTATTTTGAGACAGAGTTTCACTTTTGTTGCCCAGGCTGGAGTGCAAAGGCACGATCTCAGCTCACCGCAACCTCTGCCTCCCGGGTTCAAGCGATCCTCCTGCCTCAGCCTCCTGAGTAGCTGGGATTACAGGCATGCACCATCACACCTGGCTAATTTTGTATTTTTAATAGAGACGGGCTTTCTCCATGTTGGTCAGGCTGGTCTTGAACTCCCAACCTCAGGTGATCCACCCACCTCAGCCTCCCAAAGTGCTGGGATTACAGGTGTGAGCCACCCACCATGCCCAGCCGAAAATTTCAAGTATCTCAATAAGGGGTCCCCTGCGATTTTCTTCCCTTTCACTTAACTGTGTTCTCTTTTCTCTCTCTTTTATTTTGATTTGTTTTGTTCTGTTCAGAAAGTTGGTTCTGTTGGGGATATATTCCTCCAGGAGTTCAGGGAGAGACCACTCCTTCCTAGCCAAGGACTTCAGAGGTGTGCCCTGGCCCACTGGCCGGGTTACTGCTTTGCCCCCAGCCAGAATCTGACGTATCTGGGATCTGACTCTGACTCCCACCCCTGCTCAAAGCCATTGGTCCTTAGTTGATTGGACCATGGTGGGCACTTGACCTGGGGCAGCCAACCCATAAGCTAGCCAGTGTATGCCCTGGCACAAGGAAAGGTGGGCCACTCTCAACCCTATGAACCAGGGCCCATTAGCAGGGGGCAGGAGAAATCAGGGTCATGGCAAACTAAAGCCCCATGCAGGCAGGGCCCCCAGGAGCTAATTTACCCAGGATGCAAAGGGGAGAGCAGCAGTATAAAGGGGAATCAGTTGCCCAGACCGCCTGAGGCCTGCCAGCTCTCCATTCTCTATCTGGTCCTCATGCATCCCCTATATCAGCCTTCTAGTCCTTGAAGGATGAAGGAAGACTTTCCAACAGTCAGCGCTGAGCAGCTCTGCAATGGGCTGCCTGGGAGTGAGGGTGGGGTTAGGGAGGAAAGTAAATCCATCATCAGACCAGACGCAGTGGCTCACGCCTGTAACCCCAACACTCTGGGAGGCCAAGGCAGGAGGATCACTTGAGCCCAGGAGTTTGAGACCAGCCCTGACAACATACCAGGACGCATCTCTACAAAAAAAAAAAAAAAAATTGCTGGGTGTGGTGGTGTGTGCCTATAGTCCTAGCTACTCAGGAGGCTGAGGTTGAGCCTGGGAGGTTGAGGCTGCAGTGAGCCATGGGTGCATCATGGCACTCTAGCCTGGGCAGCAGAGAGAGACCTGTCTCAAAAATAAGTGAATAAACCCAGCAGCACATGGTAGAGATGTTCTAGGGAAGCTTCAGAGCCTCCTCTGATCTTGCCATTCCATGAGTCTGTGTATTTTGGCAGGCTGGTCAGCTCTACATCCATCTCTGTGGCCTGCTGGGGGAAACACCTTGCCATCCTTCAGGTTGAGAAATCCATTCTCAATATCACAGGTATTCCACCCACAGTCATTCTGCCCTCATGCCCCATAAGGCGCCTCTCGCCTCCTTAAGCCACTATCAGGCATTATTGGTTTAGAAATCTGTCCTCTGATCAGATCGCAGGCTCATCTGGACAAGCTGCTCAGCTCCTCTCTGGACCTGGCACGGGCCTGGCCCGGCACAGAATGAATGCGCGAAATGACTGGCGTGGTCAGCCAGGCCCTGGATGGGCAACCTTCTGCTCCTGTATTCCTGCTTGCTGGGGTTGGGCCCGCCTAGGGGATAGCTTGGATGGCAGAGACTGGGACAGCCGCTAAGTGGGGGTACATCTAAAAGAGCTAGAGATGCCAGGAGAAATGTCCTTCTTCTATGCGGACCTCCATCTTTGGGCTGTTTCTGGTGGGTTGCTTCTCCTGTCTGTGTCCTCAGAATGCCACCCTGCATACACTGTGTGCACAGATCAGGGCATCTGTCTCCCTCCCATGGTCAGTGGCCTCTCACAGGCATCAGGGGAGGCTGCACACTGGGAGGCAGATTGGGAGAAGCAACAGCCTGGGGAGTCCCGGGCCCCAGAGTTCTGGTCCTGCACGACCAGGGCTGGCTCCTTCCTCTCCCTGTGCCACCTTCTTTTGAGTGGAAAAGGGGAAATGTGGCTCTTAGAAGTAGGAGCTCCTGCTTTTAAAGGCACTAAACCCTGGATTGGGAGAGAATCTGGTGGCCTTGGTCAAGCCATCATGGGATCGTCATCACCCCATTCTGAGAAATCGCATCAGGTTCCCTCGCCCCACCCTAAACCTACCTTTTCACTTGGCTGCTGAGCCTGTGATAACTGAAGTGTCACCACTGCGATGCCCACAGTTCTCCTTCTCTTGGAGAGGAGAAGGCCAGGGTGACAGGGAGTCTAGGTTTGCACCCCAAGCCAAGTAAGAGGTTGTGTCACTGATCCCCAAAGCATCTCAACTCCACTCCCTCATGAGGTTGAACCCACTGGGCCCGGAGTCTCCAGTTCCCTGCCCACATCTACCATGGCCTCACAGTGGCCAACACTGGTGAGTTGCAGAAAGGGGACTCAATACAAATGTCACCAAAAACTTGTAGTGTTTGGGTTTGGGCCAAATAGAGATTGCCTGTGTAGAGACAATGGAGGGTCATAAAGGTGACATAACAAAGGGGGTCCTGGCAGGGCACGATGGCTCATGCCTCTGATCCCAGCACTTTGATAGGCCCAGGTGGGAGGATCACTTGAGCCCAAGAGTTTGAAACCAGCCTGGGCAACGCAGGGAGACCATGCCTCTACAAAAAATTTTTAAAAAATAAAAAAAAAGGGGATCCTGGTAAATTGGTCCTCAAGAGAAATCACTTCCATCACTGTGAATGATGTGCATGTCCAATCCACACCCCCAAAACAAGTCATTTTTCTTTACGTTATTCCTTGACTATGCAGAAGGTGGGCCCATCCCTCTGAGGCGGAGAAAGGAAGTAGAGGAATGTCAGCAAGTCATGTTCAAAGGTCAGGGGCCCTGGGGCAGCAGGGTCAGAGCCGAAAGTCAGATCTGCCATCCTCTCCCATCCTACCCTGGCATACAACGCTTTAAGGTGTCACTTCTGCTTTAGAGATCTCTATATTTAAAATATATCCTTGGAAAAGAGTCTTCTACTCTACCTCCATCTTTTTCTCTGCTCTCTTGAAATCTCCATTTTCTTGGAGATTTTATGAACTCTGTCTAGTTGGAAATTCAGAACACCATCATGGGGTGGCAGGAAGACCCCCAAGGGACAGGAGATCCTGGTTGCAGTTCTGGTTTTATCCCTAACTAGCTGGGTAACTTCGGGTCTCCTCCTTGTTAAGATGACAGGCTAGGTCCCCCTCTGCTTCTCATATGCTTTACTTTGAAGGCTAAAGCAGCCTGGGTTTCATGAGGCAAGAGAGAGTCACCAGGCAGCCCCAGGAAGTAGGTCCATGGTGGGGGAGGGTAAACCCTAGCCCCTGTCCCCTTCCCTACAAAGATGGTTGTCACCCCTAGGAACAGCATCAGGGAAGACTGGGTGAGTGGAGGAAGCTGAGGATGGTCTGAGTTCTACGTGTCTCCTTGAGCAACCCTGCTCAACCCCAGCCCCCAAAATGCTCCAGGAAAGATGCCTGGACCTCAGGTGGCTTCGAGAGAATGCTCAGAACCTGAGCCTGCCACTCTCAGTGGGGGTAATCGCTGAACTCTGTGAGCCAAACACCTAGAAAGAGCTGAAATGACTTTAAATGCCTAAACATTTTAAAACAAACCTTACAACACAAGGCTTTTAATTTTTTTTTCTTTTGCCCCAGTGCTAAAGCTCTCTCTCTCTCTCTGTCGCTTTCTCTTTTGGGGGGAATTCAAAAGCCGTTTTATGCCTCATTACCTGCACACTGTGAGTGATGTCTGTCGGTCCATGTGCTGTAAATACCTTAAATCATGCTTCATTAAGAATATCTATGGTGCTATTAAAGAGCTATAATAGACAACGAGTTAACAGATGATTAAAGATGAATTCCATTTGTGTCAGTCACCAGCCAGAGAGAGACGAGAGGCTGTAAGTTCTCAACTCATTATCCAAGGGAGTGCAGCTCTTCCTGGATTTGTGAGGAGTAGGGAGGCAGGGGAGGGTTGTCTGCCTGCCGAGAGTGGAGTATGGGGCGAGCAGGGTGGTGGCGATGTGGGCTGTGCCAGGGGAGGATGAGTGTGTGGGACCAGCCAAGGGGGATAGGGGAGAGGAAATCCTGTGCAGGCTCAGAGAAGGGGAAGTTGTGTGTGTGCATGTGTGTGTGAGTGTGTGCTCACTCCTGTGCAGGTGTGACAGGAGCTGTGCTGTCTGACGGTGCTGTCAGCTCTGCCTGGCTGTTCCCATGCACATGGTCAAATTCCACTTGGAGCCATAAGAAACAGATCAATTTTTGGTAGCCAGAGAAAAAGAGGCAGGTGGGAGGGAGGAGAGAGAGTTGCAAAGGTGGAGACACAGGACTCTTAGTAGTAGCTGTGGCAAGGAGAAAGGAAGGAGAAATTTCCTTTCTTCTGCTGTGTTTTCAGGGAAGAGACGATGATGAGTGTCATCAAGAAGACAGGCAGTTGGGGAAAAAGGCAGACTGCTGAGGGAGCGGAATTGTTTCCCTTTGAAGAACTATCCGATAAAGACAAACGTACACTGTCTAGTCTCTAAACTCTTCTCAGAAGCACTAGCCACCATCATTCAGAGAGCCAGATAACCTTACACTATTTTCTCCTAATAGAGTCCAGTGGCAGGAATCTGGAAAGCAGCAAGTACCAGCTCCAGGCAGCATGTCCATGGAGCAAGAGGGCAACCCCCAGCCTCTGTCCCCTTGAGATCTTAAAGTGCTTGGGACTCTCAGTTCTGTGCTTGAGACCCTAAAGACTTCAGCAAGAATGGCTGGGTAAGGTCACATAATGAAATGAAGATGAACATAAAGCAGTTCTAATAGATGACTTCAGTATTCTCCATGGCTATTAAACTTATTCATCCTTTAGAAGGTAATTATTCTCTCATTTTACAAATGGAGAAGCTGAGGCACTGAGTAAAAATAGATTATGGCTACCAATGAGTTAATAGATATTAGGTGCCTTCTACTGGGAGATGCGTTTCTGGCATCTAAGACCTGGTTCTTGCCTTCAATGTGCTTTACAGTATAGACAGGAAGTGGGGCGTCCCACTGCACAGGCAGGGAAAGGAAAGCTACCGACCTGAGGTCAGTTAGAGGGCAGAAGGAGAGGGTGGAAGACATGGCAACTTGGTATTAGCAGCCTTGGTTGAATCTGTGTGTTACTTTGCTAATGATAACACACCAGCTCTTCTTAGCACCTTCTGACCCAGACGGTGTTTCCGTGCCCACTGCCAAGTTATCCTGGCTCTGCTGGCAATGCTGATGTGTGGCATTATGTGATTCATGTCCCCAGTGCTGCTGTCGCATTCTCTGACATCCTGGGTGTCACCTGCCATGCTGTCTTGAATATGCTACTTGGCCTGGGGTGTTACTACAACTCTTCACTCTTCATATCTACTTTTTATGCAAATAAAGGTTAAAGATGTCAAAATCTGATGCTTCTGATTCCTTTCACATACAGTCAACTCAAGACATTCACATGTCCATGGCTTTAATCTGTCATTTGTTGCTGTGGAATGCAACTGGTTTGTGAGTGGGGTTGGGAGAGAGGACCTCAGTGTACTCCGTGAAGGAGGTGGCACATGTGGGCATTTGGTAAATGCTGGGTGGAAAGAAATAGTGATCAAATTAGGGTGGGGGCAGTGGGCACAGAAGAGCTTGTGTATGACTTGTGTTTCACAGTTCACCAAATATGTCCACACGTAAGGACTCCTGGATCCCCCAGGAGCCCTGTGATAGAGGAAGATATCATCCTACTCTTTAAGAAAAAAAAAAAAAATCCGTGGCTTAGAAGAAATAAATAATGGGCTTGAGGACTTGGCCAGTGAGTGATTGAGCTGGGATGATTCTTGTTCTTCTTCTTACTGCAATGCCTCCCCTGGTTTAGGGTCTGAGTTGATGAGACCCTCCTGAAAACAATGGAAAAGGTGAACAGGCAAGAGTGAATGGGAGGAATGCTTGCTGGCCAGCATCTCGAATCAGGACAACCAGTCAAAAGAGACTGCCTGATGGTGGGAAGGGACTGAAGAGGGACTGGAAAAGGAACAAAGCCAGGGGCTTCTTGGAGCAAGCTGGTCTTCTGGGAGAACTGGGAAGCCAGAGAGCAAAGTCATGTCCAAACAGCCAGGTGAGGCGGGAGCTGTGATAGGGCTGGGCAGCGCCACTAGGAGGGGTTGTTCTTGGTCTGAAAACATCTCCATGGCAAGCGTGTGTGTGTGTGTGTGTCTGTGTGTCTGTGTGATGCTAGAAAGAGCAGGGGCTATGAGCCTAGCTCTGTCTGTGGAACCTGCCATTTGTGACTTCTAGTCTTAGTTCTTCATTTATATGATGGAGATACTCATCCTTCCTCCCAACATGGTTTGAAAATGAAATGAAATCCGGATGTATGGAGCTATGTCTAGGCGCATACGCAGGAAGACTGCTGCATATAGTCAGTGTTACTAACAGCCACAGCCTCTCAGGACCTCAGGGAGGGGTAGGAGGAAGGGCCTCTCATTGCAATGTGATCCAAGTTTAGAAAAGAGTTGGAATAGACTTGGGTTCAGACACGGCTTCATGCCATGTCCCACTTCCAGGAAAAGAAACGGGCTTGTTGGAAAAAGAAAACAGACTCAGAAAGCATCTTGGGCATCCAACAGTTCTTAGGAAACAGCATTTGGGCAAACATCATTGAATCAGCAACACTTGGATCCAGTTTCCATTGACAGCTTCACAAACTGAAGATCGAGAGGCGGGGGACCTGGAAAGGCAGCCTCTTTGGGACAACATCCAAATGGATCTTGCCCTGGGTGACAGTCTCCACTCCTTTCCTCTCCTCCACATTTGGCTTGCATGGTGCCTCTAGTAAGTTCTAACATGCAGGACTCCACGGAGACTCCTGGGCTTCTGGAAGACGGATGCGAAAGACCCGGAGCCCAAAGCCGGAACATCTGGCTTGAGTTCCAGGCGCACCAGTTATTGGGGCACTGAATGGCCTTTCTTTGTGACTTTGCATTCCAGTTCCTTCTGAGTCGATTCTTGAGAAGGAATATACTCCCATCAAGGAAGTGCTTTGGGGCCCTCAGTGAAGCCTACTTAAGGTACACACTTGGGATTTTGGAACTAGATGATGAGACCCAGAGATCATCTGGTATAACCTTATTATAGGACAGAGAAGGAAACTGAGCTCAGGAAAGCTAAGCAACTTGCCCAAGACCACACAGGAAAAGCAAGGTCTTCTAACTCATGTTGCGGTGCTCTCCCAGGGCGCCACCCACCACACATTAGAGTTACTCGGGTCCTCACACCTAAAGCTGACAACGAGCAGAAAAATCCTCTCTCTTTTGCTTATCAGAATCCCATTACCCATAGTTGCTGGGAAAAGGGGGCATTAAATAGTTCCCCAGAAAGCACAAGCGAGGACTTGGGGGGAAGAGGGAGTGTGTGTCAGCCCTGATAATTGAATCTCGGTGCAAAGAGACAGCCGGATGCACTGCAATTGAGTTAAGTGGAAAATGGCATTTTCGTATTGTTAGGAGCCTTCTCAGCCCAAGGCCCTGATCATTTACTCCGAGCACCTGGTGGTCTTGCAGCTCTGACCCCAGCGCCCAGCTGAGCCACGGGCCAGCTGGGATCAGCTGTGTGGGGCAGGGAAAGAAATTAATTTTCAATCCCTGGGGACTGCAGTTGGTAGCTCAGCAGCCAAGGATTACACAGACCCGGAGAGAATAGGGCACCATCCCTCTGGGGGAGTTATTGAACTCCCAAGTGCTGGTGGGGAGGTGGCAAAGGAAAGAGGGAGAGGGGTTGGAACAGTTTTTATTGGGAATCCCATCACTGAGATTTAATGGACATTCTGTTGCTGGAGATTTGGTCTCTTGCCGATTTCTCTTCCCAATATTTAATTTCAAACTCCTGCCCTCCACCTCCAAAGCGTCAGCCCCTAGAGTACAGAAGAACTGAGTTTCTTGTTCTTCTTTTTTTCCCTATCTGTTGTAGTGAGGCAAGAAGTTGCTTTGGCAGAGCGACCATGCTCTGATTACACGAACACATTTGCAGATTCCGGCACCCTCCCATCTTCAACGACCATCCCAAGAGCACAAACCTCCTGATTTCTTTCCCAAACCCATGTAAAAAGGAGCAAGCCTGGGTCTCCTTTCCCTCCGAGCCCACCTTTTCTAGTCGTTGGTAAATGAACAGCAGCGAGAAACACACCACAAGAGCGTCCAACCAGAAAGAGCCTAGAAAAAATCTGTTTCCCAACACAAACTTGGTTCCAACGGAGTCTTTTGTGAGTGTGAAGAAAATATGAATTATAGTTCCTGGCCGTGCAAAGTCCTCACTAAAAAGAAAAAAAAAATAAGAAAGAAAGAAAATGCTACATCTGTTTCCATTTCAGTTGCTCACATGTTTAAATACATCGATGAGGCATCCGTCTAAATTTACCAGGTCCTGAGCAATTAACAATTAAAAAAAAAAGACTAAAAGATGATGGCAACGTTTGAAAAAATGCAAAATGCTAAGATGCGTGTGTTCATGTGTTCATTTCTATCACACTGCATTCCTTTGCAATCCTGGCACTCCAGGAAAACTGGAGCAAGGCCTCTAAAAAGGAACAGGGCATCATTAGCGCAGCCAGATCCCTATCTTAGCCTGCAGCAATTACCATGCTTCCAAGCGAGCTGCGAAGCGCTTTCATTACTGGGGGACTGAGGGGTCACTCACCTCCAGCCCCCATCTTGGGCTAAAACAAGCATTTTCCGAACTAAGCATTCCAGTTTCATTTCAATCTGTAATTGCTTTGATTTCGGTATGCGTAGAACACGGAGGCTTCATGACCAAGAATTTTATTAGTCAATAAGTTTGCTACTGTTATGAATCATTAGCCCTCATTTTACTCCTTTCCCACACTGGCCTGAACCAGTGTGACAGATTTCTTTTGTCCTCCTGTGGGGACCAGTGAAAACACCCTGCAAGACCACCTGTTCCAGGGATAATTGGTTTCTCCAGGTCACAGAGGTGGGATAAAATCAGTGGATGTAAACCTGGAGCATTATTTCTGCTTTCATACTAAAGGAAGTCAATGCCGGGCACTGGAGTTTACTGCAAAGTTCTTACATTTATTTAAAGTTTTAAAATTTTCAAGCTGCTTAATATCTATTAGCTCAAAGCCCTGTGAAGTAAGTAGGAAGGTACCCTTCTTTTCAGAGAGAGGGTCAAAAAGCTGCTGATCAGAGTTAGGTAGGAATAGAGGGAACCAGGGCTTCCTGCCTCAGTCCTGACCTTCTTTCAATTCTACAACTTGCCTCACTGCAAATTCCCTTCACAGGAGGAAATCCAGAAGGTGAGCCATTAGGGATACAGAGCTCAAATCCTGGACTCTACTATTGCCTCCTGGAAGTCCAGCACTCCCTCTTTGGGCCTAATAAATGACAGCCTGAGTCCATGGATGGTTCTGACCAGGAACTTGTCCGGACGAAGGCAAAGAAACGCTTCCTCCAGGCCTTAGGAGGAGTTGGGATCTGCAGATGAACAGATCACAGGAGATGCATCTTGGTTGGGACAACAATTATGCCAACTGCTTATTGTTTTTGATAAACTGGCCACAGATCCTAGTTAGCAAGAACAACAAACCTCACCAACGCCAGAATCCAGAGACCATGAGACCAAAAAAAGAAATTCATATAAGAGAAAAAAATGATCCATCCAATATAATCAGTGCCTGCAATGCTGCACACAGATAGGTGGTCTCACAGCCTCACTACTTAAGAATCCCAATGCATGACTCCAGGTGCTAGAGGACTGGATATGGCCCTACCCTTCAGGAATCGACTGAGTTACAAAGTGGCTTTGAGATTGGCAGCAGCCTCTAGGTAAGTGAGGAGCTTTGCTGGTGTTCATTTTAACTCTAATTTCCATAGGAGATGAAACCTGACTGGTGACTTCCTTTGTATTTCCCTACATCTGCCAGGACAAATCTTTTTGCAGAGGGCTCACCAAAATATGTATATTCACTACATATCTGCTTCTGGGACACTATCAGGTCTGGCACCCACTCCTCCTACACAACATGCATACACAATAGTATTATAGGGGGAATGATAAAAATAAGTAGTCTTGCCGTAGGGACCAGTCTCAGGAACGTGCCTGGTGGAAATGAATGTAATAGTGCCTTGATAAGAGCCAGGAATACAAACCACCTCCACGACTGCCAGTAAAGGACAGAGAGATAAGCAGGGGCTGGGGCAATGAGGGAGCAAAGGAGTTAATGTCTTTTCTCCCCGTCTTCACTTAGGGAATTTGAATTCTTGATCAAGCGATTTGTCAGGATTGTTGTGTATTTACTGTAATTACAGAACATCAAATGTGCATTGACGTAATTACCATAAATATGTGTAAAGACATTATAACGTGTAATTATGTCATATAATTCTTTAATAAAGCATGCAGAAGAAAAATTACTCTGCACATGCTCAATGCATATCTTCTCCTGACTCTTTCTACTGAAGGTTTTATTTGCTCCCTCCCCCTCCCTCTTTTCAAATTCCAGAGACAGTTTCTCCCATTTAGGATTAACTAGCAGAAGGGTGAGATTAGAATGTGTGTGTGTGTGTGTGTGTGTGTGTGTGCGTGCAAGCTTGTCCAAATGAGTGTGTATGTGTGAGTATGCACGCACACACACACACACACACACACACACACACACACACACACACATGCACCCCAGGAAAGAAAGGCGTTTTTTAAACCCTGGAAGACGTACCATGGTCCAGGTGTGAACAGCATACCAGTCTTACAGTCAGTGTTCCCATGGCTGACACAGAAGAATTCTGTGATCCAAGATCAACTCCTCCTCTCTCTCTGCGCTTCTCCCACCTGTAATTGCCTGGGTGACCTGTGCCCTGCATGGGGTGAATGTGTCGGTGCACGGGTCACACCGTGTAGTGACACTGAGAGCTCCTGGGAGAGGGATGCTTGGGAAGATGTTGACATTACTGTGAATGCAGGGAACTTTTGTAAAGATCTGAACAAAAAGTAAAATCCCCCAGATGAGATCTCTAGGGGTGTTCAAGTGGAGCCCAGATTGTCACCAAGACTAGAACACATTTAAAGTCCTTCCCCAGCCCTCAGAGAGTCTATTAGATGTGGGGTCTGTGTCATGATCTGTATTTTCACATCCCTTCCTCTGGCCCTGCAGGCCTTTTGGAGGCTGTGCACCCCTGAGGTTAAGTCTTCTGCAGAGAAAATTGCTGGAAGTATTATGTCCCTGGAACTCAGCGTTAAATCAAATGAGAAAGAATGTCCTTATGCGTGGGGAAGACCTTCCCAATGATGATATCAAAATCAAAATTATAAAGGAAAAAGACTTATTAGACTATGCAAAAAGGTACAATTTCTCTACATAAAAATACCACAAATATAGTAAAAAGCAGCCAGGCATGATAGCTCACGCCTGTAATCCCAGCACTTTAGGAGGCCAAAGCGGAAGAATTGCATGGGCCTAGCAATTTGAAACCAGCCTAGACAACAAAGTGAGACCCCATTTTTACAAAAAAATTTTAAAAATAGCCAGGTATGGTGGTGCACGCCTGTATTGCCAGTTACTTAGGAGGCTGAGGCAGGAGGAGGATGGTTGAGCCTAGGAGGCTGAGGCTGAGGCTGCAGTGAACCATATTTGCATCACTGCACTCCAGCCTGGGCGAGGGTGAGACCCTGTCTCAAAAAAAAAAAAAAAAAAAAGGAAACCTAATATAATAAAAAGCAAACAAAAGACCAAGAAGATATTTGTAACATATATGATGAAGGGGATAATATACCTAATGTACTAAAAAGTCTGACCAATCAGTAAGAAAAAAGTCTAAATAGAAAAAATGGGCAACAATGGAGAGAAAAATCACAAAATAAATACACATTGCCAAAAAGCACATGAAAAAATAACCAGCCTAATTTATAATCAATTAGGGTACTATTTTTTACTTGTCAAATTGGTAATTATTTTAACAAATTCTAAAATACAGTGTTGATGAAATGTTGACAGTATGATAATAGAAATTGGGTTAACTTTCTTGGGGCAAATTTGGCAATGAATATCAAAAACCTTGAAAAGGGCTGAGAGAGGTGGCTCACACCTGTAATCCCAGCACTTTGGGAGGCCGAGGCAGGCGGATTACTTGAGGCCAGGAGCTCGAGACGGGCCAGGCCAACATGGCGAAACCCCGTCTCTACTAAAAACACAAAAAGTAGCCAGGCGTAGTGGTGCATGCCTATAATCTCAGCTGCTGGGGAGGATGAGGCATGAGAATTGCTTAAGCCCAGAAGAAGAGGTTTCTGTGAACCGAGATTGCCCCATTGCACTCTAGCCTGGGCAATAGAGGGAAACTGTCTCTAAATAAATAAATAAATAAATAAATATATAGAAAAATAAAAAACCTTGAAAAGGTGCATACCCTTTGATCTATTAGTTCCTCTTCTAGGATCTTACCCCCAGAAATTAAAAATAAAGTCAAAGATTTAGGCCTCAGTTTTCCTGACACCAAATTATTTATAATAGTGAAAGAAAAACTTCCCCAGAAACAACTCAATGTCCAACAAAGGGGAACTGATTAAATGAAGGAAGATAGAGTCTGAACTCCACAGAACACAATTCAGCCATTAAAAATGATAGGTGAGTGTTTGATGACATGAACTGATGCACTATGATGTTAAAAAAAAGCACAAAATTATAAGCCAGTCTGTGAAGTAAGATACAATTGGTAAGTATAAAAATGTAGAGGAATTTATACCAAGATATTAATACTGGCTTATCTTTTAGTGTGGGAGTAGGGACATTTAATTTTTTTCCCTTTCTTTAAAAAAAAATCTGGGTAGTCCAAATTTTTATAGTGGACATTTCCTACTTTAAAAAATGAAACCTACACACACACACACACACACACACACACACTTACTCACTCACACATTTTGGTTTAATATCCTGAGGCAGTTTACAGAGAAAGCATCTATACCATACGGGGCTCCATCACCTACCAATGCTATACCCTTCTCTCAGCCTCTTGCTCCCCATCACCCATTCCAGAAAACACTTGTGGCCAGAGCCAAGTTCTTGAAGGACCGCCAGGAGTGGAAGACTCAGTGCACAGTATATTCTGGCTTTTAAGCAGTGAGTGAGATTCACAGCAAGCAAACAGCAGAACTGGAATTGGAAGCTAAGATGACAGCAGGCCAGAAGCTGGCCTGGTTGGTAGGGTCCTTGAACCCAGGACTGATGTAACGAGTCTTTCATCTGAAGTCACAGGAGAACCTGAAGTTGGGGGAGCAAAGAGAGTTGATTCTGGTGGGATGCAGAGTCCAGGACCAAAGAGGGAGGTGGAAGTGGGTTACTAAATGGAAAAGCCAGAAGCCAGCATCGAATACTGAAGCATTCCTCATAAGCTTTTCTCTCTATCTATCTGACTTTGTATATGACATGGTTAAGGCAGCATACCAAGTCAGGGAGCAGTGAGCCATGGAGAAGAACAGGGGGCAAGGGATGGGGAGCAAGAGGAGAGCTGTCCATGAGAACTACCTGCAATAGTAGGAATTGTCCGTCACCTGACTTACATGCCCCTGGTGCATGGTGTGTTGGGCGATGCTTCACGGACCGTCCATGGGGCAAACTCTTAGTTGTTAACCCAACCATCTCCTCCACCACTTTTCAGAGCGTGGGGACCATGGGGTAGAATTCTTCTAGGTGACAAGGGCTGAGACATTTTGTTCTTGCTGCTATTATAACTAAGGCGGGGTCCTCTCCATGTCCCAGTGAGAAGGGATAGCTTCAGCAGCACCCACAGACCCAGCTAGTCAAAGAGGGATAGTGTGGGTGTTGAAATGGTGAAAGGAATCGTTCAGCTTCCTGCATTTCTTCTTAAGTTCCTTTCTCAGATGTTGGGCAGCAAAATAGTGACGGCATCTGAGGAGTGTAGCTGTTTTTAGCAACGTGGCTTAAGAAAGGAGTTAACATGGCCTTAATGAATAACCACAGGTTAACCCTTATCATCAATCTCAGAATGAGAATTTCCTTCTTCTCTTTTCATTTTGGTAAATGCAGAGATAAGGAGCATACAGAATATATCCTCACTGTCAAATGCTTGGCCCCAGCATCCTGGGAAAATGCAGAGTATTAAGTATCTCATCCTGTTACTCAGATTTCAAAGTATGGCATTCTCTCTATCCCATTCATTTTCTCAATATTCTTAGAAAGCAAGAAAGGGATAATTAGACTCATCTTAGAGATGAAAAAACTGAGACTTTGAGATGACAACTGAAGCCTAAAACTCTCATGTTAGATAAATAACAGAGGCTGGGCCTGGTGGTTCATGCCTGTAATCCCAGCACTTTGGGAGGCCGAGGCAGGTGGATCACTTGAGGCCAGGAGTTCGAAACCAGCCTAGCCAACATGGTGAAATCCCGTCTTTACTAAAAATATAAAAATTAGCTGGGCATGGTAGCGGGTGCCTGTAGTCCCAGCTATTTGGGAGGCTGAGGCAGGAGAATCGCTTGAACCTGGGAGGCAGAGGTTGCAGTGAGCCAAGATTGCACCACTGCACTCCAGCCTGGGTGACAGAATGAGACCCTGTCTCAAAAAACAACAATAACAAAACAGAACTACACAGAAGGGACTACCTTGTGGTCATCTGGTTTGGACTCCATTTAGAAGTCAGCATGGCACGGGTGTCCCCATAATACCCAAACACTTCAAAAAACCCAACATGCGGAATTCCAAGATGTCATAGACCAGCTCATTTCTACTTTCAATAAGTAAACCTTTGTCTTAGGCTGAGAGAAGCCCAGCCTATAAAGCAAACTACGGCAGCACCTATCTACCAGGGAGCACTATCACATGGCCATCAGACTCCCCCCGTGGAGCCTGCACCCCAGGAGAAAGTCAAAGATGGAAAATCCAAGTGGCTTCTGAGGCAGAGCCAGTAATTCGCCGAGTGTTGAGCTTGCAGCACTGAGGTTGCTTACAACTATTCAATTGGAAAAAAGTCAGACTCATCAGGCTGGAATCTCATTAGTTTCCCTTAGTGAGCTGGAGCTTGAATACTCCAGGGGGATCAGTCCAAAACAAAGCCAGCAGAGGAAGCAGCCAGAAGTGTCCAGGTGCAGTGGGCTGTCTCTGGCCCAGGTGAGATGAGCCTCGGGACCTATTTAGAAGAAGAGGTTGGGTTGGGATAGAACTGAGATAGCAGCTTGGCATACTGGCCCACAGAGTACCTGTGACGGCTGTCTAGTAGCCAAGATTGAGAATATTAGAAGACCCACTTCAGCAATGTATGAAATCAAAGCCCACATTTTAAACTCCACACTCCCTGACACGGCATTTGAGGCCCATCTGGTCTCCATCTTGCCTCATCTCCTATTATGTCCCTCCTCGTACTTTAACTTTGGGCCCTATCAGTCCAGCATCCTTTCCTTGCATACAACCTACACTCTTATGCCTCTCTATCTTGCCTTACATCTTTGTTTTTGTAGATCCCTTCCCAATCTTTTTAAAAAATATTGTCTTTGGGAGGCTGAGGCAGGAGGATCACTTGAGCCCAGGAGATGTCTGTCCCTGGGCAACATAGGGAGACCCCATCCCTACAAAAAATTTAAAAATTAGCTGGGTATGATGGTGCACGCCTAAAGTCTCAGCTACTCTGGAGGCTGAGGTGAGAGGACCTCTTGAGCCCAGCAGTCAAGGCTGCAAATGAGCTATGATCATGTCACTGCACTCTAGCCTGGGTGACAGAGTGAGACTCCGTCTCAAAAAAAAAAAAAAAAGAAAAAGAAAAAAAATTATATATACACATATATATGTATATATATATACACATATATATGTATATATATATATACACATATATGTATATATATATATGGTGCCAGAATACACATATCATGCAATTTGCCATCCTAACCATTTTTCAGTGTCCAATTCGGTAGTCTTAAGGACATTCACGTTGATATGCAACTGATCTCCAGAATGCTTTTCATTTTGCAAAACTGAAACTCTTTACTCATTAAACGACTCCCTCTTCCCTCTCCCCCCAGCTCCTGGCAACAACCATTCTGCTTTCTCTCTATGAATTTGACTCCTCTAGGTATCCTGCCTAAGTGGAATGGTACAGTACCTGTCTTTTTGTGACTGGCTTATTTCACTTAGCATAATGTCCTCAAGTTCCATCCATGTAGTAGCATGGGCCAGAATTTCCTTCCTCTTTAAGGCTGAATAATCTTCTACTGTGTGGATATACCACGTTGTGTTTATGCATTCCCATCTTTTTTGCCCTCTCAAAATCTGACTCTATCTTCAAAGCTTAAAACCCAGGATACGTACTCCGTGGAGCTTTCCTCAAGACCCTCCGTTACAAGTTAGTCATGTACAAAGATCTTTTGAGCATCTGTTCCATGCTAGGCAACAGGGACACAAGGATGAGTAGCCACAGTCTCTCCTGCACGGTCCATCCAAGCCCAGCTTACTGAGCACACTGCAGGTGACTCGGTGACAGCCCTGACTGTCCATGTTCATGACACACTGTGCTGCCACGAGGTCTACTTAATGGTTTCTGTATTAGTCATCTCATTTGTAAGCTCTTGAGGACCCGGGCCACATCTGATCTCAGTATCCCCAGTGCCCAGCACAGTATATTCAACATAGAAAATGCTCAATAAATATTTGTTAAAATAGAATTAAATTTGCATTCCTTGGAACGTAGAGCTTCTTGACTTCTAAGTGACTGGCCAGTTGACACAATAAGCTGGAAGTCAGTGCCCACTTATTGCCAGAGCTGTTACTTGGTTTTTGTCCAGGGCCTCAGGTTTTGATTCCAAGCCTTCACCAGTGGAGTGGGGAATTTTATAAAAGAATTTCACTTTAGCCTACTGAAGTCAGCAGAGGGAGAAGTGGAGGTTCAATTTGCCCTATTACAGCTAATAATAATAGCTCAGACGTTTTGTGCTCTTTCCATGTACCAGACTTCCCAAGTGCTTTCCATAGACTAATTGAATCCTCACAACAAGCCTAAGAGATAGGTTTTTAGCTAGGATAAATAAATATCGACTACTATCCCCATTTCGCAAATGATACAACTGAGGCCCAGAGAGGCTACACACCTTACCCGCTGAATACAGAGGAAATTAAGTCATACGGCCAGAATGCAAATGCAGGCGGGCAAACTCCCAATCCTATGCTATTCTCCTGGACTTTCTGTGGCAAGATTTGACAGAGATTACATTGAGCAGAACTCACTGGAGAATCTCTTTAAAACATTAAAAGGGGGCCTGACCAGGGCTCTCTGATGTCAGGGATCTATTTTCTGTTTTGGCTCTCGTTCTGAGTCTTGCAGCCCATCTGGATTCTGAATTTCCTTAGGTCCAAAGGATGTCAACTTGATTAAAGAGAAATATCAAGAACTAAGAACTTCTCTTGACAGAGAGGTATGGGGTAGGGGTGGTGGACAGGAGAAAATGAAAAGAAACAGAAAATGGGTTCAGTTGCCACTTATAATAACCTAGTCTCAATCTTGCGCTTTAGCGATAAGATCTTAGGAGCAATTTGTGAGGAGAGTTTGAGCGGCATACTGGTTGGATCGGGAGCACGAAGTCATTCTCTCTGTCCCCGCTAAGTCTGAACCCTGAATTAATTTCTCCTGCATGTTTAGCTAGCACCAAGCGAGTGATGCCAACACAAAAGCGGCCGCTTGATCAGGAGTATTGATGGGGAGAAGAGAAAGAAAAGATCAAAAGCACTCCGGCTGAACTGAAGGTATGGGGTGACAACAGATCCCAGAGAAAGCTGGCAGCATTGTTCAGGAGGCCACAGGAGTCGGGGGCCTGGGATCCATCCTCAATCTTCCCCTAACCACACAAGTAACTCAATCTCTGGATCTCAGAAAAATTCAAGCTGGAATTAGTACCCCCATGATGTCTTCCAGCTATAACATTCTATGATTCCATAGCCTAGCCAATTACCTACAGGAGTATCTCGTCTGCATAAAAAATGGAACTGTTCTCCTAAGTATGTTTTCCTGCCCCAGAAGAGTGATTCAGCGATTAATGTCAGGGTCCCTGATTTCCTCCCTAAGTATCTAAGACTTAAGGGAAGGGACCAAGGGAAGACTTCACAGGATCCGAAAACAGCAACTTGTGTAGATCAGCCGGGAGAGGAGCTGGGAGTACAGTCATAACAAGGATAGGATAGAGGGCTCTGGCAGTATTCAGAGTAATTACCATTTATTGAGCATTTATTAGGTACCTCACACCATTCTAAAGGCTTAAACACAAACTCTTTTAAGCTTCAAAGGATTCTCATATATATTCAATCTATAGGTGAGAAAACTGAGGTTTCAAAAGGCTGAATAAGTAAGTCACAACCTCCCTATGGCCACACAGCTAGTAGGAGTGGAGGTACTGAGGTGTGAGCCCAGACCAGGGCCCACCCTCATAACCTTTTTTTTTTTTTTTTTTTGAGACGGAGTGTCGCTCTGTCACCCAGGCTGGAGTGCAGTGGTGCGATCTTGGCTCACTGCAAGCTCCGCCTCCCAGGTTCACGTCATTCTCCTGCCTCAGCCTCCTGAGTAGCTGGGACTACAAGCGCCCGCCCCCACGCCTGGATGATTTTTTTGTATTTTTAGTAGAGATGGGTTTCACCATGTTAGCCAGGATGGTCTCGAGCTCCTGACCTCGTGATCTGCCTGCCTCGGCCTCCCAAAGTGCTGGGATTACAGTAACCTCTTCTTTTATTGTCACGACAGACTGGGATTTAATACTGGAAAGTTGACCCTGGATGCTGTTGGCAGTGAAAGGCGGCTGTGGAAATGTCCAGGCACAATAATAACAGCATGGAGAATGAGATGCAGAAAGGCCCCACATTCCTGCTGCCCCAGTAGACAAAGCTGCTGAATGCAGGGGAGTCCCTCATGCTCCCTTCCTCTCTGTGTGTCCTAAGGGCCATTATCCAAGCCCATCTTCTGCACAGCTGGCTCCAATTGGAACACAATTCAGGTGTTCAAAAAATGACACTATAATTTTTTGGTTGGAAAGCAGAGGCTGAAACTGGTAAGGAGGCTTCCTACAGCTTCTGAAACCTCAGTCATAGATAGTTGGCAGCGTTTTCTGATTTATGGTGAAGGGCGTGGAGGGAGGGTTAGCTTCTGGCTGAAGTGTGCATGGGGCTTTTGATGAGGATGAACAGTGGTTAGGGTCCTGCCTCCCTGCATCCTTCTATCTCTATACGCCTCAGATACCAGGAGAGTATTCCCCACCCCTTCTCACTGCTCTGATCTGTTCAACGCACATTCATTCATAAGCTCAGACAGGCGCTGTGTGCGTCGTTGCTAGTTGCCATAGCAGAGACAGAGGGTGGGTCTCTGCCCTCCAGGAGTACCAAGTGTCCAGCACATAAGAAAAAAGAGTTCCATCTGAGCGATGATACCTGGCTGAAGGACTAGGGAGATGTTAGGCCTGCCTAACAGCATGCTACAGGAGAAAAGAAGGATGTGTCACTCTGGATCTCCAGTTAAGGAACTGTCAAATGTTTCTCAAATGCACGCTGTCCTCTCCAAGACACTTCTCCATGATGTCTGGTCCGGACTTTTATCATCTCTTGCCCCGACTACTGTAAGGGCTTCCTAACCCATCAAGCCTACCCTCCTCACAGCCACCAGAATGATCTACTTAAAACTCCAGTCTGACCAGATCATCTCCAGCCCCGCCTTGCTCCTGGGCACACAGAACATCTTCACCTCCAACTTCATACTGCTTTTTTCTGAACCTCGCGCTTTTGTTCGTGAACTGCTCTCAGGCCCCCTGCCTTTTGCATGATTAATTCCAATCTCAATTATAGTCTCAGCTCAGGTGTCACCTAGGACACCTTACTTGATTATAAACAGGACAAACACAGGACCAGCCCCTTCCCTCCCTCCTTGCCTGGAGTGAGAGTTCTGTGCCCTTATAACATTCTCGGCAGAAACAGCTCTGTGAGGCCACCTATTTGTATTGTGATGATCTGCTTCTAGGCTCACCTCTTCAGCTCTTTGAGGACAGGGACTGTGTGACCTCTGAACCTAACCCAGGACCCAGCACTGACTTAAGAGGAAGTGAGAAGGCTCTGGTGAAGATAGAACCACCAATAGACCATAGGAGACGAGGGGTTCTGTCCCAGCTGGGTCCCATCCGCATATCCTAACCCTATGCCTCAATTTCCTCCAGGAGAAAGCTTGGGGGAGGGGTGAGGAGAAGCAGTAGGAATCGAAGTGACTCGGAGGAAGCGGCTTCCATTCATTAGCATTTGTAAAGGGCTCTGAGCGCTGCAGATGGAAGCTGCTCCGCCAGGCAGCTTGTTAGGACTAAAAATAGAGTTGTGTAGCACCTTCTCGGCAGAGCTCAGGAAAGGGCGGAAGGGGTGAGAAAATAGGTAGCCAGAGGTGGAAGTAGCTGACCAAGTCCTAGCGGGTAGTACGCACCACAGTAAAACACCACGGGGGCCGCTGGGCACCGCCGAGCGCCAGGCTGGTGAACTGACCCGCAGCGCACCCCATCTGTGTGGGAAGGTCGGGGCAGGGGACCCAGGGCGGGATGGCGGTGCTGGACCCCGATGAGGCCCCTTCACGGCCACTAGGGGGCAGGAGTGCGGGGCGGGCAGCACGAGGGGGCAGGTGTGACCGTGAGAGAGGGAGGCAGGCGGCGAGGCCAAGGGGTAGGTCACCAGGCGGGGACCTGCAGGGCCAGACGCCGAGCCCTGGATGCGAGGTGGGGGTAGACAGAAGGGCTGGGGCGGCCCGGGGAAGAACCAGTGCTGGACGGGGCTAGAGGCCCACGTTCTCCTGTGACTCAGGTCTGACTCAATGCCATTTCTGAAACAGCCTGGGGGGCGGCGGGAGGGGGAGGGAAGGTGTTTTTGCGAAAATGACAAAACAACTCCTTGCTCAGGGCAGCCCGGGAAGAGCGGCGGGCGGATGGGAATTACCCCGGGTCCCCCTGCGGCGTCTCCCGCTGCCCACCCACGGGCGGTGACGGTGGCGGTGGCGGTGGCGGCGGCGGGACCCCGGGCCTGGCTGCGCGCTCCACCTGCGCCTCCAGGGCGTTGGGCGGGGGCCGCACTTTCCCCGCCGCGAGGTGGAGCGCGCCACCGCCCCCCCGGCCGCGCAGCGAGAAGGAGCCTCGGGGAAGAGCTAAAAAAGGCAAGGCGCTGCTGCCGGTGCCGGTGCCGCAGCCGCCGGGGAAGGAATTCCCTCCGCCCGGGCGCACGCGGCCCCCCGCCCCCGCCCCATCCTGCTCAGAAAAGCCTCGGATGCTGCCCGGGAGGAGGAGGCAAAGGAAGACTCCGTTCCAGCCACCTCCCGCCGCCCGGATCCCAGAGGAAAGGGGAGAGGAATCTCCCCACCGGATCTGGTGGGCGGAAGATGGGCCACGCGGGAAGGAGATCGGCGGCCACTCCCGGGGGCGCGAGCGGCGGCGCCTAGAGGGACCCCCACCCCGGGCTCGAACTCCCGACAAGACTGAGCGCAGGGCCCACCCCGGCTGTCCCAGCTCGGGCGCCCCAAACCCACAGCTCCCACTCAGGACACGCGCCTCGAGGTGTGGCCCGGCGCCGGGCGGTGCTGCCCGGAGAGCGCGCAGCCCCCAGCCGGCCGCGCCAGCGCTGCGCCCACTCTGCTCTCCCAAACCCAGGGCGTCATCGGCTCCACGCCTGTCCCCTTTCAGAGCCAGAGACGAGCCCCAAGAAATCAGGAAATAACTTCACTTGCCAAATTTTAGTTTTCAGAGCAATTCCACGACACCGTCTTGCTTGTCTCACAGTCACCCTGGCGTCTCCATTTGACAAATGAAGAAATGGGAGACTAAGAAAACTTAATTATCAGCCTGCGTTAGCTAATATATGTACGACACAAGGCCACGCAGGCCAATCTTGGGTCCTGTGGTTCAGAAACTTTCATCTGGTCCTTTTCGCTATCCTTCTCCGGGGTCTTTTCAAGCATTTAACATTTTGGGGATGCCTGTTTTGTACCCAGCAAGACGCTGAGGACAGAGAGATGAACAGCCACTCTCTGACCTCAAGGAACTCACAGTCCGGTGAGAAAGAGAGAAAACAAAATTACAGATTAAAATATGCTGTAAACCACACTGTTCTAAACACGGAAACAGATTCGGTAACTTCTCTAGGTCTCAATATTGTAGTGGTGCCACCAGGATTTGAACCCAGACAGTCTGACTCCAGAGGCCACCCACACATAACCACTATACTAAACTGCCTCTTTTGTGCTTAACTATATAGCCTTAAGGGGGTGGGGTGGGGGGAAGCAAATCACAAAACAGTATGTACAGTATGCTTCCAATTAAAATACATATAAACACACAGGAAAAAAACAGAATATATGTCAAAATGATGAGTGATTTTTGTTTTCTTCTTTTTTTTTTATAAGCGCCATATTTTTCTTCACGGAATATGAATTTTATAATAAGAAAAAAGCAATAAATGTTATTAAAATACAGCTTGAATGCAAAGCTTCCAAAAGGTGGTGATGTGTGAGTTTGCCCTAGTGGAAGTGGAGGAGCTAGTCCGGCTGGGAGATGGGGAAGGGGACCCCAGGAAGGAGAACTTTGTACCCCAGCTGTGCAAAGGATCGGCAGGAGCATAGAGGCGGGTTGAAGAAATTGCAAGTAAATCTGTGTGATAGGAACGAAGAGGGGAAAGGGTGCAGGAGATGAGGCCTCAAATCACATTTCTGGGGAAGCCCCTCGGGTAGAGAATTCCAGACCCCTAACATTATCCTAAAATCTGCCCTTTCCCTTGAAGACCTAAGAGAGCCATCCCAGAGTGGGCTGAGATTCCTGAAAGTTATTATTGTGTTATAAATCTTTTTCTATCTTTGGAGGTGAAAAAGCTGGATGTAGGACATTAGACTCTGTCAACATATTTGGGTCAGAAGGTGCCAAAGTGCTGGGTGGAGATCATCGAGGATGGGCTGTTACCATGCACATTTTCATTAATCGGGCCCGCTTCATAACTCAGGTTTACTCTTGCTCAGATCCGAGCCTGCGAAGATGTCGTGTCAATAACCCCCCAGCCCTTGTGCCGTTCTGCCCATCTCACAGAGGTCTCCTTAGCACACCAGCTTATTAAAGCACTAGATTTTCAGGTTGCGGAAGGCAGGTCTTGTCCTCCACACCTGGCCCAGCTTCTCAAAGTGCCCTGGGTTCCCCCTTTCCATGCTGGGGAACCCTGGACAAAGGCCAGTTCACTGCCCTTCCCCCTCTGGCTCCAGCCTTCTTGGAAACAAGCCTGACCCCTCCTCCAACCCCACCCCAAGAGTTGCAGCATTCAGTGCACAGAATGCAGACTAGCAGCTTCTCCGCAGATTCTGAGTTCCAAGCTGGAAATAGAGGGGCCTTTGCTCACGTCATTGCATGAAATTCACCATCTGCCACTTCAACAAGAGAGACTCAGGGATGTTGAATGTGAAAACTCGGCTCTTGCTTGGGCAGTTGACTGGATTTCAGGGTGAGGACCACATCTGGCATGTTAACCCTGGGACCTGGGTTACCAATATTAGAGATTTGGCCTGATACTTGTCCAATAGGTGATGAACCCATAGTTACAGATCTCCTTTTAAACAGTCACCTCTGTGCATGCACAGACCGTAGGCAATAGGATCTAGCCCAGCCCGGCTGGCAGGGGTCCAGGGTAGATTTGGCTGTTTGATAAGTGGCTGCCGACAGAGTTGAAGCCACTGCCCCAGATGTTGGGGGTTGGGTCCCCCTCTGTTTAGCTGCCTTGTCAGTAGAGAGGGAAGACAGACCATGAGGAGCCATTGTGAGCATCTTTGCAGGTCAGAAATGTCTATGCTTTTGCTGCTGGAGACGGGAAAACACCCCCCTGGTTTTCTCTTCTTACTGCTTTTTAGTAGTGAGCAGTCAAGGTGTTTGGGGATTTGTCTTTGTGATTGTCTCTTCAGTGTGATTTTTGGTAGCCTGGATTTGTTCGCCTGCTTTCAAGCCTCCAGGGAGTCTCAGAAAAGCTGCTTTCCTCTGGGTGTGCCCGGTGTGTGTGCTGCCTGCCTGCATTCTCTCCAACTCCCCAGTAAGTCCTGGGTAGAGGTAGGGGTGGGAGGAATTGGGTTTTATTTTTCCTTTTTATTCCCCACAGAACTCAGCCCAATTTCATATACACAAACAACCCTGAACTCTAAACCCATCTGCCCAACATCTGTGTGCCTGACCTCTCCAGCAGGATGTCAAACAGTGTAAACAAAACATGTCCCCCTGACCCCTAAACCTGCTCCTATCCCTCTCAACTAATGGCAACTACGTCCTTCCAGTGGCTCAGGTCAAAAATTTTTGCATCATCTAGGATTCCTCTTTATCTCACCCCCATATCGAATCTAGCAGGAAATGCTGTTGGCTCAATATCTGACCACGTCTCACCGACTTCACCTCCTCTGTCATCTCCTACCTGGATTATCACACTTAGCCTCCTTCCTTCCTTCCATCTGGGCATCCTGGGCAGCCTGTTTTCAACATGGTGGCCAGAGAAGTCGTGTTCAAACCTAAGTGAGGTCATCTCGCTCCTCTACTCAAATCCTTCCCATGGCTCCCCATTTCTCTCTGAGCAAAAGCCACCAGACCCTACAGGATCTGCAGATACCACCCCAAAATCATCCTACATCTTTCTCCTCCACGCTACTCATTCCAGCCACACTGGCCTCCTTGCAGTTCCTTAAACACACCAGGCACTCCCCTGCCTCATGGCCTTTGTACTGGCTGGCCCCTCTGCCTTCTTTCTCTGCCTTCTTGGTTCCATCTTCATCCTCTTTGCTTAAATATCCCTTTCTCAGTGAAGTCCACTCTGCCATCCTATTTATGTTGTAAATGTCCCCTGTGCCAGTGCCTCTTGTCTCCCTTGTTCTGCTCTTACACTGGACTGGGTTCCAGATCGCTGTATGGTATACTTGTGTATGTTTTTCCCTATATATATTTATGTTTGTTTATTTATTTTTGTGTATGTCTCCCCTACCAGAAAGTGAGCTCCACAAGACTTGGGGCTTTGTCTCGTTCCTTCACAGATGCGTCCTCAGGACTTAGTGCCGGGCACAGTGCAAGTGTTTAAAGAATAAACAAATGTGGGTTCAAAGTGAAAGGTGGTTACAGGCTCATGGACTTTCCCCAGGAAGCCATGCTCCCCCATAGCTGCTCTTGTTTTGGGCACCTCTTTCATAAGGAGCTGTGAATCTGCTGGACACACAAGAAGAGGGAACAAAACTGAAGGAGGCCACAGACTGGGAGAAAATACCCATGGAAAAAGACATACTTGATAATGGACTGGGATCCGAAACATACAAAGAACTCTGAAAACATAACCATAGGAAAATGAATAACCCAATTAAAAAATGGGCAAAAGATCTGAACAGACACCTCACCAAAGAAAATATACAGGTCCCAAAGAAGCATATGAAAAGGTGCTCATGATATGTCACTAGTGAATTGCAAATTAAAACAACAATGACATACCACTATACACCTATTGGAATGGCCCAAATCCAGAACACTGACAACATCAAATGCTGATGACGATGTGGAGCCCTAGGAACTCTCATTCATTGCTGGTGGGAATGCAAGATGAGACATCTGCCTTCAAAGACAGTTTGGCAGTTTCTCACAAAACTAAGCATACTCCTAGCATACAATCCAGCAGTTATGCTCCTTGATATTTACCTAAAGGACTTGAAAACTTAGGTTTCAAGACACAAAACCTGCACCAGCCAGCCTGGAACAAATCCAGGCTTCACACAAAAACCTGCACACAGATGTTTATTCATAATTGCTAAAACTTGGAAGCAACCAAAATGTCAATGAATGGTTAAATGCACCATGGCACATCCATGCAATGAAATATTATTCAGCACTGAAAAGCAATGAGCTACCAAGCCATGAAAAGACGCAGAGGAATCTTAAATGCATATTACTAAGTGAAAGAAGCCAATTTAAAAAGATTACATGCGGTAGGATCCTAACTATACAACATTCTCAAAAAGGCAAAACTATGGAGATAGTAAAATATCAGCAGTCGCCAGGGGTCAAGAGTGAGGGAGGGGATGACTAGGTGGAGCATAGAGGATTTTTAGACAGTGAAATTGCTCTGTATGATATTACAATTGTGGAGACTTGTCATTATACATTTATCTAAACCTATAGAATGTACAACACCAAGAGCGTAACCTAATGTAAAGTATGGGCGTTGGGTGAGAATGACATGTCAATGTAGGTTCCTCAAATGTAACAAATGCACCCCTCTGGTGGAGAATGTTGATAGTGAGTGGTGGGGAGTGGGGGAATGGGAGGAGTCAGGGGTGTATGTGGGAACTTTCTGCAGCTTCTGCTCAGTTTTGCTGGGGACCAAAAACTGCTCTAAAAAGTAAAGTCTATTGAGAAAAAGTTGAATGGGCCACAGGTCTTTTCAAACAGTAGATCTGCAGGCTCTAAATGGCTACTTCTCACCTATCCAGAGAAGCCCTTGGGACCTCTGCCAGAGAAGGGGTTTTGTTTTGGAGCAACCCTCACCTCAAGATTCTCAGGATCAAAGATGGCCATTGATGAAGGTGGAAAGGGAACGTTCTGGAGGATCCTCTACAGATGCACTTGGACTTGTTTCTTTCCTGCTCAACCCAGGAAAATAAAAGAAAGACTTCCTATTGCTACGCCTGACCCCCAATCCCAAAGTTGGGTGAAGCAGGATCCTTTAATCCACTGAAATGCTGCTGGGCCCTGGGGGTGAGGGGTCGGGGGTGGGTGGAAAAAGAAGCAGGAAGAGCTGGGATAGGTGACCCCGGAAAGCAGGAGCAAGAGTCCAGCCTCTGTCTAGAAGCGAACATCAAACAACCTACTGGTTTCTCTCTGACAGCAGTTCTGTCCTAAGGACAGTTCCCCTCTAGGCTTGGGCCCACATTTTGCACCCCCATCACTGTTGTGGGAAATGTAGTTTCATTTCTGCCCATGGGCACTAAAGGACCTAGGAAGACCTCTCTGGAATAATAATAGTCACTACAGATTTAGCTCCTCGTCCTGTACTAAGAGATTTACATCTATTATCATAATTAGTCCCCATAACATTCTTTTTTTTTCATTTTTATTTCTATTTAAATAGGTTTTAGGGTACAGGTGGTTTTTGGTTACATGGTTAAGTTCTTTAGCAGTGATTTCTGGGATTTTTTTTTTTTTTTTTTTTTAAGACCGAGTCTCACTCTGTTGCCAGACTGGAGTGCAGTGGTACGATCTTGGCTCACTGCAACCTCCAACTCCCTGGTTCAAGCTATTCTCCTGCCTCAGCCTCCTGAGTAGCTGGGATTACAGGCACGTGCCACCATGCCCAGCTAATTTTCGTATTTTTAGTAGAGATGGTTTTCACTATGTTGGCCAGGATGGTGTTGATCTCCTGACCTCCTGATCCACCCGCCTCGGCCTCCCAAAGGGCTGGAATTACAGGTGTGAGCCACCGCGCCTGCCCTGATTTCTGGGATTTTAGTGCACCTGTCACCCAAGTAGTGTATGCTGTACCCAGTATGTAGTCTTTTATCCCTCACTCCCAACCTCCCCCCGCAAGTCCCCAAAATCCATTATATCACTGTTATGCCTTTGCATCCTCATAGTTTAGCTCCCACTTATAAGTGAAAACATATGATATTTGGTTTTCCATTCCTGAGTTATTTCACTTAGAATAATGGCCTTTAGCTCCATCCAAGTTGCTGTGAAAGACATTATTTCATTCCTTTTCATGGCTGGGTAGTATCCTATGGTATGTATACACCATATTTTCTTTAGCTGCTCATTGGCCTATAACATTCTTATGATATATGTATGAAATCAAGTAGCTTGAAAATGGTGGAGTCAGGATTTGGACATGGGTCTTTTTAACTCTATCCATTGTCAGTAGAGTTAAGTCATGTGTGTACTGCACAGTGGCCCTCAGGCAAGAGGGTGACTAAAATCCAGACCCTGTCCCCGTTGCCAAGCCACACCTCCTGGCCTAGGGATGAATCAGGCCAAGAGACAGGACCCCTTTTTGCAGTTTGCACGAAGGTGCTGAGGATGCTGGCTGCAGCCCTGTGCAGTGGAACCTGCTCTCTGGGACTTGCCAGGGCCATGTGTGCCTTTTCTGTTAGGACAGGGGAAAGGGAAAGAAAATGAAAGTCTTTTGTTCAGTACGTGGAAAAATGAAGAGGCAGAAAAGTGATCTTTCCAATACCTTAAATGATGAAGGCACTGCCTTCAATGGTTTTAAGTCTTCCTGACTGTTTACTCTTAGCTACTTTGATTTTCTAGGTAAAACTGGTTTAAAATTTTTGTTTTTGAGACAGAGTCTTGCTCTGTCACCCAGGCTGGAGTACAGTGGCGTGATCTGGGCTCACCGCAACCTCTGCCTCCTGGGTTCAAGTGATTCTCCTGCCTCTGCCTCCTGAGTAGCTGGGACTACAGGCATGCGCCACCACGCCTAGCTAATTTTTGTATTTTTAGTAGAGACAGGGTTTCCCCATATTGGCAAGGCTGGTCTCGAACTCCTGATGTCAGGTGATCCGCCCGCCTCGGCCTCCCAAACTGCTGGGATCACAGGTATGAGCCACCACGCCCAGCCTAAATTTTGATTCCTGACTTCCAGGGTCTTTTTACTAGATCAGGGAAGATTAGACATAGAAAGGGGAAGATTCTTATAGGCAAAATTAAATTACAGCCTAAACTGAGTAAATTCTCACCAAAATCATTCTTCCCCAGGTGAGTATAAAGAGAAAGGGGCTGGAGAATCTCCCGAAGCTGGTACAGTTATTGGCGAGACTGCACCTGCATTGGTCTTTTTAAACCCATTAGAGTCTTAGTTATATATTTCTTCTTTCTCTTCATTGTCAGCCATGGAGGAAAGGATGCGATGAAAAGATGTCTTAGGAGACAACTTTATATTTTTCCATTTACGTTAAGTTCACCAAGATAGCATTTAAAGTAACCATGCTGGCCAGGCACAGTGGCTCATGCCTATAACCCCAGCACTTTGGGAGCTCAAGGCGAGGAGGATTGTTTGAAGCCAGGAGACTAGCCTGGGCAACATACTGAGATACTATCTGTGTGAAAAAGTACAAAAAAAAAAATTAGCTGGGCTTAGTGGCACAGGCTTGTAGTCCCAGCTACTCAATGGGGCTGAGGTGGGAGGATCGCTTAAGGCCAGGTGTTCAAGGCTGCAGTGAGCCGTGATTGTGCCACTGCACTCCAGCCTGGGCAACAGAGCAACACTCTGTCTCAAAAATAAACAAACAATCGAACAAAGTAACCCTGTGAATAGAGCTGTAGATTAAACATACTATACTCAGTGTAACATCATCATGGCCTGCTTGAGAAATTAATGTTGTCTTTAACATACCGATACTCATTTTTATTCCTGGGGAGATTACTTGCAGCTTGATGGGTACATGTGGAATATTGATCGGGAGGTCGGGGGGAGTCCCAGATCTTGATCTTGGGGGTGTTAGGAGAGATTTAAGAGTTCCCCCAGTGTGTGAACTTCAGGATTTGTAGGATTGGAGCCCCTCCCTGTTTCTCTAGCTTCCCTCAGCTGGCTGGTTACCACATTTGTCCCTAGCTCTAGGGGCAGTCAGTTTGCTAAGCAAATGGAGGTGAAAAGCCAAACCCAGCAAAAAATTCCAGGTCTCGACATCTTGGTCTTCCTAACTAGCTGTGTGTGTGTGGAGCCCATCCCGCAGCTGGGGCCTTGGGGAAAGTGTGGAGGCCACCAGAACACGGATGCCAGAAGCCCTGACTTGTGCAGCTCAAAAGCTTGAGGAACTTCAGTTAAAAGAAAATAAGGTTAGAATAGTGGAAAGGGAAAGAAGTGGAAAGCCCCTGTTTAAATACCTGGGAAAATGAAGAGGAAAAAAAATTATTATTTCAATTACTATGAAAATGTATTTTATTAGAAGATGGGGATTCATCATTGACACTCAAAAGCCCGAAAAGCAATATCCCGCACTATAATACCCCTGCCTCCATGCAGGGAGAATGAGTTATTAAATTGGAAGATGAATGTTTCTCAGTTCAGTTAACTGCATCCGTTAAAAAAGAAATAGTTATAAACTTGCTGTGGGTCCTCAAACCCTCCCCGCTAAAGCTGTCTCTTGCCAGCCCCCAACCCTCTGTATCTTCAAGCATTTTGATACAACCCCCCTTTCGTATTTCTACGGCATATGAAAATTCAGGAGTAAGAAAGAAAAAAGTCAGCAAATTAAATGCAAACCAGAGGTTTTTATTATTATTATTTTAAAAAACCAGTTGCATATAGTTCAATTGTGGCAAAGTGCGACAATGTAAATGCAGTGCTTTCTTATGTATAACAGCTTTTCCTCCACTCCTATGGCAGCCTCAATAACGCAGCGCTTCTGTTCTGCATGAATAAATATGTATAAAATGTAATGCTGCAAAGAAAATCCGATAACTGAAAGATACCATTTCTTAGATTCCGGGAGCAACATGAGGCATCAGCTTTTCTGATTCTTTGGTATTTATGTGAAGAGCCATTGAAATGATAATTTGGAATTTATTATTTTTTTTCAGGGGCAAGTAATTTCCAGCTGTCCATTGGGGCTTTAAGAAATGGAGGTTCTGGTGGTCTACCTGCCCATCCTGTTTTCTGGGTGGGGTCTGTGACTTCTTCTCTGCTTCTCCATTCAGCCCATATACTCACAGCCTGACCATCCTTTTCCTTCGCCACCTCAGGACTCAGCCTCGTTAGTGAAATAATGAATTTAGCCCTCGGAGCCAGCTGTGCTTTTTCGCCCCCGAGACTCAGGTGCCTGATGAGTTGCAAGCTCAACACAATTCCCTGCTCACAAAAAGGGAACTCACTCCTTCCTCTCTCTAATCTTGAAATCGCATAGGATAGTATTTTAGAAATAATGTATATGTGAGCCCCTTTTATTTTCTTTTTCCCCTTTCTTCTTTTTTTAACTTTTATGTTAGGTTCAGGGGTGCATGTGAAGGTTTGTTACATAGGTAAACTCGTGTCATGGGAGTTTGTTGTGCGGATTACTTCATCACCCAGGTATTAAACCCAGTACCCAATTGTTATCTTTTCTGCTCTTCTCCCTCCTCCCACCTTCCCCCTCAAATAGATCCCAGTGTCTGTTGTTCTGAGCCCCACTCCTTTTTATTTTTTTATTAAAAGAGGAAACTGCTTACAAACTTTGGCACTTCTTGTCTCTAACGTAAACACTTGGGACCCCGCTTCACAGTTAGTCTTGACTTAGTCCCCTGTCGTCTGCGAAGGCTGAAGCTGGGAATTATTAGCGTCCAGGTTGTCTAGTTCCAGTCCCCAAGGCTTTCACAAACTGGCCCCAGCCTACCCTTCCTGCCTGTCACCCAGCACGTCACCCACCCGCACTGTCCAGAAACCCGGCGAAGTCTCAAGCCACACTTCTACTTGCACCCTGGTCTTTCCAGATCTTGGTATTGCATTGAGTCTTCCTTCTACCGGCAATGCTCTTTCTAGATTTAGAATTTTTAGCTTCAAGATTCTGCTCAGATGTCACCTGTTCTTTTTTTTCTGAGGCAGACTCTCACTCTGTCGCCCAGGCTGAAGTGCAGTAGTGTGATCTTGGCTCACTGCAACCTCAGCCTTCCAGGTTCAAGTGATTCTTGCACTTCAGCCACTGGAGTAAGCTGGGATTACAGGTATGCACCACCACACATGACTTATTTTGGTACTTTTAGTAGAAATGGGGTTTCGCCATGTTGCCCAGGCTGGTCTAGAACTCCGGGCCTCAAGTGATACACCAGCCTCAGCCTCCCAAAGTGCTGGGATTACAGGTGTGAGCCACTGGGCCTGGCCGACAGATGTCACCTGTTTTGCAACCACTTCTTCCCTTATTACCGCAGCTGCTAACACGTACCATGCGTACAACGGTGGCGTGTCTACTGGCTCTGCCAGCCTCCTCTAGGGTGGAGATCAGATCTCAGCACTTTCTGCATCACCAGTGCATACGGCCCATGGTGAAATTAACAGCATCCAGTGTGTGTTGAAGGACTGAAAGGATGAACCACCCAGAAGAGACAGTATCCAGCGTATTCTTCCAGTGCTCAGGATTTTCTTTTTGGCCTCATTCCAGGAGAGGGTTGGCAGGACAATACTTGGGAGCACTTGAAAAGCAAGAAACTCAGGAGAGAGGTCACCATCCAGTGATGAAGGCACTACCAGTGATGACATGTTCTGTCTCTACCTCAACTTGCAGCCCAGGGGCACCTCACAAACGTGCTTCATCGATGACAGTGTATGTTTATAGCGCTTGTGTTGTTGTGAAAATAAACAGCACTTGAAGTGTAAAATTAGAAGTAAATAAATGAGTTAGGAATTATTTTCTCCACTGTTTAAACAAAGCTACTTCTCAGGTGGGACATTAGCTTCCTTGGAGCAAAGCCAAAATCTGGCTTGGTTAGCCAGAAAATGTAAACACATTTCTGTTAATGTTCAGGGTAGAAAGGAGAACCTCTCCCTTAACTGCTGTGTGAGGCTGGACTAGTTATTCAACCTCTCTGGGCCTTGGACCCTTATCTTTAAAATGAGGCTAATAGTGCCTCCTTCATTAAGTCTTTGCCAGGACTGAAATGTACATTTCATAGCATGATGCTTGGATCAGAAAAGCACTCCATATATATTAGCTATTTGAATTATGATTTGGGTTTCAGGGAGTTTATTCCACCCTTATAAACATATCAAGTGGACACCATGTTTTGGTCTTTTCTTTCCTCCTCAAACCAGGCTGTGCTGAATGGGAATCCTCAAACAGCCCTCAGCCTCAGGGATAAGGTGTCCCAGCCATTTCTACTGTAATGGCTAAGAGCCCTTTTTGTCCAGTCTCTCCCTGTCCTCAGTTGTCCAGGTGAGGACAGCTGACTTTGGAATAGAAAGATGATGGGGCTACGTGTCCTTATTGTGAATCAAAACGTCAGGTCCATGTTTTGATTCTGAGGTCAGAATCAAACCAACCTCCTGGTTGGTTGGCAGGTCCTTGGGACTTTTGTGCCTTCAAAATGTCAGGTTATTTGCCCTGACTCCAGTAGCCCAGCACGACCCAAGTACTACATTCTTGGGCAGAGCCAGCCAGAGCCAGGAGGCACTGACTTTGTCTCTCCGTAGCCAAATGGCTGGGAAACTAGCTGGGAGGAGAGGAGGTGAGGCCAGCAGCTTGTGAACACACGGGCGGGCTCACTGTTGGCAGCGGGGAGGAGGCTCCTGGGCTGGGCTGAGCCCAGCCACCCTCACCCCAGGGGCCCACCACCCCACCTCCCCACCTCCCCCTCCTGTTATGAAACCCACGGGGACAACCACACATGTGGGCAGCCGGGGGCTTTCCTCGAATTGACAACAGCTTCTCGCTGTCGCTCGGCAGAACATGAGCTGCTTACATAAACACTGCCTCAGAGACACCTGCAGTGTGGGACGCAGGGAGTCGGAGGAGGGTGGAGGGAGAGGCAGAAAGCTGCAGGGTGAGAGAACGGCTCCCCACCCCACCATGGAGGGGCCGTCTGTGCATCCATACACTGCACACGCGTGCGCAGACACACACACACACACACAGACACACACGAAGTTGGTTACTTTCTCAGCTGTAACCAGGAGGCAGGGAAGAAGGCAATGCAGTCCTCATTCTTTAGAGACTCAACCTGTGTCCCCAGCCCTCCCCACCTCCTCCCACACCCCCCTCCAAACTCAGCTTGGCTGGGAAAGGAAACTCCCCAGTCTGCTGTGCTCCTGCAAGCTGAGTGTTTGCAGGTGAATCTACTCCAGGTACAGGAGCAGCTCCTGAGGGAAAGGGGGTGGAGGGTGAGCATGGAGAGGGAGGGGGAGAGGGAGGGAGGGAGGGAGGGAGGGGCGGAATCCCTGGAATTTAAGGTTAGAGAATATAGTAGGGGACTGGCCTGGTAAGATGGTATTTGGGGGCCTCTACGGAAAACACATCCTGCAGGTCAGACCAGCATGGGCTCTGCGGGAGAGGGTGGAGGGTCAGTGCATGCTCAGTGGGAGGGCTCTGAGAGGTGGCAGGACCCGGCCGTGTGGCAGTGGCCTTGGGTTTCCAAGTGGTGCTTTCTCACTTTTCTGCCCGTCAGTTTACCTGACACACCAAGTGACTGAGATTGCTGCCTGTGAGTTACCCTATTGCTCATATCTAATCACAAAGCGCAGACAGGTGGGGAGGGCTTCCCTCTCCGGGCCTGGCACCTCTGGGTTTGGGTACTCTGGCCTCCTTCCTCTGGGATGCTCACTCGGACTCTGCTACTGGCCAGCCTGAGCAAGTCGGCAGAGCACAGGATCTCCAAACAGGGGTGCATTCCCTGGCTTCATCAGAGAGGAGGCTTGGAGCTCAGGGAACAGAGAGCAAACTGGATGTCTAGGCCAAGCTGGATGCCAAGGGGAAAATAGCCCTCCTTTTGAAAGTATTCTTGCATTTTAACTGTCATCACAGTTAAGCCACCACGGGCAGACCCTGGAGGCTGGAAGAGGGCATCCAGAATGATGTTGGGCTGGTTTCTTATCACAGAGCACCGGGTAGGGGGATGAGCTAAAAATTATAGTTCTTGTTCCCAGCTTAGCGTGGCTATGGGGCGGGTGGTATCTCCTCTGTGTTCCTTCATCTCTTTAGAGACTGAAAGAGAGGACAAGCCCTTCCCCATGGGAAACATTTTACTATGCTCTATCCTAATCTCATCTCAGAGCCCACTCACAGTGAATAGATCTCAGCTAGGAAGGGAAGCAAATATCCCCAGTGACGATGAAGACCAGACATGGAGGTTTAACTGATCTGTGTGAGGCCACAGAACGAGAGTGTGGCCTCAACGCTCTCAATGTTGACAGAACAGCACTCAACATATTGCATTGCGACATGTCTGCTTCTGGACTGCCTATCCCACCAGGCCGTGAGCGCCCCAGAGGTGGGAACTATATCTTAGTCACCCTTGTACTTTCAAGCCTCACAATGGGACCTGCCGAAAAAAGGGCACTCAGTAAACGTCTTGTGAACGCATGAATTGGTGAGTAGCAGAGATGAGATTTCAAGCCAGTGGGGAGAGAAGAACACCTCTCAAAAGGAATGTTGACTCCAAGAAACATCAAAAGAGGGAAAGAACCTTGAGATTTTCCAATTCCAGCTCTTCAATCTACAGAAGCAACTGAGGTCCAGATAGGATAGATCACAGGCTCATTCCCATATAGCTAATTGGAGGCAGAGCCAGGACTACCACCGGGCTATTGTCACCACGTTATCCCACGAGGGTCGAGGGTCGGGGAGGACAGGGAGCCTGCCCAGGGGTGCTTCACACCGGGGGAGGTGTGATTTCAGGCCTTAAGGCACACACACGCTTGAAAATAAAACTGTGTAATTCAACAAACATCTGCAGCAGCAATGCAATTATCTCTGAGATCTAAGCATTGATCGATGGGAGTTTTAATTACCAAAATTTCTCCATCCTCTTCCACAGAAGAAAAAAATTTTCTGGTGTGTTTATTTCATGGCAAAATATGGTAAGATTCTATGGCACACAGAGGGGTATGTTGCATTTGGGAAAAGGGTGTTAAGCACCATTTTTGTTGTGGCGGTTGTCTCCGCAGATGAAAATATTGTTCCTTTTGATCTCTCAGACTGAAAAGTAGATTGCCACATGCATCCAAATTTGGCTTCAAGTGGGAATAGCTCTACCCAAAGTGGGGCCTGAGCAAGGGGATGGGGAGGAGAGAGCCGCCTGGGGCTCTGCCCAGGGCCAGGACCCTGAAAGGAGTGGATGATTGGGAGGGGTGACAAAGCACAGGCACTCGAGCCTAGGGGAGACTCAGCTAGAAGGCGAGACAGCAGCCCTGAGTGGGCCCCACCTCTTCAGTGGGTGCCCATGTGACCTTAGCCACCTCAACTACTGTCCCTGCCATTTACTTCACAGGGCTTTTGTGAGGGTCAAATGACATGAGAACTTGCTTTGAGAAGCTCAAAGGGCTCTATAAATGTGAGGTATTGTTATTTCGGCAGGAGGATGCAGATGGGGGCTATAGATGGCCGCCCTGGGGTTTTAAAGGAAAAACTTGTTCAAAACCGCTCCTGAGGCAGCGATCACCAGCTTTACACTCGCATTGACTTCTCTTTCAGGGCAGCTGTTGGTGTACGTGTTTTGTTTCTGATGCTGAGACCCTTCCTGAACCGGATCTCCATCCCTTCACTGAGCAGGTGCCTACTGTATGGCAGGTGCATGTGGGCTCTGGGGACAGCTCCAGGTGGCCCGTGCCCTCCTCTCCGCCAGGTGCTCTCCCTACTTGCCCTTCCCGATACCTTCCTCCCCATTCTGCAGCCTTCTCTCGGCCATGCAGAGATGGATGTGGAGTGGCCCAGGTGGACCAGTGAGGGTGGGGAGGGACCCACTGGGGCTCTGGCAGGGGCAGCCTAGACCCAGACTCTGCTCAAAGCCACTGGTTCTCCAGCCCACCAGGAGCTTCTATAGACCTCAAGACCTTGATGCAGTCCCCAAAGAAGGGGAAGCACGGGGCCAGGGCCAGGGCCTGGGCCCTGCTTGCCCTTGCCAGGTCCCACCACCCTTCCTGCTCTGCTCTGCCTGGGGGAAGAGGTGGGGACTGACCCCCATGGCTGCACTTCCCAGGCTTCCCAGATCCTCTGGATTTAGTTTGGGTTGAGCCATCTAGAGGTACTGGCAGGAAATTAAAGTGCAGGAGGGAAGAAGAAGCCAGGATATTCCTACCTCTCCCTCTTGGCGTCCAAAAGTGACTGTGGCCTTGAGTGTGTCCATGGGGCCCCACAGGGCTCCAGTGTCCCCAGGGATGCCCCAGTTTCTGGACTCTCCCAATCCCACATCCTCCCTTTCTCCATCCAGCCTAAGGGCGGTAGTTGCTCATTTTGGGGTGCCTCTCACCCTCTTTTTTGGCTCCTCAGACCTTCCTATCACCTACAAGGACTTGTGCCTTTCCAAGTGTCCAAGGCTGGCCAACTTACAGACCTGGATGCAGACAGGCCAGAGCCCCTCAGACTCGGGCTTCCTGCAGCTACTGTATTTATCTGTTCACTTTTCTTATGTCTGTCCTGCTCTGCCAGGCTGAAAACTTCCTGAGTGCAGGACTGGGACCATCTCACTCGCAGTTGTATGTCCCCAGTGCCTAGAGCCATGCCAGGTATCTAATAGACACAAAATACTTGTTAAGAGAAGAAATTAGTGGAAATCCCTTAAGTTCCAAATAGCGTTCTCCCCATGGGGCAATGCTTCTCCTTTGGGATTCACTCTCCCTCTTTGGAATAACTCCCCCTGGAATGAATCTCTGTTGCTGCCTGGATCACACTCAAGCCATCCAGTCCTACATGGATGATCCTGCCCATGACAGAGGGAGGCAGTAGCATACAGCAATTAGGGATGAAACTGTGGAGTGGGAGGCCACGCTCCATTACTACTTGTGTGGCCGTGAGCAGGTGGGGACTATTGACTTAACCTCTCCACACCTAAGTTTCCCCAGCAGTAAAATGGTGCTGAGAGTGGCTACTCTGTCCTCAGGCTGTTGTAAGAATTACTCAAGGTAATAAGCGTAGAAGCCTGGCTACCTTGTGGGTGTTGAATCACTGCCATCCCTGGCTCAATGGGGCAGATGAGGAAGGGGTTGTCAATGATACCTGGGAGGCTTCTCCAACATGTGGCTGTCACTGGTTTTCTGTGAAGATTAGAGAACCCCCCAGCCCTCCATCTCATTCACCTTTTTCCTGCTTCTCCCTATCCTTTCCCCAGTTCTTCAGAGAAAATAAGCATTTAGAACTGGGATCCATCCTATCACTTTTCAGGGAAGGAAATGGGGACACAGGAAATCACAGCAGCTTTGCCAAGGCCCACAGCCTGTTATTGGCAGAACTGGAGACATGGGATGTCTTAGTCCAACTCTAGGAAAGTGTGCGTCAACAGCACCAGTGACCCAGACAGTGCTGGCCACACCCAGGCAGCCCTGCACTGAGCAGAGGGGGGCGGAGCCAGCAGGGGGTCCCAGTTGAAGGGAGGTGGGTGCTTTTCTTTCTTGACCTCACAGATCCAGGATTTGGGGTGGTGTGGAGAATGTACCACGACTTTTTGTCATGCACGCATGGTGATGCTACCATGCCCTATTTTGATCATGAACAGAGGGAGGCCTCAAACTGGCAGAAAAGGGACCGTGGCTCCCGGAGAGAAAGCAGCCGCAAATGTGAAACTATGAAGGTGTATTAATCGTGTCTTTTTATTCTGTAATTTTTGTGCTTTGACATTTTGGGGCCTCACTGATCCTGGAGGGACTGCCCCTCCCAGGGCTAATTCCTAGAAATAGGAAACTCCTCTGTGAGAACAATTTGCTTATGAAAACCTACCAGTCCAGTGCCCATACCACCAACCACCTCCTCTATCAGATTTTTACACTCCAGGCCACTATCCACCTGCCCAAACCACCCCAGGGTGGGTACTAGACCACTAGGAACAGTCCTTATACCCAGAGCCTATTGAAATGATTCATACTAACCAACCCAACCCTGCTCACCCTACCCCACCTGTTCCTCCCACGATGAAGACTCCTACTCAGGTTTTTCCCTAGTTCCCTCTGCCTCCCAACCGAGCCTGGGGTATCCCCCATGTGGCCCTGCGAGACATACCCCCTGCCTCTAGGGATCTGTGATTATAAAACTTCCTCCTTCATGAGAGCCATTTCTGTGTCTGCATGTCTTCCCACACCTGATTAAAACAAATCCCCGACACCATCAAAACAACAGGGGCATCTATAGAAAGCAGGGATTATGATGCTTGCTTAAAGGTTCAGAGATTCGGACCTGGAAGGATGCTTATCACAATTATCCTTCATTATATCCTTGATCCAAACACTTTCTGATGTGAGAACAGCCCCAAGGAGGCAGCAGAAAGTCCCATCAGTTTCTCACACTGAGATCAGCCTGCATAGTGTTTGCCACATCACCACTGCTTTGCATCACCCATTAACACACCCAGATCACTGTCCCAATACTCAAACCCACTCAAAAACCCACACCAGTGACCTGATCTCCCTGTGCCCCAAGGGGCTCTGGCCAGATCTCAACCTCCCACCCCCACATCCCTCTCCAGGGAAGGTTGTATCTGCACACTTAAAAAAAAAAAAAGGTGAGCTGAAGGTGGCACAAAATTAGTTCCTTCGACAGAAAAATTTGCTCCTGAAACACTCTGCCAACCTGCTAATGAGTCGTCTTGAACCTTGCGTGGTGTTACCTCTAATTTTGCAGCCTGCTAGGATTTGAGTTCCGTGGACAGCCTCACATTTGGTTTGGAATTATAGGCTGAGTTGCTGCTCACTCCTATTATTGTGCTGTCAATCTTGTATTAGCGCATTATAATATGGTACACTGAATGCATCTGTTCTGTATATCACAGGGCCTCATTGTCATTTGTTGAATCATTTTGTCTTATATGATTGTTAAGCAATTATTTCATCTCAGGTGGCTTAAATTTTGATTACTGTATACTATTTGCGGGGGATACAAAAAAAAGGGGGGACAACTCCACCATCAGCTGATTTCACCAATTCTCCGCTCCAGGGTTCACACATATTTATGTTGGAGTGCAAAGGCTTCCGATGCCCGGACACGTGTCCTCCAATCTGAGAAGGGAACCAGGGAAGGGGCTGGAGTTGATGCATCTTGACTTAAGGGCTGAAGAGTTGGCAATTTTGGAGGCCAGTGAAGAGCCACGTAGAAAATGTCCCGCTGCCTGCCATCATCAGCAGCTCCTCTTGCTCCCATCCTGCAGAGAGGGCTCCCACACAGAGAGCAGACACAGGGACCTCTTTAAAATGAAGATGAAATGCACCTGGTTCTACCACCTAGTTAGAAGCAGTTATGAAGGTTGAAGAGCTGTTATCTGAGATTTATAGCCCCAAATCTATGAGATAGACTCTCCTAATTAATAAGACAAGGATGACTAGAAAGTTGTGAAAACTACCTGGCAGGGCTTGGAGCCTGCTGTCACCACCACGATGATAGCACTGTCTTTGCTGCTGAGCCTATTAGAATGTCAGGATGTGCATTCTTCTCTCCTAGTGGGATGGCACGGTTCACCTGGCTATTACAGAGAAGCAAGTGCAGATCGTGACTTAAGGCTCCGGGAGGAGAGTTAATCAGGGAAGAGCTGGTTGACAAGACTCACTCAGTGCATGACTTGAGAGCACCAAGAGGGGGAAAGGGAGAAGAAAGAACCTCTTCCAAAGGCAGCATCCACCCCCTTGACAAAGGGCCATTTCCCCCAGCCCGGGGTGCTTTCTGACTTCCTTTGTTCCCCGATGAGCATTTTCTTCCTTGTCCCCAGCCTTCACATAAGTTCAATTCAACATCCTCTCTCTCTTCTCCCAATGTCCTCTCCTTAATTTTGCTGCATCCTCCAATGTGAATGTTTGCCTCCTGGTCTGGGATCTGTCTTATTCCCTTTATCTCACCTGAAAAAACTCTCCCCTTTAATCTCTGCTCATTCAAGTCCTGCCCATCCTTCAAAGTATGGCCAAGCTCACCTCTTCCAGAAAGCCCCACCCTGTGGTGTTATCTCCATCCTGAATCACAGCAGCACTTACTGTGAGATAACTATCAGGTTACATCTATCAGAGTTCAATGCACTCTCCCCAAATGAAGTGGACACTTGTTGGCAGTAAGAAGAGAAGCTTTTTGCACCAAGTGGTGCATTCAATGCAATGCAAGGAGACTGTGACGATACTGAAATGAGTATTACCCGGCCCCAGGAGATGAACACCGTCCTTGCTTGATGCCAGTTCATAAAGAGAGCTCTTGTTTATTGAGAGCTTATGAGTGCTGAGGAATTCACATAAATCATCTCATCTAAATTTTCCAACAATCATGAGATGGTTTCTCTTATTTCCTCCTTTTACGCATGAAGAAACTGGGGCTCAGGAGGTTAGATGACTTTCTCAGAGTCACACAGATAGTACAGGGCTGACCCAGAATTCAAGCCCAGGTCTGGCAGACTCCAGCACCCGCCCTTTGCCTCCACGACCAAGTACAAGCAGCAGGCTGGCACTGGCCTTTCCCTGCTATGACTGCCGAGCTGGGTTACACCTGCTGCTGGTCCCCAGCACCAGGCACACGACGTAACTGTGAGTCCTCCGAGTATGTGAGGGAGCTGGCACTCACCTTCTGCCTGAAGCAAAGGAGCTGTGCTCTTCCGTTTCAGTGTGAAAAAGCCTCAGAAGATGCCCAGCTTAGAAGGACACAAGAGACAGTCTGTGGACAACATCTCCACTTCCTGGCGTCCTCAGCACTGTTGCTAGTGAAGCTACTCTGCCCAAGGTCTCCAGAGAGCTTCTGAAAGAAGTCAGGACTCATGCATGCAGATGAATACGCCTCGTGGGTATTCACCAGGTCCTCTTGGGAAGCCAGCTCTGTGTCCCAGGCACACCGTCTGTGTGCAAGAGAAGGGGAGCACCTGAGTTTGGGAACTGCTTTCGTACCAGCTTATAGGCCACCCCAAGAACCGGCCTCCTGGCTTCCTAGTCACAGACCGCCTGCAGGGTTGACTTATGCATCCTTTTGCAGGAGACAGGCTCACTTCTCTCCTGTGACTAACATGGAATTACGGGTTAAGGAGGGAAGTTGTACTCACCTGTTGATTCATTTATTCACTCACTTGCTCACTCATCAATCATTTCTTCAACAATGAAACCCTTACTAGACAAATACTGACTCCCTGCTCCAGAATAACTATCTGTTCGGTGCTAGGACTGTCAAATGAGTAAGCGTTTCTTCCCACAGGCGTTCAGGGTCTATTTCTGCACTTTACAGACAGGCAAGACAGAAGTGATCAGAAGCGGCCACCAACCATGGAGTTCAGAAACACGGCACAGTTCTGGAAGAGGCGAAAGGCGGCTCTTCCATCCATGCTGGTCAAGAGGAAATTCAACACACCTCACAGCCATTGAATCTGACCAGGCGTGTAATACATCCCATCGTCTTGTCAGTTAGCAGCTGTGGGACCTTGAAGGCTTCTTAAATTCCCCAAGTCTAGACTTTCTTATCTTTAAAATGCAGCTGAAAACAATGCCTGTCTCATGGAGGTGTAAGGGTTAAATGGAATCATGTAGCAAGCATTCAGCACATGTCAAGTCCAGGTCAAGGCCAACATGCAGGGGCAGGGAGAGGTGTAACCTCTTTCAGTTTGGAGCCATGCAGGACCCTGCCATTTGCAGCCCTTTGGGGTAAGACTGTAGCCCCCAAACATCCTGCTGCCCCAGAGCAGTGGCCCAGCAGGTGCACTGAGAGCTCTGGTGCACCTGGCATGCCCCGACTCCTCACACAGCAGCAACAGGGACAGTGACAGGGACCTGAGATGGGGTGGCCCACCTGGCTGGCAGCTGGCACTGGGCACATTGCCCAGAAGTTGGGGAGTTCTCAGGTAGGGGCAGAGGTGGGTGTTTGAGGGAGCAGTTAGCAGCACTGTCTGCTGTGGCAGGGGTCTCCTGGGTAAGGTCAGAGGGATTCGAGGAGGCCCAGGGATCACCCCAGGGTGGGGTGGGACGCTGCTCAAGTCACAAAGCAAAGTTGCAGGGTGTAGGGGAGGGGATGGGACTGTTAGTCTAATTGTGACTCATCTCTCCTTATTTTTCTCCTTATCTCTTGTATTTATTTTTTTCAATCCTCCCAAGTTACTGGGCCTTGAGGACACTCCTAGTGTGTGTGTGTGTGTGTGTGTGTGTGTATGTGTGTGTGTGTGTGTATTTCTATATATATAATTTTTCTTTTTTTTGAGACAGAGTTTCGCTCTTGTTGCTCAGGTGGAAGTGCAATGGTGCGATCTCAACTCACTGCAACCTGCATCTCCTGGGTTCAAGCGATTCTCCTGCCTCAGCCTCCCGAGCAGCTAGGATTACAGGTGGCTGCCACCATGCCCAGTTAATTTTTGTAATTTTAGTAGAGATGGCGTTTCACCATGTTGGCCAGGCTGGTCTCAAACTCCTGTCCTCAGGTGATCTGCCCACCTCGGCCTCCCAAAGTGCTGGGATTACAGGCGTGAGCCACCGTGCCCAGCCACTCCTAGTATATTTTTATAATATTTACCAAATAAGACTGGGTGTGGTGGTCCATGCCTGTAATCCCAGCACTTCAGGAGGCCAAGGTGGGAGGATTCCTTGAGCCCAGGAGTTGAGACCAGCCTGGGCAACATGGAAAAACTCCATCTCTATAAAACCTTTAAACATCAGCCGTGTGTGATGGTGTGCGCCTGTAGTTCCAGCTCCTAGAGAGGCAAAGGCAGGAGGATCGCTTGAGCCCAGGAAGTCGAGGCTGCAGTGAGCCATGATCATATTTGCCAGCCTGGGTGACAGAGCAAGACCATCTCAAAGAACGTATTTACCGAATGAAGTTTTATGATGTTCTCTAGCACTTTTTAGTTTATTGTCTTTAAAAAGAAACCCTCTGAAGTGTCTCTGGAGAATACAAACGCATGCGCGCATGCACACGCTGGGAACAGGAGCTGCTTCAGTAGGTAACTGAGTGGGAGGGAGGTTAGCTTTTCACTGTGACCCTTATCTGTACACCTGCTAACTCAAAATAATTTAATAACAACAACAATGACAATAAAAAGGGAGTGAGTGCTCTCATTTTAATTGCTGTCTACTTATTTCCAGTTAATTGTCTTCCCCTGTGGTGGCCTGCAGGGGACTCCACACATCTTCTTTAGGACATAACTTATTGGATGCAGGGCCAACCTAGGATGTTTGGCCAACCCACCCACTTCTTTTTTTTTTTTTTTTTTGAGACAGTTTCGCTCTGTTGCCCAGGCTGGAGTGCAGTGGTATGATCGCAGCTCACTGCAACCTCCACCTCCCAGGTTCAAGCAATTCTCCCACCTCAGCTTCCTGAGTAGCTGGGATTACAGGCTCGTGCCACCAAGCCCAGCTGATTTTTGTATTTTTAGTAGACATGGGGTTTCAGCATGTTTGCCAGGCTGGTCTCGAACTCCTGACCTCAGGTGATCTGCCCACCTCGGCCTCCCAAAGTGTTGGGATTACCGGATGCCCCAACCCATCCAGTTCTAAAAGGACCGGCCACGGGAGAACCCTCAGTCTTGGCCCCTGCTATGAGGGTGGGGCTTGTAAGTGAGGTGGCCGTGGCTTCTGCCTATCTCTGGCCAGGCTTCTGGAGCCCTCCTGGGCTGGGCCACACCAGTTTGCTCAGGGGCACTGGTACCGCATCCCCAGATTTCCAACCAGAATCTCACACATCACTATGACATCATCTTCCTAAACCATTAATTTCATGCTATTCCTGTGCCCAGAAACCTGCAATGCCTCACTTCTGTCCCCATCAAATCTCAGTGTTCTGGGCCTCTGCCACCAGGCCCTTGTGCCCAGCTGACTGGTTCCTCACTTCTGTCCAGCACGCCACCAGGCCTTCTCTTCTTCCATGTCAGGAAGTGCTGGGCTCAGGATTCTTACACCTTATTCCCCATGCTGGGAGCTCCCATCTCTCCGCTTTCCTGGCTAACCCAGGGCTAATCCTGGCCACAGGCTTACTCCGCCAGGAAGCCTTCCAGGCTTCGGCAAACTCCCATATGCTCAGTCACTATGTGATTTAACCACTGAGAAGTACCTCTCATAGTTTATTCAAAAGTATGTTTGTTTTGTCTTCTCAAGTGGATCATAAGCTCTCTGCATTCCCATAGCACCAGGCTTACTGCCGGGCACAATCTTCAAACCTCGAAAATGACTTGATTTGATTTGGACTCAAAAGACCTGGGTTTGACTTCTGAGAGCCTGAGTTTGCACAGCTACAAAATGGGGATAATTTTCCTACCATACAGGATTTGTTGAAATCAGAGCTCGGGAGAGAAGCACCCATTTTGGAGCTGGGAAAAGGAGGAAAAGAAGACCATGGGAGTGAGAAACAGCAGGAGGCAGAGGCTGGGCCATCTGAGCCCCCTCAAAATCCAGAACAATGCAGGGGCTGAGAAGAGGAAGGTGGAAGCTGGGCTTTGGGGAGAGACCCCAGTCCCCTTCAGAAGATGCTACCCTGTTCTCCTTTCTGCTCTAAGGCTCCGGGGAGCTCAGAGTTTAGGGAGATGGTAAATGGGAGAGAAAAATTAAAGGCAAGAGAAGTCTAAGGAAGTCGTCAAAGCACAGCCAAGCAAACAGAACCCTTAAAGGAGGTAAAAGGTAATGCCGTAAATTACAGCTTAAAAGCCTCGTTTTGGGCAAATTGCTTTTTAACAAGCAGACAACCTCTATCAATAGCATCTACCGTATGTTTTTATAAAGTGCAGAAATATGTTTTTATAAAGTGCAGAAATATGTTTTTAAAAGGCCGGTAAATAAAGTTCCTATCGATTTGAACTCAAGTGTAATCTGTTTTTCTGTCTGCCACCAACACTGGTAATAAAGCAGAATCATGTAATACGGTATTTCAGCTAATGTGACTATACATCACTGCAGGGACGCCCTGCTCGGTGGCGATCTATCATTTTCTATTGGTATTGCTTAGCTGCAGAATTTATAAACTTGCTCCAAATTGATGCAATGTTCAATTTTCTTTTCCAATTTATTTTTGGTTGAGCCAAGCAATATTGAGGTCTCTGAGCAAGCCGCTGAGCACCACCAGATGTTACCTGGAAGACCTCATGCTCCTTGATAGGAGTGAGGAGAACATGAGCCAGTACTTGCCACTCTCAACAGGCACAGAGACAGAGAGCCCTGGAAGGAGATAGGTGATGGAGAAGAGGTAGCTTCCTCCCCTGGGGACTCAGCAACAATTGCGCTCTAGGAAATCCAGGGGCTGAAGGTGAAAGGCAAGAGAACATCCAAGAGAGAAACTGCAGTAATGAACACTCAAGAGTCTGAGACTTTCACTAAGCTGCAGACATCAGTTCAGTAGGTCTGGATGGGGCCCGCAATGGCACATTTCTACCAAGTGGCCAGGGAATGCCGATGCTGCTGGTCCACGGACCACACTTTGGGCAGCGATTCTCTAGAATTTTAGGAACTTTATGTCA